>NC_000015.10:18979946-19352600 GCF_000001405.40 Homo sapiens | reverse complement strand
TAGGCCTGAAAGCGCTCGAAATACCCACTTCCAGATACTACAGAAACAGTGATTCAAACCTGCTCTATGAAAGGGAATGTTCAACTATGTGACTTGAATGCAAACATCACAAAGCAGTTTCTGAGAATGCTGCTGTCTACTTTCTATTTGTAATCCCGTTTCCAACGAAATCCTCAGAACTATCGAAATTTCCAATTGCAGATTCCACAAAAACAGGGTTTCAAAGCTGCTCTGTAAAAAGAAAGGTTCAACTCTGTTAGTTGAATACACACGTCACAAACAAGTTTCTGAGAATGCTTCTGTCTAGTTTTTATGGGAAGATATTTCCTTTTTCACCGTAGGCCTCAAAGCGCTCCAAATGTCCACTTCCACATACTACAAAAAGAGTGTTTCAAACCTGCTCTATGATAGGGAATGTTGAAACCTATGAGTTGAATGCAAACATTACAAAGAGGTTTCTGAGAATGCTTCTGTCTAGATTTTATATGTAGATATTCCCGTTTCCAACGAAATCCTCAAAGCTATCCAAATATCAACTTGCAGATACTACAAAAGGAATGTTTCCAAAATGCTGTATCCAAACAAAGGTTCAACTCTGTGAATTGAGGGCATACATCACAAAGAAGATTCTGAGAATGCTTCTGTCTAGATTTTATATGAAAATATTCCCGTTTCCAACGAAATCCTCAAAGCTATCCAAATATCCACTTGCAAATGCCACAAAAAGAGTGTTTCCAAACTGCTCTGTGAAAAGGAAGGTTCAACTCTGTTAGTTGAGTACACACATCACAAAGAGGTTTCTGAGAATGCTGCTGACTAGTTTTTATTTGAAGATATTTCCCTTTTCACCTTAGGCCTAAGAGTGCTCGAAATGTCCATTTCCACATACTCCACAAAGTGTGTTTCAAACGTGCTGTATGAAAGGGAATGCTCAACTCTATGAGTTGAATGCAAACATCACAAAGAAGATTCTGAGAATGCTTTTGTCTAGATTTTATATGAAGATATTCCCGTGTCCAACGAAATTTTCAAAGGTCTCCAAATATCCATTTGTAGATTCTACAAAAAGAGTGTTTCCAAACTGCTGTATCAAAACAATGGTTGAACTCTGTGAGTTGAGGACACACATCACAAATAAGTTTCTGAGAATGCTTCTGTCTAGTTTTTATTTGAAGATGTTTCCTTTTTCACCATAGGCCTGAAAGCGCTCGAAATGTCCACTTCCAGATAGTACAGAAAGAGTGTTTCAAACCTGCTCTATGAACGGGAATGTTCAGCTCTGTGAGTTGAATGCAAACATCACAAAGCAGGTTCTGAGAATGCTTCCGTCTAGGATTTTAAATGAGGATATTCCCGTTTCCAACGAAATCCTCGAAGCTATCCAAATATCCACTTGCAGATTCCACAAAAAGAGTGTTTCAAAACTGCTCTGTCAAAAGATAGGTTCAACTCTGTTAGTTGAGTACACACATGGCAAACAAGATTCCGAGAATGCTTTCGTCTAGTTTTTTTGGGAAGATATTTCCTTCTTCACCATAGGCCTCAAAGCGCTCCAAATATCCATTTCCACATGCTATACAAAGAGTGTCTCAAACCTGCTGTATGAATGGGAATGTTCAACTCTATGAGTTGAATGCAAACATCACAAAGAAGTTTCTGAGAATGCTGCTGTCTAGATTTTATATGAAGGTTTTCCCGCTTCCAACGAAATTTTCAATGCTCTCAAAATATCCTCTTGTAGATTCTACAAAAAGAGTGTTTCCAAACTGCTGTATCAAAACAAAGGTTCATCTCTGTTAGTTGAGGACACACATCACAAATAAGTTTCTGAGAATGCTTCTGTCTAGTTCTTATTTGAAGACATTTCCTTTCTCACCTTAGGCCTGAAAGCGCTCGAAATACCCACTTCCAGATACTACAGAAACAGTGATTCAAACCTGCTCTATGAAAGGGAATGTTCAACTATGTGACTTGAATGCAAACATCACAAAGCAGTTTCTGAGAATGCTGCTGTCTACTTTCTATTTGTAATCCCGTTTCCAACGAAATCCTCAGAACTATCGAAATTTCCAATTGCAGATTCCACAGAAACAGGGTTTCAAAGCTGCTCTGTAAAAAGAAAGGTTCAACTCTGTTAGTTGAATACACACGTCACAAACAAGTTTCTGAGAATGCTTCTCTCTAGTTTTTATGGGAAGATATTTCCTTTTTCACCGTAGGCCTCAAAGCGCTCCAAATGTCCACTTCCACATACTACAAAAAGAGTGTTTCAAACTTGCTCTATGATAGGGAATGTTGAAACCTATGAGTTGAATGCAAACATTACAAAGAGGTTTCTGAGAATGCTTCTGTCTAGATTTTATATGTAGATATTCCCGTTTCCAACGAAATCCTCAAAGCTATCCAAATATCAACTTGCAGATTCTACAAAAGGAATGTTTCCAAAATGCTGTATCCAAACAAAGGTTCAACTCTGTGAATTGAGGGCATACATCACAAAGAAGATTCTGAGAATGCTTCTGTCTAGATTTTATATGAAAATATTCCCGTTTCCAACGAAATCCTCAAAGCTATCCAAATATCCACTTGCAAATGTCACAAAAAGAGTGTTTCCAAACTGCTCTGTGAAAAGGAAGGTTCAACTCTGTTAGTTGAGTACACACATCACAAAGAGGTTTCTGAGAATGCTGCTGACTAGTTTTTATTTGAAGATATTTCCCTTTTCACCTTAGGCCTAAGAGTGCTCGAAATGTCCATTTCCACATACTCCACAAAGTGTGTTTCAAACGTGCTGTATGAAAGGGAATGTTCAACTCTATGAGTTGAATGCAAACATCACAAAGAAGATTCTGAGAATGCTTTTGTCTAGATTTTATATGAAGATATTCCCGTGTCCAACGAAATTTTCAAAGGTCTCCAAATATCCATTTGTAGATTCTACAAAAAGAGTGTTTCCAAACTGCTGTATCAAAACAAAGGTTGAACTCTGTGAGTTGAGGACACACATCACAAATAAGTTTCTGAGAATGCTTCTGTCTAGTTTTTATTTGAAGATGTTTCCTTTTTCACCATAGGCCTGAAAGCGCTCGAAATGTCCACTTCCAGATAGTACAGAAAGAGTGTTTCAAACCTGCTCTATGAACGGGAATGTTCAGCTCTGTGAGTTGAATGCAAACATCACAAAGCAGGTTCTGAGAATGCTTCCGTCTAGATTTTAAATGAGGATATTCCCGTTTCCAACGAAATCCTCGAAGCTATCCAAATATCCACTTGCAGATTCCACAAAAAGAGTGTTTCAAAACTGCTCTGTCAAAAGATAGGTTCAACTCTGTTAGTTGAGTACACACATGGCAAACAAGATTCCGAGAATGCTTTCGTCTAGTTTTTTTGGGAAGATATTTCCTTCTTCACCATAGGCCTCAAAGCGCTCCAAATATCCATTTCCACATGCTATACAAAGAGTGTCTCAAACCTGCTGTATGAATGGGAATGTTCAACTCTATGAGTTGAATGCAAACATCACAAAGAAGTTTCTGAGAATGCTGCTGTCTAGATTTTATATGAAGGTTTTCCCGCTTCCAACGAAATTTTCAATGCTGTCAAAATATCCTCTTGTAGATTCTACAAAAAGAGTGTTTCCAAACTGCTGTATCAAAACAAAGGTTCATCTCTGTTAGTTGAGGACACACATCACAAATAAGTTTCTGAGAATGCTTCTGTCTAGTTCTTATTTGAAGACATTTCCTTTCTCACCTTAGGCCTGAAAGCGCTCGAAATACCCACTTCCAGATACTACAGAAACAGTGATTCAAACCTGCTCTATGAAAGGGAATGTTCAACTAGGTGACTTGAATGCAAACATCACAAAGCAGTTTCTGAGAATGCTGCTGTCTACTTTCTATTTGTAATCCCGTTTCCAACGAAATCCTCAGAACCATCGAAATTTCCAATTGCAGATTCCACAGAAACAGGGTTTAAAAGCTGCTCTGTAAAAAGAAAGGTTCAACTCTGTTAGTTGAATACACACGTCACAAACAAGTTTCTGAGAATGCTTCTGTCTAGTTTTTATGGGAAGATATTTCCTTTTTCACGGTAGGCCTCAAAGCGCTCCAAATGTCCACTTCCACATACTACAAAAAGAGTGTTTCAAACCTGCTCTATGATAGGGAATGTTGAAACCTATGAGTTGAATGCAAGCATTACAAAGAGGTTTCTGAGAATGCTTCTGTCTAGATTTTATATGTAGATATTCCCGTTTCCAACGAAATCCTCAAAGCTATCCAAATATCAACTTGCAGATTCTGCAAAAGGAATGTTTCCAAAATGCTGTATCCAAACAAAGGTTCAACTCTGTGAATTGAGGGCATACATCACAAAGAAGATTCTGAGAATGCTTCTGTCTAGATTTTATATGAAAATATTCCCGTTTCCAACGAAATCCTCAAAGCTATCCAAATATCCACTTGCAAATGCCACAAAAAGAGTGTTTCCAAACTGCTCTGTGAAAAGGAAGGTTCAACTCTGTTAGTTGAGTACACACAACACAAAGAGGTTTCTGAGAATGCTGCTGACTAGTTTTTATTTGAAGATATTTCCCTTTTCACCTTAGGCCTAAGAGTGCTCGAAATGTCCATTTCCACATACTCCACAAAGTGTGTTTCAAACGTGCTGTATGAAAGGGAATGTTCAACTCTATGAGTTGAATGCAAACATCACAAAGAAGATTCTGAGAATGCTTTTGTCTAGATTTTATATGAAGATATTCCCGTGTCCAACGAAATTTTCAAAGGTCTCCAAATATCCATTTGTAGATTCTACAAAAAGAGTGTTTCCAAACTGCTGTATCAAAACAAAGGTTGAACTCTGTGAGTTGAGGACACACATCACAAATAAGTTTCTGAGAATGCTTCTGTCTAGTTTTTATTTGAAGATGTTTCCTTTTTCACCATAGGCCTGAAAGCGCTCGAAATGTCCACTTCCAGATAGTACAGAAAGAGTGTTTCAAACCTGCTCTATGAACGGGAATGTTCAGCTCTGTGAGTTGAATGCAAACATCACAAAGCAGGTTCTGAGAATGCTTCCGTCTAGATTTTAAATGAGGATATTCCCGTTTCCAACGAAATCCTCGAAGCTATCCAAATATCCACTTGCAGATTCCACAAAAAGAGTGTTTCAAAACTGCTCTGTCAAAAGATAGGTTCAACTCTGTTAGTTGAGTACACACATGGCAAACAAGATTGCGAGAATGCTTTCGTCTAGTTTTTTGGGAAGATATTCCTTCTTCACCATAGGCCTCAAAGCGCTCCAAATATCCATTTCCACATGCTATACAAAGAGTGTCTCAAACCTGCTGTATGAATGGGAATGTTCAACTCTATGAGTTGAATGCAAACATCACAAAGAAGTTTCTGAGAATGCTGCTGTCTAGATTTTATATGAAGGTTTTCCCGCTTCCAACGAAATTTTCAATGCTCTCAAAATATCCTCTTGTAGATTCTACAAAAAGAGTGTTTCCAAACTGCTGTATCAAAACAAAGGTTCATCTCTGTTAGTTGAGGACACACATCACAAATAAGTTTCTGAGAATGCTTGTTTCTAGTTCTTATTTGAAGACAATTTCCTTTCTCACCTTAGGCCTGAAAGCGCTCGAAATACCCACTTCCAGATACTACAGAAACAGTGATTCAAACCTGCTCTATGAAAGGGAATGTTCAACTAGGTGACTTGAATGCAAACATCACAAAGCAGTTTCTGAGAATGCTGCTGTCTACTTTCTATTTGTAATCCCGTTTCCAACGAAATCCTCAGAACTATCGAAATTTCCAATTGCAGATTCCACAGAAACAGGGTTTCAAAGCTGCTCTGTAAAAAGAAAGGTTCAACTCTGTTAGTTGAATACACACGTCACAAACAAGTTTCTGAGAATGCTTCTGTCTAGTTTTTATGGGAAGATATTTCCTTTTTCACGGTAGGCCTCAAAGCGCTCCAAATGTCCACTTCCACATACTACAAAAAGAGTGTTTCAAACCTGCTCTATGATAGGGAATGTTGAAACCTATGAGTTGAATGCAAGCATTACAAAGAGGTTTCTGAGAATGCTTCTGTCTAGATTTTATATGTAGATATTCCCGTTTCCAACGAAATCCTCAAAGCTATCCAAATATCAACTTGCAGATTCTACAAAAGGAATGTTTCCAAAATGCTGTATCCAAACAAAGGTTCAACTCTATGAGTTGAATGCAAACATCACAAAGAAGATTCTGAGAATGCTTCGGTCTAGATTTTACATGAAAATATTCCCGTTTCCAACGAAATCCTCAAAGCTATCCAAATATCCACTTGAAAATGCCACAAAAAGAGTGTTTCAAACCTGCTCTGTGAAAAGGAAGGTTCAACTCTGTTAGTTGAGTACACACATTCACCAAGAGGTTTCTGAGAATGCTGCTGACTAGTTTTTATTTGAAGATATTTCCCTTTTCACCTTAGGCCTAAGAGTGCTCGAAATGTCCATTTCCACATACTACACAAAGTGTGTTTCTAACGTGCTGTATGAAAGGGAATGCTCAACTCTATGAGTTCAATGCAAACATCACAAAGAAGATTCTGAGAATGCTTTTGTCTAGATTTTATATGAAGATATTCCCAAGTCCAACGAAATTTTCAAAGATCTCCAAATATCCATTTGTAGATTCTACAAAAAGAGTGTCTCCAAACTGCTGTATCAAAACAAAGGTTGAACTCTGTGAGTTGAGGTCACACATCACAAATAAGTTTCTGAGAATGCTTCTGTCTAGTTTTTATTTGAAGATATTTCCTTTTTCACCATAGGCCTGAAAGCGCTCAAAATGCCCACTTCCAGATAGTACAGAAAGAGTGTTTCAAACCTGCTCTATCAAAGGGTATGTTCAGCTCTGTGAGTTCAATGCAAATATCACAAAGCAGGTTCTGAGAATGCTTCCATCTAGATTTTATGGGAAGATATTCCCGTTTCCAACGAAATCCTCAAAGCTATCCAAATATCCACTTACAGATTCTACAAAAAGAGTGTTTCAAATCTGCTCTCTCAAAAGATAGGTTCAACTCTGTTAGTTGAGTACACACATGGCAAACAAGATTCCGAGAATGCTTTTGTCTAGATTTTTTGGGAAGATATTTCCTTCTTCACCACAGGCCTCAAAGCGCTCCAAATATCCATTTCCACATACTATACAAAGAGTGTCTCAAACCTGCTGTATGAATGGGAATGTTCAACTCTATGAGTTGAATGCAAACATCACAAAGAAGTTTCTGAGAATGCTGCTGTCTACTTTCTATTTGTAATCCCGTTTCCAACGAAATCCTCAGAACTATCGAAATTTCCAATTGCAGATTCCACAAAAAGAGTGTTTCAAAGCTGCTCTGTAAAAAGAAAGGTTCAACTCTGTTATTTGAATACACGACAGAAACAAGTTTCTGAGAATGCTTCTGTCTAGTTTTTATGGGAAGATATTTCCTTTTTCACGGTAGGCCTCAAAGCGCTCCAAATGTCCACTTCCACATACTACAAAAAGAGTGTTTCAAACCTGCTCTATGATAGGGAATGTTGAAACCTATGAGTTGAATGCAAGCATTACAAAGAGGTTTCTGAGAATGCTTCTGTCTAGATTTTATATGTAGATATTCCCGTTTCCAACGAAATCCTCAAATCTATCCAAATATCAACTTGCAGATTCTACAAAAGGAATGTTTCCAAAATGCTGTATCCAAACAAAGGTTCAACTCTGTGAATTGAGGGCATACATCACAAAGAAGATTCTGAGAATGCTTCTGTCTAGATTTTATATGAAAATATTCCCGTTTCCAACGAAATCCTCAAAGCTATCCAAATATCCACTTGCAAATGCCACAAAAAGAGTGTTTCCAAACTGCTCTGTGAAAAGGAAGGTTCAACTCTGTTAGTTGAGTACACACATCACAAAGAGGTTTCTGAGAATGCTGCTGACTAGTTTTTATTTGAAGATATTTCCCTTTTCACCTTAGGCCTAAGAGTGCTCGAAATGTCCATTTCCACATACTCCACAAAGTGTGTTTCAAACTTGCTGTATGAAAGGGAATGTTCAACTCTATGAGTTGAATGCAAACATCACAAAGAAGATTCTGAGAATGCTTTTGTCTAGATTTTATATGAAGATATTCCCGTGTCCAACGAAATTTTCAAAGGTCTCCAAATATCCATTTGTAGATTCTACAAAAAGAGTGTTTCCAAACTGCTGTATCAAAACAAAGGTTGAACTCTGTGAGTTGAGGACACACATCACAAATAAGTTTCTGAGAATGCTTCTGTCTAGTTTTTATTTGAAGATGTTTCCTTTTTCACCATAGGCCTGAAAGCGCTCGAAATGTCCACTTCCAGATAGTACAGAAAGAGTGTTTCAAACCTGCTCTATGAACGGGAATGTTCAGCTCTGTGAGTTGAATGCAAACATCACAAAGCAGGTTCTGAGAATGCTTCCGTCTAGATTTTAAATGAGGATATTCCCGTTTCCAACGAAATCCTCGAAGCTATCCAAATATCCACTTGCAGATTCCACAAAAAGAGTGTTTCAAAACTGCTCTGTCAAAAGATAGGTTCAACTCTGTTAGTTGAGTACACACATGGCAAACAAGATTGCGAGAATGCCTTCGTCTAGTTTTTTTGGGAAGATATTTCCTTCTTCACCATAGGCCTCAAAGCGCTCCAAATATCCATTTCCACATGCTATACAAAGAGTGTCTCAAACCTGCTGTATGAATGAGAATGTTCAACTCTATGAGTTGAATGCAAACATCACAAAGAAGTTTCTGAGAATGCTGCTGTCTAGATTTTATATGAAGGTTTTCCCGCTTCCAACGAAATTTTCAATGCTCTCAAAATATCCTCTTGTAGATTCTACAAAAAGAGTGTTTCCAAACTGCTGTATCAAAACAAAGGTTCATCTCTGTTAGTTGAGGACACAAATCACAAATAAGTTTCTGAGAATGCTCTGTCTAGTTCTTATTTGAAGACATTTCCTTTCTCACCTTAGGCCTGAAAGCGCTCGAAATACCCACTTCCAGATACTACAGAAACAGTGATTCAAACCTGCTCTATGAAAGGGAATGTTCAACTAGGTGACTTGAATGCAAACATCACAAAGCAGTTTCTGAGAATGCTGGCTGTCTACTTTCTATTTGTAATCCCGTTTCCAACGAAATCCTCAGAACCATCGAAATTTCCAATTGCAGATTCCACAGAAACAGGGTTTCAAAGCTGCTCTGTAAAAAAGAAAGGTTCAACTCTGTTAGTTGAATACACACGTCACAAACAAGTTTCTGATTATGCTTCTGTCTAGTTTTTATGGGAAGATATTTCCTTTTTCACCGTAGGCCTCAAAGCGCTCCAAATGTCCACTTCCACATACTACAAAAAGAGTGTTTCAAACCTGCTCTATGATAGGGAATGTTGAAACCTATGAGTTGAATGCAAGCATTACAAAGAGGTTTCTGAGAATGCTTCTGTCTAGATTTTATATGTAGATATTCCCGTTTCCAACGAAATCCTCAAAGCTATCCAAATATCAACTTGCAGATTCTGCAAAAGGAATGTTTCCAAAATGCTGTATCCAAACAAAGGTTCAACTCTGTGAATTGAGGGCATACATCACAAAGAAGATTCTGAGAATGCTTCTGTCTAGATTTTATATGAAAATATTCCCGTTTCCAACGAAATCCTCAAAGCTATCCAAATATCCACTTGCAAATGCCACAAAAAGAGTGTTTCCAAACTGCTCTGTGAAAAGGAAGGTTCAACTCTGTTAGTTGAGTACACACATCACAAAGAGGTTTCTGAGAATGCTGCTGACTAGTTTTTATTTGAAGATATTTCCCTTTTCACCTTAGGCCTAAGAGTGCTCGAAATGTCCATTTCCACATACTCCACAAAGTGTGTTTCAAACGTGCTGTATGAAAGGGAATGTTCAACTCTATGAGTTGAATGCAAACATCACAAAGAAGATTCTGAGAATGCTTTTGTCTAGATTTTATATGAAGATATTCCCGTGTCCAACGAAATTTTCAAAGGTCTCCAAATATCCATTTGTAGATTCTACAAAAAGAGTGTTTCCAAACTGCTGTATCAAAACAAAGGTTGAACTCTGTGAGTTGAGGACACACATCACAAATAAGTTTCTGAGAATGCTTCTGTCTAGTTTTTATTTGAAGATGTTTCCTTTTTCACCATAGGCCTGAAAGCGCTCGAAATGTCCACTTCCAGATAGTACAGAAAGAGTGTTTCAAACCTGCTCTATGAACGGGAATGTTCAGCTCTGTGAGTTGAATGCAAACATCACAAAGCAGGTTCTGAGAATGCTTCCGTCTAGATTTTAAATGAGGATATTCCCGTTTCCAAAGAAATCCTCGAAGCTATCCAAATATCCACTTGCAGATTCCACAAAAAGAGTGTTTCAAAACTGCTCTGTCAAAAGATAGGTTCAACTCTGTTAGTTGAGTACACACATGGCAAACAAGATTGCGAGAATGCTTTCGTCTAGTTTTTTTGGGAAGATATTTCCTTCTTCACCATAGGCCTCAAAGCGCTCCAAATATCCATTTCCACATGCTATACAAAGAGTGTCTCAAACCTGCTGTATGAATGGGAATGTTCAACTCTATGAGTTGAATGCAAACATCACAAAGAAGTTTCTGAGAGTGCTGCTGTCTAGATTTTATATGAAGGTTTTCCCGCTTCCAACGAAATTTTCAATGCTCTCAAAATATCCTCTTGTAGATTCTACAAAAAGAGTGTTTCCAAACTGCTGTATCAAAACAAAGGTTCATCTCTGTTAGTTGAGGACACACATCACAAATAAGTTTCTGAGAATGCTTCTGTCTAGTTCTTATTTGAAGACATTTCCTTTCTCACCTTAGGCCTGAAAGCGCTCGAAATACCCACTTCCAGATACGACAGAAACAGTGATTCAAACCTGCTCTATGAAAGGGAATGTTCAACTAGGTGACTTGAATGCAAACATCACAAAGCAGTTTCTGAGAATGCTGCTGTCTACTTTCTATTTGTAATCCCGTTTCCAACGAAATCCTCAGAACTATCGAAATTTCCAATTGCAGATTCCACAAAAAGCGTGTTTCAAAGCTGCTCTGTAAAAAGAAAGGTTCAACTCTGTTAGTTGAATACACACGTCACAAACAAGTTTCTGAGAATGCTTCTGTCTAGTTTTTATGGGAAGATATTTCCTTTTTCACCGTAGGCCTCAAAGCGCTCCAAATGTCCACTTCCACATACTACAAAAAGAGTGTTTCAAACCTGCTCTATGATAGGGAATGTTGAAGCCTATGAGTTGAATGCAAGCATTACAAAGAGGTTTCTGAGAATGCTTCTGTCTAGATTTTATATGTAGATATTCCCGTTTCCAACGAAATCCTCAAAGCTATCCAAATATCAACTTGCAGATTCTACAAAAGGAATGTTTCCAAAATGCTGTATCCAAACAAAGGTTCAACTCTGTGAATTGAGGGCATACATCACAAAGAAGATTCTGAGAATGCTTCTGTCTAGATTTTATATGAAAATATTCCCGTTTCCAACGAAATCCTCAAAGCTATCTAAATATCCACTTGCAAATGCCACAAAAAGAGTGTTTCCAAACTGCTCTGTGAAAAGGAAGGTTCAACTCTGTTAGTTGAGTACACACATCACAAAGAGGTTTCTGAGAATGCTGCTGACTAGTTTTTATTTGAAGATATTTCCCTTTTCACCTTAGGCCTAAGAGTGCTCGAAATGTCCATTTCCACATACTCCACAAAGTGTGTTTCAAACGTGCTGTATGAAAGGGAATGTTCAACTCTATGAGTTGAATGCAAACATCACAAAGAAGACTCTGAGAATGCTTTTGTCTAGATTTTATATGAAGATATTCCCGTGTCCAACGAAATTTTCAAAGGTCTCCAAATATCCATTTGTAGATTCTACAAAAAGAGTGTTTCCAAACTGCTGTATCAAAACAAAGGTTGAACTCTGTGAGTTGAGGACACACATCACAAATAAGTTTCTGAGAATGCTTCTGTCTAGTTTTTATTTGAAGATGTTTCCTTTTTCACCATAGGCCTGAAAGCGCTCGAAATGTCCACTTCCAGATAGTACAGAAAGAGTGTTTCAAACCTGCTCTATGAACGGGAATGTTCAGCTCTGTGAGTTGAATGCAAACATCACAAAGCAGGTTCTGAGAATGCTTCCGTCTAGATTTTAAATGAGGATATTCCCGTTTCCAACGAAATCCTCGAAGCTATCCAAATATCCACTTGCAGATTCCACAAAAAGAGTGTTTCAAAACTGCTCTGTCAAAAGATAGGTTCAACTCTGTTAGGTGAGTACACACATGGCAAACAAGATTCCGAGAATGCTTTCGTCTAGTTTTTTTGGGAAGATATTTCCTTCTTCACCATAGGCCTCAAAGCGCTCCAAATATCCATTTCCACATGCTATACAAAGAGTGTCTCAAACCTGCTGTATGAATGGGAATGTTCAACTCTATGAGTTGAATGCAAACATCACAAAGAAGTTTCTGAGAATGCTGCTGTCTAGATTTTATATGAAGGTTTTCCCGCTTCCAACGAAATTTTCAATGCTCTCAAAATATCCTCTTGTAGATTCTACAAAAAGAGTGTTTCCAAACTGCTGTATCAAAACAAAGGTTCATCTCTGTTAGTTGAGGACACACATCACAAATAAGTTTCTGAGAATGCTTCTGTCTAGTTCTTATTTGAAGACATTTCCTTTCTCACCTTAGGCCTGAAAACGCTCGAAATACCCACTTCCAGATACGACAGAAACAGGGATTCAAACCTGCTCTATGAAAGGGAATGTTCAACTATGTGACTTGAATGCAAACATCACAAAGCAGTTTCTGAGAATGCTGCTGTCTACTTTCTATTTGTAATCCCGTTTCCAACGAAATCCTCAGAACTATCGAAATTTCCAATTGCAGATTCCACAGAAACAGGGTTTCAAAGCTGCTCTGTAAAAAGAAAGGTTCAACTCTGTTAGTTGAATACACACGTCACAAACAAGTTTCTGAGAATGCTTCTGTCTAGTTTTTATGGGAAGATATTTCCTTTTTCACCGTAGGCCTCAAAGCGCTCCAAATGTCCACTTCCACATACTACAAAAAGAGTGTTTCAAACCTGCTGTATGAAAGGGAATGTTCAACTCTATGAGTCGAATGCAAACATTACAAAGAAGTTTCTGAGAATGCTTCTGTCTAGATTTTATATGAAGGTTTTCCCGTTTCCAACGAAATTTTCAATGCTCTCAAAATATCCACTTGTAGATTCTACAAAAAGAGTGTTTCCAAACTGCTGTGTCAAAAGAAAGGTTCAACTCTGTTAGTTGAGGACACACATCACAAATAAGTTTCTGAGAATGCTTCTGTCTAGTTCTTATTTGAAGACATTTCCTTTCTCACCTTAGGCCTGAAAACGCTCGAAATATCCACTTCCAGATACGACAGAAACAGTGATTCAAACCTGCTCTATGAAAGGGAATGTTCAACTAGGTGACTTGAATGCAAACATCACAAAGCAGTTTCTGAGAATGCTGCTGTCTACTTTCTATTTGTAATCCCGTTTCCAACGAAATCCTCAGAACTATCGAAATTTCCAATTGCAGATTCCACAAAAAGCGTGTTTGAAAGCTGCTCTGTAAAAAGAAAGGTTCAACTCTGTTAGTTGAATACACACGTCACAAACAAGTTTCTGAGAATGCTTCTGTCTAGTTTTTATGGGAAGATATTTCCTTTTTCACCGTAGGCCTCAAAGCGCTCCAAATGTCCACTTCCACATACTACAAAAAGAGTGTTTCAAACCTGCTCTATGATAGGGAATGTTGAAACCTATGAGTTGAATGCAAGCATTACAAAGAGGTTTCTGAGAATGCTTCTGTCTAGATTTTATATGTAGATATTCCCGTTTCCAACGAAATCCTCAAAGCTATCCAAATATCAACTTGCAGATTCTACAAAAGGAATGTTTCCAAAATGCTGTATCCAAACAAAGGTTCAACTCTGGGAATTGAGGGCATACATCACAAAGAAGATTCTGAGAATGCTTCTGTCTAGATTTTATATGAAAATATTCCCGTTTCCAACGAAATCCTCAAAGCTATCCAAATATCCACTTGCAAATGCCACAAAAAGAGTGTTTCCAAACTGCTCTGTGAAAAGGAAGGTTCAACTCTGTTAGTTGAGTACACACATCACAAAGAGGTTTCTGAGAATGCTGCTGACTAGTTTTTATTTGAAGATATTTCCCTTTTCACCTTAGGCCTAAGAGTGCTCGAAATGTCCATTTCCACATACTCCACAAAGTGTGTTTCAAACGTGCTGTATGAAAGGGAATGTTCAACTCTATGAGTTGAATGCAAACATCACAAAGAAGATTCTGAGAATGCTTTTGTCTAGATTTTATATGAAGATATTCCCGTGTCCAACGAAATTTTCAAAGGTCTCCAAATATCCATTTGTAGATTCTACAAAAAGAGTGTTTCCAAACTGCTGTATCAAAACAAAGGTTGAACTCTGTGAGTTGAGGACACACATCACAAATAAGTTTCTGAGAATGCTTCTGTCTAGTTTTTATTTGAAGATGTTTCCTTTTTCACCATAGGCCTGAAAGCGCTCGAAATGTCCACTTCCAGATAGTACAGAAAGAGTGTTTCAAACCTGCTCTATGAACGGGAATGTTCAGCTCTGTGAGTTGAATGCAAACATCACAAAGCAGGTTCTGAGAATGCTTCCGTCTAGATTTTAAATGAGGATATTCCCGTTTCCAACGAAATCCTCGAAGCTATCCAAATATCCACTTGCAGATTCCACAAAAAGAGTGTTTCAAAACTGCTCTGTCAAAAGATAGGTTCAACTCTGTTAGTTGAGTACACACATGGCAAACAAGATTCCGAGAATGCTTTCGTCTAGTTTTTTTGGGAAGATATTTCCTTCTTCACCATAGGCATCAAAGCGCTCCAAATATCCATTTCCACATGCTATACAAAGAGTGTCTCAAACCTGCTGTATGAATGGGAATGTTCAACTCTATGAGTTGAATGCAAACATCACAAAGAAGTTTCTGAGAATGCTGCTGTCTAGATTTTATATGAAGGTTTTCCCGCTTCCAACGAAATTTTCAATGCTCTCAAAATATCCTCTTGTAGATTCTACAAAAAGAGTGTTTCCAAACTGCTGTATCAAAACAAAGGTTCATCTCTGTTAGTTGAGGACACACATCACAAATAAGTTTCTGAGAATGCTTCTGTCTAGTTCTTATTTGAAGACATTTCCTTTCTCACCTTAGGCCTGAAAGCGCTCGAAATACCCACTTCCAGATACTACAGAAACAGTGATTCAAACCTGCTCTATGAAAGGGAATGTTCAACTACGTGACTTGAATGCAAACATCACAAAGCAGTTTCTGAGAATGCTGCTGTCTACTTTCTATTTGTAATCCCGTTTCCAACGAAATCCTCAGAACTATCGAAATTTCCAATTGCAGATTCCACAGAAACAGGGTTTCAAAGCTGCTCTGTAAAAAGAAAGGTTCAACTCTGTTAGTTGAATACACACGTCACAAACAAGTTTCTGAGAATGCTTCTGTCTAGTTTTTATGGGAAGATATTTCCTTTTTCACCGTAGGCCTCAAAGCGCTCCAAATGTCCACTTCCACATACTACAAAAAGAGTGTTTCAAACCTGCTGTATGAAAGGGAATGTTCAACTCTATGACTTGAATGCAAACATTACAAAGAAGTTTCTGAGAATGCTTCTGTCTAGATTTTATATGAAGGTTTTCCCGTTTCCAAGGAAATTTTCAATGCTCTCAAAATATCCACTTGTAGATTCTACAAAAAGAGTGTTTCCAATCTGCTGTGTCAAAGGAAAGGTTCAACTCTGTTAGTTGAGGACACACATCACAAAGAGGTTTCTGAGAATGCTGCTGACTAGTTTTTATTTGAAGATATTTCCCTTTTCACCTTAGGCCTAAGAGTGCTCGAAATGTCCATTTCCACATACTCCACAAAGTGTGTTTCAAACGTGCTGTATGAAAGGGAATGTTCAACTCTATGAGTTGAATGCAAACATCACAAAGAAGATTCTGAGAATGCTTTTGTCTAGATTTTATATGAAGATATTCCCGTGTCCAACGAAATTTTCAAAGGTCTCCAAATATCCATTTGTAGATTCTACAAAAAGAGTGTTTCCAAACTGCTGTATCAAAACAAAGGTTGAACTCTGTGAGTTGAGGACACACATCACAAATAAGTTTCTGAGAATGCTTCTGTCTAGTTTTTATTTGAAGATGTTTCCTTTTTCACCATAGGCCTGAAAGCGCTCGAAATGTCCACTTCCAGATAGTACAGAAAGAGTGTTTCAAACCTGCTCTATGAACGGGAATGTTCAGCTCTGTGAGTTGAATGCAAACATCACAAAGCAGGTTCTGAGAATGCTTCCGTCTAGATTTTAAATGAGGATATTCCCGTTTCCAAGGAAATCCTCGAAGCTATCCAAATATCCACTTGCAGATTCCACAAAAAGAGTGTTTCAAAACTGCTCTGTCAAAAGATAGGTTCAACTCTGTTAGTTGAGTACACACATGGCAAACAAGATTCCGAGAATGCTTTCGTCTAGTTTTTTTGGGAAGATATTTCCTTCTTCACCATAGGCCTCAAAGCGCTCCAAATATCCATTTCCACATGCTATACAAAGAGTGTCTCAAACCTGCTGTATGAATGGGAATGTTCAACTCTATGAGTTGAATGCAAACATCACAAAGAAGTTTCTGAGAATGCTGCTGTCTAGATTTTATATGAAGGTTTTCCCGCTTCCAACGAAATTTTCAATGCTCTCAAAATATCCTCTTGTAGATTCTACAAAAAGAGTGTTTCCAAACTGCTGTATCAAAACAAAGGTTCATCTCTGTTAGTTGAGGACACACATCACAAATAAGTTTCTGAGAATGCTTCTGTCTAGTTCTTATTTGAAGACATTTCCTTTCTCACCTTAGGCCTGAAAGCGCTCGAAATACCCACTTCCAGATACTACAGAAACAGTGATTCAAACCTGCTCTATGAAAGGGAATGTTCAACTATGTGACTTGAATGCAAACATCACAAAGCAGTTTCTGAGAATGCTGCTGTCTACTTTCTATTTGTAATCCCGTTTCCAACGAAATCCTCAGAACTATCGAAATTTCCAATTGCAGATTCCACAAAAACAGGGTTTCAAAGCTGCTCTGTAAAAAGAAAGGTTCAACTCTGTTTGTTGAATACACACGTCACAAACATGTTTCTGAGAATGCTTCTGTCTAGTTTTTATGGGAAGATATTTCCTTTTTCACCGTAGGCCTCAAGCGCTCCAAATGTCCACTTCCACATACTACAAAAAGAGTGTTTCAAACCTGCTGTATGAAAGGGAATGTTCAACTCTATGAGTTGAATGCAAACATTACAAAGAAGTTTCTGAGAATGCTTCTGTCTAGATTTTATATGAAGGTTTTCCCGTTTCCAACGAAATTTTCAATGCTCTCAAAATATCCACTTGTAGATTCTACAAAAAGAGTGTTTCCAAACTGCTGTGTCAAAAGAAAGGTTCAACTCTGTTAGTTGAGGACACACATCACAAGTTTCTGAGAATGCTTCTGTCTAGTTCTTATTTGAAGACATTTCCTTTCTCACCTTAGGCCTGAAAACGCTCGAAATATCCACTTCCAGATACGACAGAAACAGTGATTCAAACCTGCTCTATGAAAGGGAATGTTCAACTATGTGACTTGAATGCAAACATCACAAAGCAGTTTCTGAGAATGCTGCTGTCTACTTTCTATTTGTAATCCCGTTTCCAACGAAATCCTCAGAACTATCGAAATTTCCAATTGCAGATTCCACAGAAACAGGGTTTCAAAGCTGCTCTGTAAAAAGAAAGGTTCAACTCTGTTAGTTGAATACACACGTCACAAACAAGTTTCTGAGAATGCTTCTGTCTAGTTTTTATGGGAAGCATATTTCCTTTTTCACCGTAGGCCTCAAAGCGCTCCAAATGTCCACTTCCACATACTACAAAAAGAGTGTTTCAAACCTGCTGTATGAAAGGGAATGTTCAACTCTATGAGTTGAATGCAAACATTACAAAGAAGTTTCTGAGAATGCTTCTGTCTAGATTTTATATGAAGGTTTTCCCGTTTCCAACGAAATTTTCAATGCTCTCAAAATATCCACTTGTAGATTCTACAAAAAGAGTGTTTCCAAACTGCTGTGTCAAAAGAAAGGTTCAACTCTGTTAGTTGAGGACACACATCACAAATAAGTTTCTGAGAATGCTTCTGTCTAGTTCTTATTTGAATACATTTCCTTTCTCACCTTAGGCCTGAAAACGCTCGAAATATCCACTTCCAGATACGACAGAAACAGTGATTCAAACCTGCTCTATGAAAGGGAATGTTCAACTAGGTGACTTGAATGCAAACATCACAAAGCAGTTTCTGAGAATGCTGCTGTCTACTTTCTATTTGTAATCCCGTTTCCAACGAAATCCTCAGAACTATCGAAATTTCCAATTGCAGATTCCACAAAAAGCGTGTTTCAAAGCTGCTCTGTAAAAAGAAAGGTTCAACTCTGTTAGTTGAATACACACGTCACAAACAAGTTTCTGAGAATGCTTCTGTCTAGTTTTTATGGGAAGATATTTCCTTTTTCACCGTAGGCCTCAAAGCGCTCCAAATGTCCACTTCCACATACTACAAAAAGAGTGTTTCAAACCTGCTGTATGAAAGGGAATGTTCAACTCTATGAGTTGAATGCAAACATTACAAAGAAGTTTCTGAGAATGCTTCTGTCTAGATTTTATATGAAGGTTTTCCCGTTTCCAACGAAATTTTCAATGCTCTCAAAATATCCACTTGTAGATTCTACAAAAAGAGTGTTTCCAAACTGCTGTGTCAAAAGAAAGGTTCAACTCTGTTAGTTGAGGACACACATCACAAATAAGTTTCTGAGAATGCTTCTGTCTAGTTCTTATTTGAAGACATTTCCTTTCTCACCTTAGGCCTGAAAACGCTCGAAATATCCACTTCCAGATACGACAGAAACAGTGATTCAAACCTGCTCTATGAAAGGGAATGTTCAACTAGGTGACTTGAATGCAAACATCACAAAGCAGTTTCTGAGAATCCTGCTGTCTACTTTCTATTTGTAATCCCGTTTCCAACGAAATCCTCAGAACTATCGAAATTTCCAATTGCAGATTCCACAGAAACAGGGTTTCAAAGCTGCTCTGTAAAAAGAAAGGTTCAACTCTGTTAGTTGAATACACACGTCACAAACAAGTTTCTGAGAATGCTTCTGTCTAGTTTTTATGGGAAGATATTTCCTTTTTCACCGTAGGCCTCAAAGCGCTCCAAATGTCCACTTCCACATACTACAAAAAGAGTGTTTCAAACCTGCTCTATGATAGGGAATGTTGAAACCTATGAGTTGAATGCAAACATTACAAAGAGGTTTCTGAGAATGCTTCTGTCTACATTTTATATGTAGATATTCCCGTTTCCAACGAAATCCTCAAAGCTATCCAAATATCAACTTGCAGATTCTACAAAAGGAATGTTTCCAAAATGCTGTATCCAAACAAAGGTTCAACTCTGTGAATTGAGGGCATACATCACAAAGAAGATTCTGAGAATGCTTCTGTCTAAATTTTATATGAAAATATTCCCGTTTCCAACGAAATCCTCAAAGCTATCCAAATATCCGCTTGCAAATGCCACAAAAAGAGTGTTTCCAAACTGCTCTGTGAAAAGGAAGGTTCAACTCTGTTAGTTGAGTACACACATCACAAAGAGGTTTCTGAGAATGCTTGCTGACTAGTTTTTATTTGAAGATATTTCCCTTTTCACCTTAGGCCTAAGAGTGCTCGAAATGTCCATTTCCACATACTCCACAAAGTGTGTTTCAAACGTGCTGTATGAAAGGGAATGTTCAACTCTATGAGTTGAATGCAAACATCACAAAGAAGATTCTGAGAATGCTTTTGTCTAGATTTTATATGAAGATATTCCCGTGTCCAACGAAATTTTCAAAGGTCTCCAAATATCCATTTGTAGATTCTACAAAAAGAGTGTTTCCAAACTGCTGTATCAAAACAAAGGTTGAACTCTGTGAGTTGAGGACACACATCACAAATAAGTTTCTGAGAATGCTTCTGTCTAGTTTTTATTTGAAGATGTTTCCTTTTTCACCATAGGCCTGAAAGCGCTCGAAATGTCCACTTCCAGATAGTACAGAAAGAGTGTTTCAAACCTGCTCTATGAACGGGAATGTTCAGCTCTGTGAGTTGAATGCAAACATCACAAAGCAGGTTCTGAGAATGCTTCCGTCTAGATTTTAAATGAGGATATTCCCGTTTCCAACAAAATCCTCGAAGCTATCCAAATATCCACTTGCAGATTCCACAAAAAGAGTGTTTCAAAACTGCTCTGTCAAAAGATAGGTTCAACTCTGTTAGTTGAGTACACACATGGCAAACAAGATTCCGAGAATGCTTTCGTCTAGTTTTTTTGGGAAGATATTTCCTTCTTCACCATAGGCCTCAAAGCGCTCCAAATATCCATTTCCACATGCTATACAAAGAGTGTCTCAAACCTGCTGTATGAATGGGAATGTTCAACTCTATGAGTTGAATGCAAACATCACAAAGAAGTTTCTGAGAATGCTGCTGTCTAGATTTTATATGAAGGTTTTCCCGCTTCCAACGAAATTTTCAATGCTCTCAAAATATCCTCTTGTAGATTCTACAAAAAGAGTGTTTCCAAACTGCTGTATCAAAACAAAGGTTCATCTCTGTTAGTTGAGGACACACATCACAAATAAGTTTCTGAGAATGCTTCTGTCTAGTTCTTATTTGAAGACATTTCCTTTCTCACCTTAGGCCTGAAAACGCTCGAAATATCCACTTCCAGATACGACAGAAACAGTGATTCAAACCTGCTCTATGAAAGGGAATGTTCAACTAGGTGACTTGAATGCAAACATCAGAAAGCAGTTTCTGAGAATGCTGCTGTCTACTTTCTATTTGTAATCCCGTTTCCAACGAAATCCTCAGAACTATCGAAATTTCCAATTGCAGATTCCACAAAAAGCGTGTTTCAAAGCTGCTCTGTAAAAAGAAAGGTTCAACTCTGTTAGTTGAATACACACGTCACAAACAAGTTTCTGAGAATGCTTCTGTCTAGTTTTTATGGGAAGATATTTCCTTTTTCACCGTAGGCCTCAAAGTGCTCCAAATGTCCACTTCCACATACTACAAAAAGAGTGTTTCAAACCTGCTCTATGATAGGGAATGTTGAAACCTATGAGTTGAATGCAAGCATTACAAAGAGGTTTCTGAGAATGCTTCTGTCTAGATTTTATATGTAGATATTCCCGTTTCCAACGAAATCCTCAAAGCTATCCAAATATCAACTTGCAGATTCTACAAAAGGAATGTTTCCAAAATGCTGTATCCAAACAAAGGTTCAACTCTGTGAATTGAGGGCATACATCACAAAGATTCTGAGAATGCTTCTGTCTAGATTTTATATGAAAATATTCCCGTTTCCAACGAAATCCTCAAAGCTATCCAAATATCCACTTGCAAATGCCACAAAAAGAGTGTTTCCAAACTGCTCTGTGAAAAGGAAGGTTCAACTCTGTTAGTTGAGTACACACATCACAAAGAGGTTTCTGAGAATGCTGCTGACTAGTTTTTATTTGAAGATATTTCTCTTTTCACCTTAGGCCTAAGAGTGCTCGAAATGTCCATTTCCACATACTCCACAAAGTGTGTTTCAAACGTGCTGTATGAAAGGGAATGTTCAACTCTATGAGTTGAATGCAAACATCACAAAGAAGATTCTGAGAATGCTTTTGTTTAGATTTTATATGAAGATATTCCCGTGTCCAACGAAATTTTCAAAGGTCTCCAAATATCCATTTGTAGTTTCTACAAAAAGAGTGTTTCCAAACTGCTGTATCAAAACAAAGGTTGAACTCTGTGAGTTGAGGACACACATCACAAATAAGTTTCTGAGAATGCTTCTGTCTAGTTTTTATTTGAAGATATTTCCTTTTTCACCATAGGCCTGAAAGCGCTCGAAATGTCCACTTCCAGATAGTACAGAAAGAGTGTTTCAAACCTGCTCTATGAACGGTAATGTTCAGCTCTGTGAGTTGAATGCAAACATCACAAAGCAGGTTATGAGAATGCTTCCGTCTAGATTTTAAATGAGGATATTCCCGTTTCCAACGAAATCCTCGAAGCTATCCAAATATCCACTTGCAGATTCCACAAAAAGAGTGTTTCAAAACTGCTCTGTCAAAAGATAGGTTCAACTCCGTTAGTTGAGTACACACATGGCAAACAAGATTGCGAGAATGCTTTCGTCTAGTTTTTTTGGGAAGATATTTCCTTCTTCACCATAGGCCTCAAAGCGCTCCAAATATCCATTTCCACATGCTATACAAAGAGTGTCTCAAACCTGCTGTATGAATGGGAATGTTCAACTCTATGAGTTGAATGCAAACATCACAAAGAAGTTTCTGAGAATGCTGCTGTCTAGATTTTATATGAAGGTTTTCCCGCTTCCAACGAAATTTTCAATGCTCTCAAAATATCCTCTTGTAGATTCTACAAAAAGAGTGTTTCCAAACTGCTGTATCAAAACAAAGGTTCATCTCTGTTAGTTGAGGACACACATCACAAATAAGTTTCTGAGAATGCTTCTGTCTAGTTCTTATTTGAAGACATTTCCTTTCTCACCTTAGGCCTGAAAGCGTTCGAAATACCCACTTCCAGATACTACAGAAACAGTGATTCAAACCTGCTCTATGAAAGGGAATGTTCAACTAGGTGACTTGAATGCAAACATCACAAAGCAGTTTCTGAGAATGCTGCTGTCTACTTTCTATTTGTAATCCCGTTTCCAACGAAATCCTCAGAACTATCGAAATTTCCAATTGCAGATTCCACAGAAACAGGGTTTCAAAGCTGCTCTGTAAAAAGAAAGGTTCAACTCTGTTAGTTGAATACACACGTCACAAACAAGTTTCTGAGAATGCTTCTGTCTAGTTTTTATGGGAAGATATTTCCTTTTTCACCGTAGGCCTCAAAGCGCTCCAAATGTCCACGTCCACATACTACAAAAAGAGTGTTTCAAACCTGCTGTATGAAAGGGAATGTTCAACTCTATGAGTTGAATGCAAACATTACAAAGAAGTTTCTGAGAATGCTTCTGTCTAGATTTTATATGAAGGTTTTCCCGTTTCCAACGAAATTTTCAATGCTCTCAAAATATCCACTTGTAGATTCTACAAAAAGAGTGTTTCCAAACTGCTGTGTCAAAAGAAAGGTTCAACTCTGTTAGTTGAGGACACACATCACAAATAAGTTTCTGAGAATGCTTCTGTCTAGTTCTTATTTGAAGACATTTCCTTTCTCACCTTAGGCCTGAAAACGCTCGAAATATCCACTTCCAGATACGACAGAAACAGTGATTCAAACCTGCTCTATGAAAGGGAATGTTCAACTAGGTGACTTGAATGCAAACATCACAAAGCAGTTTCTGAGAATGCTGCTGTCTACTTTCTATTTGTAATCCCGTTTCCAACGAAATCCTCAGAACTATCGAAATTTCCAATTGCAGATTCCACAAAAAGCGTGTTTCAAAGCTGCTCTGTAAAAAGAAAGGTTCAACTCTGTTAGTTGAATACACACGTCACAAACAAGTTTCTGAGAATGCTTCTGTCTAGTTTTTATGGGAAGATATTTCCTTTTTCACCGTAGGCCTCAAAGCGCTCCAAATGTCCACTTCCACATACTACAAAAAGAGTGTTTCAAACCTGCTCTATGATAGGGAATGTTGAAACCTATGAGTTGAATGCAAGCATTACAAAGAGGTTTCTGAGAATGCTTCTGTCTAGATTTTATATGTAGATATTCCCGTTTCCAACGAAATCCTCAAACTATCCAAATATCAACTTGCAGATTCTACAAAAGGAATGTTTCCAAAATGCTGTATCCAAACAAAGGTTCAACTCTGTGAATTGAGGGCATACATCACAAAGAAGATTCTGAGAATGCTTCTGTCTAGATTTTATATGAAAATATTCCCGTTTCCAACGAAATCCTCAAAGCTATCCAAATATCCACTTGCAAATGCCACAAAAAGAGTGTTTCCAAACTGCTCTGTGAAAAGGAAGGTTCAACTCTGTTAGTTGAGTACACACATCACAAAGAGGTTTCTGAGAATGCTGCTGACTAGTTTTTATTTGAAGATATTTCCCTTTTCACCTTAGGCCTAAGAGTGCTCGAAATGTCCATTTCCACATACTCCACAAAGTGTGTTTCAAACGTGCTGTATGAAAGGGAATGTTCAACTCTATGAGTTGAATGCAAACATCACAAAGAAGATTCTGAGAATGCTTTTGTCTAGATTTTATATGAAGATATTCCCGTGTCCAACGAAATTTTCAAATGTCTCCAAATAAAGATTGTTTCCAAACTGCTGTATCAAAACAAATGTTGAACTCTGTGAGTTGAGGACACACATCACAAATAAGTTTCTGAGAATGCTTCTGTCTAGTTTTTATTTGAAGATGTTTCCTTTTTCACCATAGGCCTGAAAGCGCTCGAAATGTCCACTTCCAGATAGTACAGAAAGAGTGTTTCAAACCTGCTCTATGAACGGGAATGTTCAGCTCTGTGAGTTGAATGCAAACATCACAAAGCAGGTTCTGAGAATGCTTCCGTCTAGATTTTAAATGAGGATATTCCCGTTTCCAACGAAATCCTCGAAGCTATCCAAATATCCACTTGCAGATTCCACAAAAAGAGTGTTTCAAAACTGCTCTGTCAAAAGATAGGTTCAACTCTGTTAGTTGAGTACACACATGGCAAACAAGATTCTGAGAATGCTTTCGTCTAGTTTTTTTGGGAAGATATTTCCTTCTTCACCATAGGCCTCAAAGCGCTCCAAATATCCATTTCCACATGCTATACAAAGAGTGTCTCAAACCTGCTGTATGAATGGGAATGTTCAACTCTATGAGTTGAATGCAAACATCACAAAGAAGTTTCTGAGAATGCTGCTGTCTAGATTTTATATGAAGGTTTTCCCGCTTCCAACGAAATTTTCAATGCTCTCAAAATATCCTCTTGTAGATTCTACAAAAAGAGTGTTTCCAAACTGCTGTATCAAAACAAAGGTTCATCTCTGTTAGTTGAGGACACACATCACAAATCAGTTTCTGAGAATGCTTCTGTCTAGTTCTTATTTGAAGACATTTCCTTTCTCACCTTAGGCCTGAAAGCGCTCGAAATACCCACTTCCAGATACTACAGAAACAGTGATTCAAACCTGCTCTATGAAAGGGAATGTTCAACTATGTGACTTGAATGCAAACATCACAAAGCAGTTTCTGAGAATGCTGCTGTCTACTTTCTATTTGTAATCCCGTTTCCAACGAAATCCTCAGAACTATCGAAATTTCCAATTGCAGATTCCACAGAAACAGGGTTTCAAAGCTGCTCTGTAAAAAGAAAGGTTCAACTCTGTTAGTTGAATACACACGTCACAAACAAGTTTCTGAGAATGCTTCTGTCTAGTTTTTATGGGAAGATATTTCCTTTTTCACCGTAGGCCTCAAAGCGCTCCAAATGTCCACTTCCACATACTACAAAAAGAGTGTTTCAAACCTGCTGTATGAAAGGGAATGTTCAACTCTATGAGTTGAATGCAAACATTACAAAGAAGTTTCTGAGAATGCTTCTGTCTAGATTTTATATGAAGGTTTTCCCGTTTCCAACGAAATTTTCAATGCTCTCAAAATATCCACTTGTAGATTCTACAAAAAGAGTGTTTCCAAACTGCTGTGTCAAAAGAAAGGTTCAACTCTGTTAGTTGAGGACACACATCACAAATAAGTTTCTGAGAATGCTTCTGTCTAGTTCTTATTTGAAGACATTTCCTTTCTCACCTTAGGCCTGAAAACGCTCGAAATATCCACTTCCAGATACGACAGAAACAGTGATTCAAACCTGCTCTATGAAAGAGAATGTTCAACTAGGTGACTTGAATGCAAACATCACAAAGCAGTTTCTGAGAATGCTGCTGTCTACTTTCTATTTGTAATCCCGTTTCCAACGAAATCCTCAGAACTATCGAAATTTCCAATTGCAGATTCCACAGAAACAGGGTTTCAAAGCTGCTCTGTAAAAAGAAAGGTTCAACTCTGTTAGTTGAATACACACGTCACAAACAAGTTTCTGAGAATGCTTCTGTCTAGTTTTTATGGGAAGATATTTCCTTTTTCACCGTAGGCCTGAAAGCGCTCCAAATGTCCACTTCCACATACTACAAAAAGAGTGTTTCAAACCTGCTGTATGAAAGGGAATGTTCAACTCTATGAGTTGAATGCAAACATTACAAAGAAGTTTCTGAGAATGCTTCTGTCTAGATTTTATATGAAGGTTTTCCCGTTTCCAACGAAATTTTCAATGCTCTCAAAATATCCACTTGTAGATTCTACAAAAAGAGTGTTTCCAAACTGCTGTGTCAAAAGAAAGGTTCAACTCTGTTAGTTGAGGACACACATCACAAATAAGTTTCTGAGAATGCTGCTGTCTACTTTCTATTCGTAATCCCGTTTCCAACGAAATCCTCAGAACTATCAAAATTTCCAATTGCAGATTCCACAAAAAGCGTGTTTCAAAGCTGCTCTGTAAAAAGAAAGGTTCAACTCTGTTAGTTGAATACACACGTCACAAACAAGTTTCTGAGAATGCTTCTGTCTAGTTTTTATGGGAAGATATTTCCTTTTTCACCGTAGGCCTCAAAGCGCTCCAAATGTCCACTTCCACATACTACAAAAAGAGTGTTTCAAACCTGCTCTATGATAGGGAATGTTGAAACCTATGAGTTGAATGCAAACATTAGAAAGAGGTTTCTGAGAATGCTTCTGTCTAGATTTTATATGTAGATATTCCCGTTTCCAACGAAATCCTCAAAGCTATCCAAATATCAACTTGCAGATTCTACAAAAGGAATGTTTCCAAAATGCTGTATCCAAACAAAGGTTCAACTCTGTGAATTGAGGGCATACATCACAAAGAAGATTCTGAGAATGCTTCTGTCTAGATTTTATATGAAAATATTCCCGTTTCCAACGAAATCCTCAAAGCTATCCAAATAGCCACTTGCAAATGCCACAAAAAGAGTGTTTCCAAACTGCTCTGTGAAAAGGAAGGTTCAACTCTGTTAGTTGAGTACACACATCACAAAGAGGTTTCTGAGAATGCTGCTGACTAGTTTTTATTTGAAGATATTTCCCTTTTCACCTTAGGCCTAAGAGTGCTCGAAATGTCCATTTCCACATACTCCACAAAGTGTGTTTCAAACGTGCTGTATGAAAGGGAATGTTCAACTCTATGAGTTGAATGCAAACATCACAAAGAAGATTCTGAGAATGCTTTTGTCTAGATTTTATATGAAGATATTCCCGTGTCCAACGAAATTTTCAAAGGTCTCCAAATAT
The DNA here is from genome assembly GCF_000001405.40 of Homo sapiens. Lineage (NCBI taxonomy): Eukaryota > Metazoa > Chordata > Mammalia > Primates > Hominidae > Homo > Homo sapiens. The sequence goes on along the minus strand of NC_000015.10, from coordinate 19,324,982 downwards.
CCATTTGTAGATTCTACAAAAAGAGTGTTTCCAAACTGCTGTATCAAAACAAAGGTTGAACTCTGTGAGTTGAGGACACACATCACAAATAAGTTTCTGAGAATGCTTCTGTCTAGTTTTTATTTGAAGATGTTTCCTTTTTCACCATAGGCCTGAAAGCGCTCGAAATGTCCACTTCCAGATAGTGCAGAAAGAGTGTTTCAAACCTGCTCTATGAACGGGAATGTTCAGCTCTGTGAGTTGAATGCAAACATCACAAAGCAGGTTCTGAGAATGCTTCCGTCTAGATTTTAAATGAGGATATTCCCGTTTCCAACGAAATCCTCGAAGCTATCCAAATATCCACTTGCAGATTCCACAAAAAGAGTGTTTCAAAACTGCTCTGTCAAAAGATAGGTTCAACTCTGTTAGTTGAGTACACACATGGCAAACAAGATTCCGAGAATGCTTTCATCTAGTTTTTTTGGGAAGATATTTCCTTCTTCACCATAGGCCTCAAAGCGCTCCAAATATCCATTTCCACATGCTATACAAAGAGTGTCTCAAACCTGCTGTATGAATGGGAATGTTCAACTCTATGAGTTGAATGCAAACATCACAAAGAAGTTTCTGAGAATGCTGCTGTCTAGATTTTATATGAAGGTTTTCCCGCTTCCAACGAAATTTTCAATGCTCTCAAAATATCCTCTTGTAGATTCTACAAAAAGAGTGTTTCCAAACTGCTGTATCAAAACAAAGGTTCATCTCTGTTAGTTGAGGACACACATCACAAATAAGTTTCTGAGAATGCTTCTGTCTAGTTCTTATTTGAAGACATTTCCTTTCTCACCTTAGGCCTGAAAGCGCTCGAAATACCCACTTCCAGATACTACAGAAACAGTGATTCAAACCTGCTCTATGAAAGGGAATGTTCAACTAGGTGACTTGAATGCAAACATCACAAAGCAGTTTCTGAGAATGCTGCTGTCTACTTTCTATTTGTAATCCCGTTTCCAACGAAATCCTCAGAACTATCGAAATTTCCAATTGCAGATTCCACAGAAACAGGGTTTCAAAGCTGCTCTGTAAAAAGAAAGGTTCAACTCTGTTAGTTGAATACACACGTCACAAACAAGTTTCTGAGAATGCTTCTGTCTAGTTTTTATGGGAAGATATTTCCTTTTTCACCGTAGGCCTCAAAGCGCTCCAAATGTCCACTTCCACATACTACAAAAAGAGTGTTTCAAACCTGCTCTATGATAGGGAATGTTGAAACCTATGAGTTGAATGCAAGCATTACAAAGAGGTTTCTGAGAATGCTTCTGTCTAGATTTTATATGTAGATATTCCCGTTTCCAACGAAATCCTCAAAGCTATCCAAATATCAACTTGCAGATTCTACAAAAGGAATGTTTCCAAAATGCTGTATCCAAACAAAGGTTCAACTCTGGGAATTGAGGGCATACATCACAAAGAAGATTCTGAGAATGCTTCTGTCTAGATTTTATATGAAAATATTCCCGTTTCCAACGAAATCCTCAAATCTATCCAAATATCCACTTGCAAATGCCACAAAAAGAGTGTTTCCAAACTGCTCTGTGAAAAGGAAGGTTCAACTCTGTTAGTTGAGTACACACATCACAAAGAGGTTTCTGAGAATGCTGCTGACTAGTTTTTATTTGAAGATATTTCCCTTTTCACCTTAGGCCTAAGAGTGCTCGAAATGTCCATTTCCACATACTCCACAAAGTGTGTTTCAAACGTGCTGTATGAAAGGGAATGTTCAACTCTATGAGTTGAATGCAAACATCACAAAGAAGATTCTGAGAATGCTTTTGTCTAGATTTTATATGAAGATATTCCCGTGTCCAACGAAATTTTCAAAGGTCTCCAAATATCCATTTGTAGATTCTACAAAAAGAGTGTTTCCAAACTGCTGTATCAAAACAAAGGTTGAACTCTGTGAGTTGAGGACACACATCACAAATAAGTTTCTGAGAATGCTTCTGTCTAGTTTTTATTTGAAGATATTTCCTTTTTCACCATAGGCCTGAAAGCGCTCGAAATGTCCACTTCCAGATAGTACAGAAAGAGTGTTTCAAACCTGCTCTATGAACGGGAATGTTCAGCTCTGTGAGTTGAATGCAAACATCACAAAGCAGGTTCTGAGAATGCTTCCGTCTAGATTTTAAATGAGGATATTCCCGTTTCCAACGAAATCCTCGAAGCTATCCAAATATCCACTTGCAGATTCCACAAAAAGAGTGTTTCAAAACTGCTCTGTCAAAAGATAGGTTCAACTCTGTTAGTTGAGTACACACATGGCAAACAAGATTCCGAGAATGCTTTCGTCTATTTTTTTTGGGAAGATATTTCCTTCTTCACCATAGGCCTCAAAGCGCTCCAAATATCCATTTCCACATGCTATACAAAGAGTGTCTCAAACCTGCTGTATGAATGGGAATGTTCAACTCTATGAGTTGAATGCAAACATCACAAAGAAGTTTCTGAGAATGCTGCTGTCTAGATTTTATATGAAGGTTTTCCCGCTTCCAACGAAATTTTCAATGCTCTCAAAATATCCTCTTGTAGATTCTACAAAAAGAGTGTTTCCAAACTGCTGTATCAAAACAAAGGTTCATCTCTGTTAGTTGAGGACACACATCACAAATAAGTTTCTGAGAATGCTTCTGTCTAGTTCTTATTTGAAGACATTTCCTTTCTCACCTTAGGCCTGAAAGCGCTCGAAATACCCACTTCCAGATACTACAGAAACAGTGATTCAAACCTGCTCTATGAAAGGGAATGTTCAACTAGGTGACTTGAATGCAAACATCACAAAGCAGTTTCTGAGAATGCTGCTGTCTACTTTCTATTTGTAATCCCGTTTCCAACGAAATCCTCAGAACTATCGAAATTTCCAATTGCAGATTCCACAGAAACAAGGTTTCAAAGCTGCTCTGTAAAAAGAAAGGTTCAACTCTGTTAGTTGAATACACACGTCACAAACAAGTTTCTGAGAATGCTTCTGTCTAGTTTTTATGGGAAGATATTTCCTTTTTCACCGTAGGCCTCAAAGCGCTCCAAATGTCCACTTCCACATACTACAAAAAGAGTGTTTCAAACCTGCTGTATGAAAGGGAATGTTCAACTCTATGAGTTGAATGCAAACATTACAAAGAAGTTTCTGAGAATGCTTCTGTCTAGATTTTATATGAAGGTTTTCCCGTTTCCAACGAAATTTTCAATGCTCTCAAAATATCCACTTGTAGATTCTACAAAAAGAGTGTTTCCAAACTGCTGTGTCAAAAGAAAGGTTCAACTCTGTTAGTTGAGGACACACATCACAAATAAGTTTCTGAGAATGCTTCTGTCTAGTTCTTATTTGAAGACATTTCCTTTCTCACCTTAGGCCTGAAAACGCTCGAAATATCCACTTCCAGATACGACAGAAACAGTGATTCAAACCTGCTCTATGAAAGGGAATGTTCAACTAGGTGACTTGAATGCAAACATCACAAAGCAGTTTCTGAGAATGCTGCTGTCTACTTTCTATTTGTAATCCCGTTTGCAACGAAATCCTCAGAACTATCGAAATTTCCAATTGCAGATTCCACAGAAACAGGGTTTCAAAGCTGCTCTGTAAAAAGAAAGGTTCAACTCTGTTAGTTGAATACACACGTCACAAACAAGTTTCTGAGAATGCTTCTGTCTAGTTTTTATGGGAAGATATTTCCTTTTTCACCGTAGGCCTCAAAGCGCTCCAAATGTCCACTTCCACATACTACAAAAAGAGTGTTTCAAACCTGCTCTATGATAGGGAATGTTGAAACCTATGAGTTGAATGCAAGCATTACAAAGAGGTTTCTGAGAATGCTTCTGTCTAGATTTTATATGTAGATATTCCCGTTTCCAACGAAATCCTCAAAGCTATCCAAATATCAACTTGCAGATTCTACAAAAGGAATGTTTCCAAAATGCTGTATCCAAACAAAGGTTCAACTCTGTGAATTGAGGGAATACATCACAAAGAAGATTCTGAGAATGCTTCTGTCTACATTTTATATGAAAATATTCCCGTTTCCAACGAAATCCTCAAAGCTATCCAAATATCCACTTGCAAATGCCACAAAAAGAGTGTTTCCAAACTGCTCTGTGAAAAGGAAGGTTCAACTCTGTTAGTTGAGTACACACATCACAAAGAGGTTTCTGAGAATGCTGCTGACTAGTTTTTATTTGAAGATATTTCCCTTTTCACCTTAGGCCTAAGAGTGCTCGAAATGTCCATTTCCACATACTCCACAAAGTGTGTTTCAAACGTGCTGTATGAAAGGGAATGTTCAACTCTATGAGTTGAATGCAAACATCACAAAGAAGATTCTGAGAATGCTTTTGTCTAGATTTTATATGAAGATATTCCCGTGTCCAACGAAATTTTCAAAGGTCTCCAAATATCCATTTGTAGATTCTACAAAAAGAGTGTTTCCAAACTGCTGTATCAAAACAAAGGTTGAACTCTGTGAGTTGAGGACACACATCACAAATAAGTTTCTGAGAATGCTTCTGTCTAGTTTTTATTTGAAGATGTTTCCTTTTTCACCATAGGCCTGAAAGCGCTCGAAATGTCCACTTCCAGATAGTACAGAAAGAGTGTTTCAAACCTGCTCTATGAACGGGAATGTTCAGCTCTGTGAGTTGAATGCAAACATCACAAAGCAGGTTCTGAGAATGCTTCCGTCTAGATTTTAAATGAGGATATTCCCGTTTCCAACGAAATCCTCGAAGCTATCCAAATATCCACTTGCAGATTCCACAAAAAGAGTGTTTCAAAACTGCTCTGTCAAAAGATAGGTTCAACTCTGTTAGTTGAGTACACACATGGCAAACAAGATTCCGAGAATGCTTTCGTCTAGTTTTTTTGGGAAGATATTTCCTTCTTCACCATAGGCCTCAAAGCGCTCCAAATATCCATTTCCACATGCTATACAAAGAGTGTCTCAAACCTGCTGTATGAATGGGAATGTTCAACTCTATGAGTTGAATGCAAACATCACAAAGAAGTTTCTGAGAATGCTGCTGTCTAGATTTTATATGAAGGTTTTCCCGCTTCCAACGAAATTTTCAATGCTCTCAAAATATCCTCTTGTAGATTCTACAAAAAGAGTGTTTCCAAACTGCTGTATCAAAACAAAGGTTCATCTCTGTTAGTTGAGGACACACATCACAAATAAGTTTCTGAGAATGCTTCTGTCTAGTTCTTATTTGAAGACATTTCCTTTCTCACCTTAGGCCTGAAAACGCTCGAAATACCCACTTCCAGATACGACAGAAACAGGGATTCAAACCTGCTCTATGAAAGGGAATGTTCAACTATGTGACTTGAATGCAAACATCACAAAGCAGTTTCTGAGAATGCTGCTGTCTACTTTCTATTTGTAATCCCGTTTGCAACGAAATCCTCAGAACTATCGAAATTTCCAATTGCAGATTCCACAGAAACAGGGTTTCAAAGCTGCTCTGTAAAAAGAAAGGTTCAACTCTGTTAGTTGAATACACACGTCACAAACAAGTTTCTGAGAATGCTTCTGTCTAGTTTTTATGGGAAGATATTTCCTTTTTCACGGTAGGCCTCAAAGCGCTCCAAATGTCCACTTCCACATACTACAAAAAGAGTGTTTCAAACCTGCTCTATGATAGGGAATGTTGAAACCTATGAGTTGAATGCAAGCATTACAAAGATGTTTCTGAGAATGCTTCTGTCTAGATTTTATATGTAGATATTCCCGTTTCCAACGAAATCCTCAAAGCTATCCAAATATCAACTTGCAGATTCTACAAAAGGAATGTTTCCAAAATGCTGTATCCAAACAAAGGTTCAACTCTGTGAATTGAGGGCATACATCACAAAGAAGATTCTGAGAATGCTTCTGTCTAGATTTTATATGAAAATATTCCCGTTTCCAACGAAATCCTCAAAGCTATCCAAATATCCACTTGCAAATGCCACAAAAAGAGTGTTTCCAAACTGCTCTGTGAAAAGGAAGGTTCAACTCTGTTAGTTGAGTACACACATCACAAAGAGGTTTCTGAGAATGCTGCTGACTAGTTTTTATTTGAAGATATTTCCCTTTTCACCTTAGGCCTAAGAGTGCTCGAAATGTCCATTTCCACATACTCCACAAAGTGTGTTTCAAACGTGCTGTATGAAAGGGAATGTTCAACTCTATGAGTTGAATGCAAACATCACAAAGAAGATTCTGAGAATGCTTTTGTCTAGATTTTATATGAAGATATTCCCGTGTCCAACGAAATTTTCAAAGGTCTCCAAATATCCATTTGTAGATTCTACAAAAAGAGTGTTTCCAAACTGCTGTATCAAAACAAAGGTTGAACTCTGTGAGTTGAGGACACACATCACAAATAAGTTTCTGAGAATGCTTCTGTCTAGTTTTTATTTGAAGATGTTTCCTTTTTCACCATAGGCCTGAAAGCGCTCGAAATGTCCACTTCCAGATAGTACAGAAAGAGTGTTTCAAACCTGCTCTATGAACGGGAATGTTCAGCTCTGTGAGTTGAATGCAAACATCACAAAGCAGGTTCTGAGAATGCTTCCGTCTAGATTTTAAATGAGGATATTCCCGTTTCCAACGAAATCCTCGAAGCTATCCAAATATCCACTTGCAGATTCCACAAAAAGAGTGTTTCAAAACTGCTCTGTCAAAAGATAGGTTCAACTCTGTTAGTTGAGTACACACATGGCAAACAAGATTCCGAGAATGCTTTCGTCTAGTTTTTTTGGGAAGATATTTCCTTCTTCACCATAGGCCTCAAAGCGCTCCAAATATCCATTTCCACATGCTATACAAAGAGTGTCTCAAACCTGCTGTATGAATGGGAATGTTCAACTCTATGAGTTGAATGCAAACATCACAAAGAAGTTTCTGAGAATGCTGCTGTCTAGATTTTATATGAAGGTTTTCCCGCTTCCAACGAAATTTTCAATGCTCTCAAAATATCCTCTTGTAGATTCTACAAAAAGAGTGTTTCCAAACTGCTGTATCAAAAGAAAGGTTCAACTCTGTTAGTTGAGGACACACATCACAAATAAGTTTCTGAGAATGCTTCTGTCTAGTTCTTATTTGAAGACATTTCCTTTCTCACCTTAGGCCTGAAAGCGCTCGAAATACCCACTTCCAGATACTACAGAAACAGTGATTCAAACCTGCTCTATGAAAGGGAATGTTCAACTATGTGACTTGAATGCAAACATCACAAAGCAGTTTCTGAGAATGCTGCTGTCTACTTTCTATTTGTAATCCCGTTTCCAACGAAATCCTCAGAACTATCGAAATTTCCAATTGCAGATTCCACAGAAACAGGGTTTCAAAGCTGCTCTGTAAAAAGAAAGGTTCAACTCTGTTAGTTGAATACACACGTCACAAACAAGTTTCTGAGAATGCTTATCTGTCTAGTTTTTATGGGAAGATATTTCCTTTTTCACCGTAGGCCTCAAAGCGCTCCAAATGTCCACTTCCACATACTACAAAAAGAGTGTTTCAAACCTGCTGTATGAAAGGGAATGTTCAACTACTATGAGTTGAATGCAAACATTACAAAGAAGTTTCTGAGAATGCTTCTGTCTAGATTTTATATGAAGGTTTTCCCGTTTCCAACGAAATTTTCAATGCTCTCAAAATATCCACTTGTAGATTCTACAAAAAGAGTGTTTCCAAACTGCTGTGTCAAAAGAAAGGTTCAACTCTGTTAGTTGAGGACACACATCACAAATATGTTTCTGAGAATGCTTCTGTCTAGTTCTTATTTGAAGACATTTCCTTTCTCACCTTAGGCCTGAAAACGCTCGAAATATCCACTTCCAGATACGACAGAAACAGTGATTCAAACCTGCTCTATGAAAGGGAATGTTCAACTAGGTGACTTGAATGCAAACATCACAAAGCAGTTTCTGAGAATGCTGCTGTCTACTTTCTATTTGTAATCCCGTTTCCAACGAAATCCTCAGAACTATCGAAATTTCCAATTGCAGATTCCACAAAAAGCGTGTTTCAAAGCTGCTCTGTAAAAAGAAAGGTTCAACTCTGTTAGTTGAATACACACGTCACAAACAAGTTTCTGAGAATGCTTCTGTCTAGTTTTTATGGGAAGATATTTCCTTTTTCACCGTAGGCCTCAAAGCGCTCCAAATGTCCACTTCCACATACTACAAAAAGAGTGTTTCAAACCTGCTCTATGATAGGGAATGTTGAAACCTATGAGTTGAATGCAAGCATTACAAAGAGGTTTCTGAGAATGCTTCTGTCTAGATTTTATATGTAGATATTCCCGTTTCCAACGAAATCCTCAAAGCTATCCAAATATCAACTTGCAGATTCTACAAAAGGAATGTTTCCAAAATGCTGTATCCAAACAAAGGTTCAACTCTGTGAATTGAGGGCATACATCACAAAGAAGATTCTGAGAATGCTTCTGTCTAGATTTTATATGAAAATATTCCCGTTTCCAACGAAATCCTCAAAGCTATCCAAATATCCACTTGCAAATGCCACAAAAAGAGTGTTTCCAAACTGCTCTGTGAAAAGGAAGGTTCAACTCTGTTAGTTGAGTACACACATCACAAAGAGGTTTCTGAGAATGCTGCTGACTAGTTTTTATTTGAAGATATTTCCCTTTTCACCTTAGGCCTAAGAGTGCTCGAAATGTCCATTTCCACATACTCCACAAAGTGTGTTTCAAACGTGCTGTATGAAAGGGAATGTTCAACTCTATGAGTTGAATGCAAACATCACAAAGAAGATTCTGAGAATGCTTTTGTCTAGATTTTATATGAAGATATTCCGGTGTCCAACGAAATTTTCAAAGGTCTCCAAATATCCATTTGTAGATTCTACAAAAAGAGTGTTTCCAAACTGCTGTATCAAAACAAAGGTTGAACTCTGTGAGTTGAGGACACACATCACAAATAAGTTTCTGAGAATGCTTCTGTCTAGTTTTTATTTGAAGATGTTTCCTTTTTCACCATAGGCCTGAAAGCGCTCGAAATGTCCACTTCCAGATAGTACAGAAAGAGTGTTTCAAACCTGCTCTATGAACGGGAATGTTCAGCTCTGTGAGTTGAATGCAAACATCACAAAGCAGGTTCTGAGAATGCTTCCGTCTAGATTTTAAATGAGGATATTCCCGTTTCCAACGAAATCCTCGAAGCTATCCAAATATCCACTTGCAGATTCCACAAAAAGAGTGTTTCAAAACTGCTCTGTCAAAAGATAGGTTCAACTCTGTTAGTTGAGTACACACATGGCAAACAAGATTCCGAGAATGCTTTCGTTTAGTTTTTTTGGGAAGATATTTCCTTCTTCACCAGAGGCCTCAAAGCGCTCCAAATATCCATTTCCACATGCTATACAAAGAGTGTCTCAAACCTGCTGTATGAATGGGAATGTTCAACTCTATGAGTTGAATGCAAACATCACAAAGAAGTTTCTGAGAATGCTTCTGTCTAGATTTTATATGAAGGTTTTCCCGTTTCCAAGGAAATTTTCAATGCTCTCAAAATATCCACTTGTAGATTCTACAAAAAGAGTGTTTCCAAACTGCTGTGTCAAAAGAAAGGTTCAACTCTGTTAGTTGAGGACACACATCACAAATAAGTTTCTGAGAATGCTTCTGTCTAGTTCTTATTTGAAGACATTTCCTTTCTCACCTTAGGCCTGAAAACGCTCGAAATATCCACTTCCAGATACGACAGAAACAGTGATTCAAACCTGCTCTATGAAAGGGAATGTTCAACTAGGTGACTTGAATGCAAACATCACAAAGCAGTTTCTGAGAATGCTGCTGTCTACTTTGTATTTGTAATCCCGTTTCCAACGAAATCCTCAGAACTATCGAAATTTCCAATTGCAGATTCCACAAAAAGCGTGTTTCAAAGCTGCTCTGTAAAAAGAAAGGTTCAACTCTGTTAGTTGAATACACACGTCACAAACAAGTTTCTGAGAATGCTTCTGTCTAGTTTTTATGGGAAGATATTTCCTTTTTCACCGTAGGCCTCAAAGCGCTCCAAATGTCCACTTCCACATACTACAAAAAGAGTGTTTCAAACCTGCTCTATGATAGGGAATGTTGAAACCTATGAGTTGAATGCAAGCATTACAAAGAGGTTTCTGAGAATGCTTCTGTCTAGATTTTATATGTAGATATTCCCGTTTCCAACGAAATCCTCAAAGCTATCCAAATATCAACTTGCAGATTCTACAAAAGGAATGTTTCCAAAATGCTGTATCCAAACAAAGGTTCAACTCTGTGAATTGAGGGCATACATCACAAAGAAGATTCTGAGAATGCTTCTGTCTAGATTTTATATGAAAATATTCCCGTTTCTAACGAAATCCTCAAAGCTATCCAAATATCCACTTGTAAATGCCACAAAAAGAGTGTTTCCAAACTGCTCTGTGAAAAGGAAGGTTCAACTCTGTTAGTTGAGTACACACATCACAAAGAGGTTTCTGAGAATGCTGCTGACTAGTTTTTATTTGAAGATATTTCCCTTTTCACCTTAGGCCTAAGAGTGCTCGAAATGTCCATTTCCACATACTCCACAAAGTGTGTTTCAAACGTGCTGTATGAAAGGGAATGTTCAACTCTATGAGTTGAATGCAAACATCACAAAGAAGACTCTGAGAATGCTTTTGTCTAGATTTTATATGAAGATATTCCCGTGTCCAACGAAATTTTCAAAGGTCTCCAAATATCCATTTGTAGATTCTACAAAAAGAGTGTTTCCAAACTGCTGTATCAAAACAAAGGTTGAACTCCGTGAGTTGAGGACACACATCACAAATAAGTTTCTGAGAATGCTTCTGTCTAGTTTTTATTTGAAGATGTTTCCTTTTTCACCATAGGCCTGAAAGCGCTCGAAATGTCCACTTCCAGATAGTACAGAAAGAGTGTTTCAAACCTGCTCTATGAACGGGAATGTTCAGCTCTGTGAGTTGAATGCAAACATCACAAAGCAGGTTCCGAGAATGCTTCCGTCTAGATTTTAAATGAGGATATTCCCGTTTCCAACGAAATCCTCGAAGCTATCCAAATATCCACTTGCAGATTCCACAAAAAGAGTGTTTCAAAACTGCTCTGTCAAAAGATAGGTTCAACTCTGTTAGTTGAGTACACACATGGCAAACAAGATTGCGAGAATGCTTTCGTCTAGTTTTTTTGGGAAGATATTTCCTTCTTCACCATAGGCCTCAAAGCGCTCCAAATATCCATTTCCACATGCTATACAAAGAGTGTCTCAAACCTGCTGTATGAATGGGAATGTTCAACTCTATGAGTTGAATGCAAACATCACAAAGAAGTTTCTGAGAATGCTGCTGTCTAGATTTTATATGAAGGTTTTCCCGCTTCCAACGAAATTTTCAATGCTCTCAAAATATCCTCTTGTAGATTCTACAAAAAGAGTGTTTCCAAACTGCTGTATCAAAACAAAGGTTCATCTCTGTTAGTTGAGGACACACATCACAAATAAGTTTCTGAGAATGCTTCTGTCTAGTTCTTATTTGAAGACATTTCCTTTCTCACCTTAGGCCTGAAAGCGCTCGAAATACCCACTTCCAGATACTACAGAAACAGTGATTCAAACCTGCTCTATGAAAGGGAATGTTCAACTATGTGACTTGAATGCAAACATCACAAAGCAGTTTCTGAGAATGCTGCTGTCTACTTTCTATTTGTAATCCCGTTTCCAACGAAATCCTCAGAACTATCGAAATTTCCAATTGCAGATTCCACAGAAACAGGGTTTCAAAGCTGCTCTGTAAAAAGAAAGGTTCAACTCTGTTAGTTGAATACACACGTCACAAACAAGTTTCTGAGAATGCTTCTGTCTAGTTTTTATGGGAAGATATTTCCTTTTTCACCGTAGGCCTCAAAGCGCTCCAAATGTCCACTTCCACATACTACAAAAAGAGTGTTTCAAACCTGCTGTATGAAAGGGAATGTTCAACTCTATGAGTTGAATGCAAACATTACAAAGAAGTTTCTGAGAATGCTTCTGTCTAGATTTTATATGAAGGTTTTCCCGTTTCCAACGAAATTTTCAATGCTCTCAAAATATCCACTTGTAGATTCTACAAAAAGAGTGTTTCCAAACTGCTGTGTCAAAAGAAAGGTTCAACTCTGTTAGTTGAGGACACACATCACAAATAAGTTTCTGAGAATGCTTCTGTCTAGTTCTTATTTGAAGACATTTCCTTTCTCACCTTAGGCCTGAAAACGCTCGAAATATCCACTTCCAGATACGACAGAAACTGTGATTCAAACCTGCTCTATGAAAGGGAATGTTCAACTAGGTGACTTGAATGCAAACATCACAAAGCAGTTTCTGAGAATGCTGCTGTCTACTTTCTATTTGTAATCCCGTTTCCAACGAAATCCTCAGAACTATCGAAATTTCCAATTGCAGATTCCACAAAAAGCGTGTTTCAAAGCTGCTCTGTAAAAAGAAAGGTTCAACTCTGTTAGTTGAATACACACGTCACAAACAAGTTTCTGAGAATGCTTCTGTCTAGTTTTTATGGGAACATATTTCCTTTATCACGGTAGGCCTCAAAGCGCTCCAAATGTCCACTTCCACATACTACAAAAAGAGTGTTTCAAACCTGCTCTATGATAGGGAATGTTGAAACCTATGAGTTGAATGCAAGCATTACAAAGAGGTTTCTGAGAATGCTTCTGTCTAGATTTTATATGTAGATATTCCCGTTTCCAACGAAATCCTCAAAGCTATCCAAATATCAACTTGCAGATTCTGCAAAAGGAATGTTTCCAAAATGCTGTATCCAAACAAAGGTTCAACTCTGTGAATTGAGGGCATACATCACAAAGAAGATTCTGAGAATGCTTCTGTCTAGATTTTATATGAAAATATTCCCGTTTCCAACGAAATCCTCAAAGCTATCCAAATATCCACTTGCAAATGCCACAAAAAGAGTGTTTCCAAACTGCTCTGTGAAAAGGAAGGTTCAACTCTGTTAGTTGAGTACACACATCACAAAGAGGTTTCTGAGAATGCTGCTGACTAGTTTTTATTTGAAGATATTTCCCTTTTCACCTTAGGCCTAAGAGTGCTCGAAATGTCCATTTCCACATACTCCACAAAGTGTGTTTCAAACGTGCTGTATGAAAGGGAATGTTCAACTCTATGAGTTGAATGCAAACATCACAAAGAAGACTCTGAGAATGCTTTTGTCTAGATTTTATATGAAGATATTCCCGTGTCCAACGAAATTTTCAAAGGTCTCCAAATATCCATTTGTAGATTCTACAAAAAGAGTGTTTCCAAACTGCTGTATCAAAACAAAGGTTGAACTCTGTGAGTTGAGGACACACATCACAAATAAGTTTCTGAGAATGCTTCTGTCTAGTTTTTATTTGAAGATGTTTCCTTTTTCACCATAGGCCTGAAAGCGCTCGAAATGTCCACTTCCAGATAGTACAGAAAGAGTGTTTCAAACCTGCTCTATGAACGGGAATGTTCAGCTCTGTGAGTTGAATGCAAACATCACAAAGCAGGTTCTGAGAATGCTTCCGTCTAGATTTTAAATGAGGATATTCCCGTTTCCAACGAAATCCTCGAAGCTATCCAAATATCCACTTGCAGATTCCACAAAAAGAGTGTTTCAAAACTGCTCTGTCAAAAGATAGATTCAACTCTGTTAGTTGAGTACAAACATGGCAAACAAGATTCCGAGAATGCTTTCGTCTAGTTTTTTTTGGAAGATATTTCCTTCTTCACCATAGGCCTCAAAGCGCTCCAAATATCCATTTCCACATGCTATACAAAGAGTGTCTCAAACCTGCTGTATGAATGGGAATGTTCAACTCTATGAGTTGAATGCAAACATCACAAAGAAGTTTCTGAGAATGCTGCTGTCTAGATTTTATATGAAGGTTTTCCCGCTTCCAACGAAATTTTCAATGCTCTCAAAATATCCTCTTGTAGATTCTACAAAAAGAGTGTTTCCAAACTGCTGTATCAAAACAAAGGTTCATCTCTGTTAGTTGAGGACACACATCACAAATAAGTTTCTGAGAATGCTTCTGTCTAGTTCTTATTTGAAGACATTTCCTTTCTCACCTTAGGCCTGAAAACGCTCGAAATATCCACTTCCAGATACGACAGAAACAGTGATTCAAACCTGCTCTATGAAAGGGAATGTTCAACTAGGTGACTTGAATGCAAACATCACAAAGCAGTTTCTGAGAATGCTGCTGTCTACTTTCTATTTGTAATCCCGTTTCCAACGAAATCCTCAGAACTATCGAAATTTCCAATTGCAGATTCCACAAAAAGCGTGTTTCAAAGCTGCTCTGTAAAAAGAAAGGTTCAACTCTGTTAGTTGAATACACACGTCACAAACAAGTTTCTGAGAATGCTTCTGTCTAGTTTTTATGGGAAGATATTTCCTTTTTCACCGTAGGCCTCAAAGCGCTCCAAATGTCCACTTCCACATACTACAAAAAGAGTGTTTCAAACCTGCTCTATGATAGGGAATGTTGAAACCTATGAGTTGAATGCAAGCATTACAAAGAGGTTTCTGAGAATGCTTCTGTCTAGATTTTATATGTAGATATTCCCGTTTCCAACGAAATCCTCAAAGCTATCCAAATATCAACTTGCAGATTCTACAAAAGGAATGTTTCCAAAATGCTGTATCCAAACAAAGGTTCAACTCTGTGAATTGAGGGCATACATCACAAAGAAGATTCTGAGAATGCTTCTGTCTAGATTTTATATGAAAATATTCCCGTTTCCAACGAAATCCTCAAAGCTATCCAAATATCCACTTGCAAATGCCACAAAAAGAGTGTTTCCAAACTGCTCTGTGAAAAGGAAGGTTCAACTCTGTTAGTTGAGTACACACATCACAAAGAGGTTTCTGAGAACGCTGCTGACTAGTTTTTATTTGAAGATATTTCCCTTTTCACCTTAGGCCTAAGAGTGCTCGAAATGTCCATTTCCACATACTCCACAAAGTGTGTTTCAAACGTGCTGTATGAAAGGGAATGTTCAACTCTATGAGTTGAATGCAAACATCACAAAGAAGACTCTGAGAATGCTTTTGTCTAGATTTTATATGAAGATATTCCCGTGTCCAACGAAATTTTCAAAGGTCTCCAAATATCCATTTGTAGATTCTACAAAAAGAGTGTTTCCAAACTGCTGTATCAAAACAAAGGTTGAACTCTGTGAGTTGAGGACACACATCACAAATAAGTTTCTGAGAATGCTTCTGTCTAGTTTTTATTTGAAGATATTTCCTTTTTCACCATAGGCCTGAAAGCGCTCGAAATGTCCACTTCCAGATAGTACAGAAAGAGTGTTTCAAACCTGTTCTATGAACGGGAATGTTCAGCTCTGTGAGTTGAATGCAAACATCACAAAGCAGGTTCTGAGAATGCTTCCGTCTAGATTTTATATGAGGATATTCCCGTTTCCAAGGAAATCCTCGAAGCTATCCAAATATCCATTTGCAGATTCCACAAAAAGAGTGTTTGAAAACTGCTCTGTCAAAAGATAGGTTCAACTCTGTTAGTTGAGTACACACATGGCAAACAAGATTGCGAGAATGCTTTCGTCTAGTTTTTTTGGGAAGATATTTCCTTTTTCACCATAGGCCTCAAAGCGCTCCAAATATCCATTTCCACATGCTATACAAAGAGTGTCTCAAACCTGCTGTATGAATGGGAATGTTCAACTCTATGAGTTGAATGCAAACATCACAAAGAAGTTTCTGAGAATGCTGCTGTCTAGATTTTATATGAAGGTTTTCCCGCTTCCAACGAAATTTTCAATGCTCTCAAAATATCCTCTTGTAGATTCTACAAAAAGAGTGTTTCCAAACTGCTGTATCAAAACAAAGGTTCATCTCTGTTAGTTGAGGACACACATCACAAATAAGTTTCTGAGAATGCTTCTGTCTAGTTCTTATTTGAAGACATTTCCTTTCTCACCTTAGGCCTGAAAGCGCTCGAAATACCCACTTCCAGATACTACAGAAACAGTGATTCAAACCTGCTCTATGAAAGGGAATGTTCAACTAGGTGACTTGAATGCAAACATCACAAAGCAGTTTCTGAGAATGCTGCTGTCTACTTTCTATTTGTAATCCCGTTTCCAACGAAATCCTCAGAACTATCGAAATTTCCAATTGCAGATTCCACAGAAACAGGGTTTCAAAGCTGCTCTGTAAAAAGAAAGGTTCAACTCTGTTAGTTGAATACACACGTCACAAACAAGTTTCTGAGAATGCTTCTGTCTAGTTTTTATGGGAAGATATTTCCTTTTTCACCGTAGGCCTCAAAGCGCTCCAAATGTCCACTTCCACATACTACAAAAAGAGTGTTTCAAACCTGCTGTATGAAAGGGAATGTTCAACTCTATGAGTTGAATGCAAACATTACAAAGAAGTTTCTGAGAATGCTTCTGTCTAGATTTTATATGAAGGTTTTCCCGTTTCCAACGAAATTTTCAATGCTCTCAAAATATCCACTTGTAGATTCTACAAAAAGAGTGTTTCCAAACTGCTGTGTCAAAAGAAAGGTTCAACTCTGTTAGTTGAGGACACACATCACAAGTTTCTGAGAATGCTTCTGTCTAGTTCTTATTTGAAGACATTTCCTTTCTCACCTTAGGCCTGAAAACGCTCGAAATATCCACTTCCAGATACGACAGAAACAGTGATTCAAACCTGCTCTATGAAAGGGAATGTTCAACTATGTGACTTGAATGCAAACATCACAAAGCAGTTTCTGAGAATGCTGCTGTCTACTTTCTATTTGTAATCCCGTTTGCAACGAAATCCTCAGAACTATCGAAATTTCCAATTGCAGATTCCACAGAAACAGGGTTTCAAAGCTGCTCTGTAAAAAGAAAGGTTCAACTCTGTTAGTTGAATACACACGTCACAAACAAGTTTCTGAGAATGCTTCTGTCTAGTTTTTATGGGAAGATATTTCCTTTTTCACCGTAGGCCTCAAAGCGCTCCAAATGTCCACGTCCACATACTACAAAAAGAGTGTTTCAAACCTGCTGTATGAAAGGGAATGTTCAACTCTATGAGTTGAATGCAAACATTACAAAGAAGTTTCTGAGAATGCTTCTGTCTAGATTTTATATGAAGGTTTTCCCGTTTCCAACGAAATTTTCAATGCTCTCAAAATATCCACTTGTAGATTCTACAAAAAGAGTGTTTCCAAACTGCTGTGTCAAAAGAAAGGTTCAACTCTGTTAGTTGAGGACACACATCACAAATAAGTTTCTGAGAATGCTGCTGTCTACTTTCTATTTGTAATCCCGTTTCCAACGAAATCCTCAGCAACTATCGAAATTTCCAATTGCAGATTCCACAAAAAGCGTGTTTCAAAGCTGCTCTGTAAAAAGAAAGGTTCAACTCTGTTAGTTGAATACACACGTCACAAACAAGTTTCTGAGAATGCTTCTGTCTAGTTTTTATGGGAAGATATTTCCTTTTTCACCGTAGGCCTCAAAGCGCTCCAAATGTCCACGTCCACATACTACAAAAAGAGTGTTTCAAACCTGCTGTATGAAAGGGAATGTTCAACTCTATGAGTTGAATGCAAACATTACAAAGAAGTTTCTGAGAATGCTTCTGTCTAGATTTTATATGAAGGTTTTCCCGTTTCCAACGAAATTTTCAATGCTCTGAAAATATCCACCTGTAGATTCTACAAAAAGAGTGTTTCCAAACTGCTGTGTCAAAAGAAAGGTTCAACTCTGTTAGTTGAGGACACACATCACAAAGAAGTTTCTGAGAATGCTTCTGTCTAGTTCTTATTTGAAGACATTTCCTTTCTCACCTTAGGCCTGAAAACGCTCGAAATATCCACTTCCAGATACGACAGAAACAGTGATTCAAACCTGCTCTATGAAAGGGAATGTTCAACTAGGTGACTTGAATGCAAACATCACAAAGCAGTTTCTGAGAATGCTGCTGTCTACTTTCTATTTGTAATCCCGTTTCCAACGAAATCCTCAGAACTATCGAAATTTCCAATTGCAGATTCCACAAAAAGCGTGTTTCAAAGCTGCTCTGTAAAAAGAAAGGTTCAACTCTGTTAGTTGAATACACACGTCACAAACAAGTTTCTGAGAATGCTTCTGTCTAGTTTTTATGGGAAGATATTTCCTTTTTCACCGTAGGCCTCAAAGCGCTCCAAATGTCCACTTCCACATACTACAAAAAGAGTGTTTCAAACCTGCTCTATGATAGGGAATGTTGAAACCTATGAGTTGAATGCAAGCATTACAAAGAGGTTTCTGAGAATGCTTCTGTCTAGATTTTATATGTAGATATTCCCGTTTCCAACGAAATCCTCAAAGCTATCCAAATATCAACTTGCAGATTCTACAAAAGGAATGTTTCCAAAATGCTGTATCCAAACAAAGGTTCAACTCTGTGAATTGAGGGCATACATCACAAAGAAGATTCTGAGAATGCTTCTGTCTAGATTTTATATGAAAATATTCCCGTTTCCAACGAAATCCTCAAAGCTATCCAAATATCCACTTGCAAATGCCACAAAAAGAGTGTTTCCAAACTGCTCTGTGAAAAGGAAGGTTCAACTCTGTTAGTTGAGTACACACATCACAAAGAGGTTTCTGAGAATGCTGCTGACTAGTTTTTATTTGAAGATATTTCCCTTTTCACCTTAGGCCTAAGAGTGCTCGAAATGTCCATTTCCACATACTCCACAAAGTGTGTTTCAAACGTGCTGTATGAAAGGGAACGTTCAACTCTATGAGTTGAATGCAAACATCACAAAGAAGATTCTGAGAATGCTTTTGTCTAGATTTTATATGAAGATATTCCCGTGTCCAACGAAATTTTCAAAGGTCTCCAAATATCCATTTGTAGATTCTACAAAAAGAGTGTTTCCAAACTGCTGTATCAAAACAAAGGTTGAACTCTGTGAGTTGAGGACACACATCACAAATAAGTTTCTGAGAATGCTTCTGTCTAGTTTTTATTTGAAGATGTTTCCTTTTTCACCATAGGCCTGAAAGCGCTCGAAATGTCCACTTCCAGATAGTACAGAAAGAGTGTTTCAAACCTGCTCTATGAACGGGAATGTTCAGCTCTGTGAGTTGAATGCAAACATCACAAAGCAGGTTCTGAGAATGCTTCCGTCTAGATTTTAAATGAGGATATTCCCGTTTCCAACGAAATCCTCGAAGCTATCCAAATATCCACTTGCAGATTCCACAAAAAGAGTGTTTCAAAACTGCTCTGTCAAAAGATAGGTTCAACTCTGTTAGTTGAGTACACACATGGCAAACAAGATTCCGAGAATACTTTCGTCTAGTTTTTTTGGGAAGATATTTCCTACTTCACCATAGGCCTCAAAGCGCTCCAAATATCCATTTCCACATGCTATACAAAGAGTGTCTCAAACCTGCTGTATGAATGGGAATGTTCAACTCTATGAGTTGAATGCAAACATCACAAAGAAGTTTCTGAGAATGCTGCTGTCTAGATTTTATATGAAGGTTTTCCCGCTTCCAACGAAATTTTCAATGCTCTCAAAATATCCTCTTGTAGATTCTACAAAAAGAGTGTTTCCAAACTGCTGTATCAAAACAAAGGTTCATCTCTGTTAGTTGAGGACACACATCACAAATAAGTTTCTGAGAATGCTTGTTTCTAGTTCTTATTTGAAGACAATTTCCTTTCTCACCTTAGGCCTGAAAGCGCTCGAAATACCCACTTCCAGATACTACAGAAACAGTGATTCAAACCTGCTCTATGAAAGGGAATGTTCAACTAGGTGACTTGAATGCAAACATCACAAAGCAGTTTCTGAGAATGCTGCTGTCTACTTTCTATTTGTAATCCCGTTTCCAACGAAATCCTCAGAACTATCGAAATTTCCAATTGCAGATTCCACAAAAAGCGTGTTTCAAAGCTGCTCTGTAAAAAGAAAGGTTCAACTCTGTTAGTTGAATACACACGTCACAAACAAGTTTCTGAGAATGCTTCTGTCTAGTTTTTATGGGAAGATATTTCCTTTTTCACCGTAGGCCTCAAAGCGCTCCAAATGTCCACTTCCACATACTACAAAAAGAGTGTTTCAAACCTGCTCTATGATAGGGAATGTTGAAACCTATGAGTTGAATGCAAGCATTACAAAGAGGTTTCTGAGAATGCTTCTGTCTAGATTTTATATGTAGATATTCCCGTTTCCAACGAAATCCTCAAAGCTATCCAGATATCAACTTGCAGATTCTACAAAAGGAATGTTTCCAAAATGCTGTATCCAAACAAAGGTTCAACTCTGTGAATTGAGGGCATACATCACAAAGAAGATTCTGAGAATGCTTCTGTCTAGATTTTATATGAAAATATTCCCGTTTCCAACGAAATCCTCAAAGCTATCCAAATATCCACTTGCAAATGCCACAAAAAGAGTGTTTCCAAACTGCTCTGTGAAAAGGAAGGTTCAACTCTGTTAGTTGAGTACACACATCACAAAGAGGTTTCTGAGAATGCTGCTGACTAGTTTTTATTTGAAGATATTTCCCTTTTCACCTTAGGCCTAAGAGTGCTCGAAATGTCCATTTCCACATACTCCACAAAGTGTGTTTCAAACGTGCTGTATGAAAGGGAATGTTCAACTCTATGAGTTGAATGCAAACATCACAAAGAAGATTCTGAGAATGCTTTTGTCTAGATTTTATATGAAGATATTCCCGTGTCCAACGAAATTTTCAAAGGTCCCCAAATATCCATTTGTAGATTCTACAAAAAGAGTGTTTCCAAACTGCTGTATCAAAACAAAGGTTGAACTCTGTGAGTTGAGGACACACATCACAAATAAGTTTCTGAGAATGCTTCTGTCTAGTTTTTATTTGAAGATGTTTCCTTTTTCACCATAGGCCTGAAAGCGCTCGAAATGTCCACTTCCAGATAGTACAGAAAGAGTGTTTCAAACCTGCTCTATGAACGGGAATGTTCAGCTCTGTGAGTTGAATGCAAACATCACAAAGCAGGTTCTGAGAATGCTTCCGTCTAGATTTTAAATGAGGATATTCCCGTTTCCAACGAAATCCTCGAAGCTATCCAAATATCCACTTGCAGATTCCACAAAAAGAGTGTTTCAAAACTGCTCTGTCAAAAGATAGGTTCAACTCTGTTAGTTGAGTACACACATGGCAAACAAGATTGCGAGAATGCTTTCGTCTAGTTTTTTTGGGAAGATATTTCCTTCTTCACCATAGGCCTCAAAGCGCTCCAAATATCCATTTCCACATGCTATACAAAGAGTGTCTCAAACCTGCTGTATGAATGGGAATGTTCAACTCTATGAGTTGAATGCAAACATCACAAAGAAGTTTCTGAGAATGCTGCTGTCTAGATTTTATATGAAGGTTTTCCCGCTTCCAACGAAATTTTCAATGCTCTCAAAATATCCTCTTGTAGATTCTACAAAAAGAGTGTTTCCAAACTGCTGTATCAAAACAAAGGTTCATCTCTGTTAGTTGAGGACACACATCACAAATAAGTTTCTGAGAATGCTTCTGTCTAGTTCTTATTTGAAGACATTTCCTTTCTCACCTTAGGCCTGAAAGCGCTCGAAATACCCACTTCCAGATACTACAGAAACAGTGATTCAAACCTGCTCTATGAAAGGGAATGTTCAACTATGAGACTTGAATGCAAACATCACAAAGCAGTTTCTGAGAATGCTGCTGTCTACTTTCTATTTGTAATCCCGTTTCCAACGAAATCCTCAGAACTATCGAAATTTCCAATTGCAGATTCCACAGAAACAGGGTTTCAAAGCTGCTCTGTAAAAAGAAAGGTTCAACTCTGTTAGTTGAATACACACGTCACAAACAAGTTTCTGAGAATGCTTCTGTCTAGTTTTTATGGGAAGATATTTCCTTTTTCACGGTAGGCCTCAAAGCGCTCCAAATGTCCACTTCCACATACTACAAAAAGAGTGTTTCAAACCTGCTCTATGATAGGGAATGTTGAAACCTATGAGTTGAATGCAAGCATTACAAAGAGGTTTCTGAGAATGCTTCTGTCTAGATTTTATATGTAGATATTCCCGTTTCCAACGAAATCCTCAAAGCTATCCAAATATCAACTTGCAGATTCTACAAAAGGAATGTTTCCAAAATGCTGTATCCAAACAAAGGTTCAACTCTGTGAATTGAGGGCATACATCACAAAGAAGATTCTGAGAATGCTTCTGTCTAGAATTTATATGAAAATATTCCCGTTTCCAACGAAATCCTCAAAGCTATCCAAATATCCACTTGCAAATGCCACAAAAAGAGTGTTTCCAAACTGCTCTGTGAAAAGGAAGGTTCAACTCTGTTAGTTGAGTACACACATCACAAAGAGGTTTCTGAGAATGCTGCTGACTAGTTTTTATTTGAAGATATTTCCCTTTTCACCTTAGGCCTAAGAGTGCTCGAAATGTCCATTTCCACATACTCCACAAAGTGGGTTTCAAACGTGCTGTATGAAAGGGAATGTTCAACTCTATGAGTTGAATGCAAACATCACAAAGAAGATTCTGAGAATGCTTTTGTCTAGATTTTATATGAAGATATTCCCGTGTCCAACGAAATTTTCAAAGGTCTCCAAATAAAGATTGTTTCCAAACTGCTGTATCAAAACAAAGGTTGAACTCTGTGAGTTGAGGACACACATCACAAATAAGTTTCTGAGAATGCTTCTGTCTAGTTTTTATTTGAAGATGTTTCCTTTTTCACCATAGGCCTGAAAGCGCTCGAAATGTCCACTTCCAGATAGTACAGAAAGAGTGTTTCAAACCTGCTCTATGAACGGGAATGTTCAGCTCTGTGAGTTGAATGCAAACATCACAAAGCAGGTTCTGAGAATGCTTCCGTCTAGATTTTAAATGAGGATATTCCCGTTTCCAACGAAATCCTCGAAGCTATCCAAATATCCACTTGCAGATTCCACAAAAAGAGTGTTTCAAAACTGCTCTGTCAAAAGATAGGTTCAACTCTGTTAGTTGAGTACACACATGGCAAACAAGATTCCGAGAATGCTTTCGTCTAGTTTTTTTGGGAAGATATTTCCTTCTTCACCATAGGCCTCAAAGCGCTCCAAATATCCATTTCCACATGCTATACAAAGAGTGTCTCAAACCTGCTGTATGAATGGGAATGTTCAACTCTATGAGTTGAATGCAAACATCACAAAGAAGTTTCTGAGAATGCTGCTGTCTAGATTTTATATGAAGGTTTTCCCGCTTCCAACGAAATTTTCAATGCTCTCAAAATATCCTCTTGTAGATTAAAACAAAAAGAGTGTTTCCAAACTGCTGTATCAAAACAAAGGTTCATCTCTGTTAGTTGAGGACACACATCACAAATAAGTTTCTGAGAATGCTTCTGTCTAGTTCTTATTTGAAGACATTTCCTTTCTCACCTTAGGCTTGAAAGCGCTCGAAATATCCACTTCCAGATACGACAGAAACTGTGATTCAAACCTGCTCTATGAAAGGGAATGTTCAACTAGGTGACTTGAATGCAAACATCACAAAGCAGTTTCTGAGAATGCTGCTGTCTACTTTCTATTTGTAATCCCGTTTCCAACGAAATCCTCAGAACTATCGAAATTTCCAATTGCAGATTCCACAAAAAGCGTGTTTCAAAGCTGCTCTGTAAAAAGAAAGGTTCAACTCTGTTAGTTGAATACACACGTCACAAACAAGTTTCTGAGAATGCTTCTGTCTAGTTTTTATGGGAAGATATTTCCTTTATCACGGTAGGCCTCAAAGCGCTCCAAATGTCCACTTCCACATACTACAAAAAGAGTGTTTCAAACCTGCTCTATGATAGGGAATGTTGAAACCTATGAGTTGAATGCAAGCATTACAAAGAGGTTTCTGAGAATGCTTCTGTCTAGATTTTATATGTAGATATTCCCGTTTCCAACGAAATCCTCAAAGCTATCCAAATATCAACTTGCAGATTCTGCAAAAGGAATGTTTCCAAAATGCTGTATCCAAACAAAGGTTCAACTCTGTGAATTGAGGGCATACATCACAAAGAAGATTCTGAGAATGCTTCTGTCTAGATTTTATATGAAAATATTCCCGTTTCCAACGAAATCCTCAAAGCTATCCAAATATCCACTTGCAAATGCCACAAAAAGAGTGTTTCCAAACTGCTCTGTGAAAAGGAAGGTTCAACTCTGTTAGTTGAGTACACACATCACAAAGAGGTTTCTGAGAATGCTGCTGACTAGTTTTTATTTGAAGATATTTCCCTTTTCACCTTAGGCCTAAGAGTGCTCGAAATGTCCATTTCCACATACTCCACAAAGTGTGTTTCAAACGTGCTGTATGAAAGGGAATGTTCAACTCTATGAGTTGAATGCAAACATCACAAAGAAGATTCTGAGAATGCTTTTGTCTAGATTTTATATGAAGATATTCCCGTGTCCAACGAAATTTTCAAAGGTCTCCAAATATCCATTTGTAGATTCTACAAAAAGAGTGTTTCCAAACTGCTGTATCAAAACAAAGGTTGAACTCTGTGAGTTGAGGACACACATCACAAATAAGTTTCTGAGAATGCTTCTGTCTAGTTTTTATTTGAAGATGTTTCCTTTTTCACCATAGGCCTGAAAGCGCTCGAAATGTCCACTTCCAGATAGTACAGAAAGAGTGTTTCAAACCTGCTCTATGAACGGGAATGTTCAGCTCTGTGAGTTGAATGCAAACATCACAAAGCAGGTTCTGAGAATGCTTCCGTCTAGATTTTAAATGAGGATATTCCCGTTTCCAACGAAATCCTCGAAGCTATCCAAATATCCACTTGCAGATTCCACAAAAAGAGTGTTTCAAAACTGCTCTGTCAAAAGATAGGTTCAACTCTGTTAGTTGAGTACACACATGGCAAACAAGATTGCGAGAATGCTTTCGTCTAGTTTTTTTGGGAAGATATTTCCTTCTTCACCATAGGCCTCAAAGCGCTCCAAATATCCATTTCCACATGCTATAAAAAGAGTGTCTCAAAACTGCTGTATGAATGGGAATGTTCAACTCTATGAGTTGAATGCAAACATCACAAAGAAGTTTCTGAGAATGCTGCTGTCTAGATTTTATATGAAGGTTTTCCCGCTTCCAACGAAATTTTCAATGCTCTCAAAATATCCTCTTGTAGATTCTACAAAAAGAGTGTTTCCAAACTGCTGTATCAAAACAAAGGTTCATCTCTGTTAGTTGAGGACACACATCACAAATAAGTTTCTGAGAATGCTTCTGTCTAGTTCTTATTTGAAGACATTTCCTTTCTCACCTTAGGCCTGAAAGCGCTCGAAATACCCACTTCCAGATACTACAGAAACAGTGATTCAAACCTGCTCTATGAAAGGGAATGTTCAACTAGGTGACTTGAATGCAAACATCACAAAGCAGTTTCTGAGAATGCTGCTGTCTACTTTCAATTTGTAATCCCGTTTCCAACGAAATCCTCAGAACTATCGAAATTTCCAATTGCAGATTCCACAGAAACAGGGTTTCAAAGCTGCTCTGTAAAAAGAAAGGTTCAACTCTGTTAGTTGAATACACACGTCACAAACAAGTTTCTGAGAATGCTTCTGTCTAGTTTTTATGGGAAGATATTTCCTTTTTCACCGTAGGCCTCAAAGCGCTCCAAATGTCCACTTCCACATACTAGAAAAAGAGTGTTTCAAACCTGCTGTATGAAAGGGAATGTTCAACTCTATGAGTTGAATGCAAACATTACAAAGAAGTTTCTGAGAATGCTTCTGTCTAGATTTTATATGAAGGTTTTCCCGTTTCCAACGAAATTTTCAATGCTCTCAAAATATCCACTTGTAGATTCTACAAAAAGAGTGTTTCCAAACTGCTGTGTCAAAAGAAAGGTTCAACTCTGTTAGTTGAGGACACACATCACAAATAAGTTTCTGAGAATGCTTCTGTCTAGTTCTTATTTGAAGACATTTCCTTTCTCACCTTAGGCCTGAAAACGCTCGAAATATCCACTTCCAGATACGACAGAAACAGTGATTCAAACCTGCTCTATGAAAGGGAATGTTCAACTAGGTGACTTGAATGCAAACATCACAAAGCAGTTTCTGAGAATGCTGCTGTCTACTTTCTATTTGTAATCCCGTTTCCAACGAAATCCTCAGAACTATCGAAATTTCCAATTGCAGATTCCACAAAAAGCGTGTTTCAAAGCTGCTCTGTAAAAAGAAAGGTTCAACTCTGTTAGTTGAATACACACGTCACAAACAAGTTTCTGAGAATGCTTCTGTCTAGTTTTTATGGGAAGATATTTCCTTTTTCACCGTAGGCCTCAAAGCGCTCCAAATGTCCACTTCCACATACTACAAAAAGAGTGTTTCAAACCTGCTCTATGATAGGGAATGTTGAAACCTATGAGTTGAATGCAAGCATTACAAAGAAGTTTCTGAGAATGCTTCTGTCTAGATTTTATATGTAGATATTCCCGTTTCCAACGAAATCCTCAAAGCTATCCAAATATCAACTTGCAGATTCTACAAAAGGAATGTTTCCAAAATGCTGTATCCAAACAAAGGTTCAACTCTGTGAATTGAGGGCATACATCACAAAGAAGATTCCTGAGAATGCTTCTGTCTAGCATTTTATATGAAAATATTCCCGTTTCCAACGAAATCCTCAAAGCTATCCAAATATCCACTTGCAAATGCCACAAAAAGAGTGTTTCCAAACTGCTCTGTGAAAAGGAAGGTTCAACTCTGTTAGTTGAGTACACACATCACAAAGAGGTTTCTGAGAATGCTGCTGACTAGTTTTTATTTGAAGATATTTCCCTTTTCACCTTAGGCCTAAGAGTGCTCGAAATGTCCATTTCCACATACTCCACAAAGTGTGTTTCAAACGTGCTGTATGAAAGGGAATGTTCAACTCTATGAGTTGAATGCAAACATCACAAAGAAGATTCTGAGAATGCTTTTGTCTAGATTTTATATGAAGATATTCCCGTGTCCAACGAAATTTTCAAAGGTCTCCAAATATCCATTTGTAGATTCTACAAAAAGAGTGTTTCCAAACTGCTGTATCAAAACAAAGGTTGAACTCTGTGAGTTGAGGACACACATCACAAATAAGTTTCTGAGAATGCTTCTGTCTAGTTTTTATTTGAAGATGTTTCCTTTTTCACCATAGGCCTGAAAGCGCTCGAAATGTCCACTTCCAGATAGTACAGAAAGAGTGTTTCAAACCTGCTCTATGAACGGGAATGTTCAGCTCTGTGAGTTGAATGCAAACATCACAAAGCAGGTTCTGAGAATGCTTCCGTCTAGATTTTAAATGAGGATATTCCCGTTTCCAACGAAATCCTCGAAGCTATCCAAATATCCACTTGCAGATTCCACAAAAAGAGTGTTTCAAAACTGCTCTGTCAAAAGATAGGTTCAACTCTGTTAGTTGAGTACACACATGGCAAACAAGATTCCGAGAATGCTTTCGTCTAGTTTTTTTGGGAAGATATTTCCTTCTTCACCATAGGCCTCAAAGCGCTCCAAATATCCATTTCCACATGCTATACAAAGAGTGTCTCAAACCTGCTGTATGAATGGGAATGTTCAACTCTATGAGTTGAATGCAAACATCACAAAGAAGTTTCTGAGAATGCTGCTGTCTAGATTTTATATGAAGGTTTTCCCGCTTCCAACGAAATTTTCAATGCTCTCAAAATATCCTCTTGCAGATTCTACAAAAAGAGTGTTTCCAAACTGCTGTATCAAAACAAAGGTTCATCTCTGTTAGTTGAGGACACACATCACAAATAAGTTTCTGAGAATGCTTCTGTCTAGTTCTTATTTGAAGACATTTCCTTTCTCACCTTAGGCCTGAAAGCGCTCGAAATACCCACTTCCAGATACTACAGAAACAGTGATTCAAACCTGCTCTATGAAAGGGAATGTTCAACTAGGTGACTTGAATGCAAACATCACAAAGCAGTTTCTGAGAATGCTGCTGTCTACTTTCTATTTGTAATCCCGTTTCCAACGAAATCCTCAGAACTATCGAAATTTCCAATTGCAGATTCCACAGAAACAGGGTTTCAAAGCTGCTCTGTAAAAAGAAAGGTTCAACTCTGTTAGTTGAATACACACGTCACAAACAAGTTTCTGAGAATGCTTCTGTCTAGTTTTTATGGGAAGATATTTCCTTTTTCACCGTAGGCCTCAAAGCGCTCCAAATGTCCACTTCCACATACTACAAAAAGAGTGTTTCAAACCTGCTGTATGAAAGGGAATGTTCAACTCTATGAGTTGAATGCAAACATTACAAAGAAGTTTCTGAGAATGCTTCTGTCTAGATTTTATATGAAGGTTTTCCCGTTTCCAACGAAATTTTCAATGCTCTCAAAATATCCACTTGTAGATTCTACAAAAAGAGTGTTTCCAAACTGCTGTGTCAAAAGAAAGGTTCAACTCTGTTAGTTGAGGACACACATCACAAATAAGTTTCTGAGAATGCTTCTGTCTAGTTCTTATTTGAAGACATTTCCTTTCTCACCTTAGGCCTGAAAACGCTCGAAATATCCACTTCCAGATGCGACAGAAACAGTGATTCAAACCTGCTCTATGAAAGGGAATGTTCAACTAGGTGACTTGAATGCAAACATCACAAAGCAGTTTCTGAGAATGCTGCTGTCTACTTTCTATTTGTAATCCCGTTTCCAACGAAATCCTCAGAACTATCGAAATTTCCAATTGCAGATTCCACAAAAAGCGTGTTTCAAAGCTGCTCTGTAAAAAGAAAGGTTCAACTCTGTTAGTTGAATACACACGTCACAAACAAGTTTCTGAGAATGCTTCTGTCTAGTTTTTATGGGAAGATATTTCCTTTTTCACCGTAGGCCTCAAAGCGCTCCAAATGTCCACTTCCACATACTACAAAAAGAGTGTTTCAAACCTGCTCTATGATAGGGAATGTTGAAACCTATGAGTTGAATGCAAGCATTACAAAGAGGTTTCTGAGAATGCTTCTGTCTAGATTTTATATGTAGATATTCCCGTTTCCAACGAAATCCTCAAAGCTATCCAAATATCAACTTGCAGATTCTACAAAAGGAATGTTTCCAAAATGCTGTATCCAAACAAAAGTTCAACTCTGTGAATTGAGGGCATACATCACAAAGAAGATTCTGAGAATGCTTCTGTCTAGATTTTATATGAAAATATTCCCGTTTCCAACGAAATCCTCAAAGCTATCCAAATATCCACTTGCAAATGCCACAAAAAGAGTGTTTCCAAACTGCTCTGTGAAAAGGAAGGTTCAACTCTGTTAGTTGAGTACACACATCACAAAGAGGTTTCTGAGAATGCTGCTGAC
Source organism: Homo sapiens (assembly GCF_000001405.40). Classification (NCBI taxonomy): domain Eukaryota; kingdom Metazoa; phylum Chordata; class Mammalia; order Primates; family Hominidae; genus Homo; species Homo sapiens. Next base: position 19,295,558 of record NC_000015.10, on the reverse strand, counting down.
TAGTTTTTATTTGAAGATATTTCCCTTTTCACCTTAGGCCTAAGAGTGCTCGAAATGTCCATTTCCACATACTCCACAAAGTGTGTTTCAAACGTGCTGTATGAAAGGGAATGTTCAACTCTATGAGTTGAATGCAAACATCACAAAGAAGATTCTGAGAATGCTTTTGTCTAGATTTTATATGAAGATATTCCCGTGTCCAACGAAATTTTCAAATGTCTCCAAATAAAGATTGTTTCCAAACTGCTGTATCAAAACAAAGGTTGAACTCTGTGAGTTGAGGACACACATCACAAATAAGTTTCTGAGAATGCTTCTGTCTAGTTTTTATTTGAAGATGTTTCCTTTTTCACCATAGGCCTGAAAGCGCTCGAAATGTCCACTTCCAGATAGTACAGAAAGAGTGTTTCAAACCTGCTCTATGAACGGGAATGTTCAGCTCTGTGAGTTGAATGCAAACATCACAAAGCAGGTTCTGAGAATGCTTCCGTCTAGATTTTAAATGAGGATATTCCCGTTTCCAACGAAATCCTCGAAGCTATCCAAATATCCACTTGCAGATTCCACAGAAAGAGTGTTTCAAAACTGCTCTCTCAAAAGATAGGTTCAACTCTGTTAGTTGAGTACACACATGGCAAACAAGATTCCGAGAATGCTTTCGTCTAGTTTTTTTGGGAAGATATTTCCTTCTTCACCATAGGCCTCAAAGCGCTCCAAATATCCATTTCCACATGCTATACAAAGAGTGTCTCAAACCTGCTGTATGAATGGGAATGTTCAACTCTATGAGTTGAATGCAAACATCACAAAGAAGTTTCTGAGAATGCTGCTGTCTAGATTTTATATGAAGGTTTTCCCGCTTCCAACGAAATTTTCAATGCTCTCAAAATATCCTCTTGTAGATTCTACAAAAAGAGTGTTTCCAAACTGCTGTATCAAAACAAAGGTTCATCTCTGTTAGTTGAGGACACACATCACAAATAAGTTTCTGAGAATGCTTCTGCCTAGTTCTTATTTGAAGACATTTCCTTTCTCACCTTAGGCCTGAAAACGCTCGAAATATCCACTTCCAGATACGACAGAAACAGTGATTCAAACCTGCTCTATGAAAGGGAATGTTCAACTAGGTGACTTGAATGCAAACATCACAAAGCAGTTTCTGAGAATGCTGCTGTCTACTTTCTATTTGTAATCCCGTTTCCAACGAAATCCTCAGAACTATCGAAATTTCCAATTGCAGATTCCACAAAAAGCGTGTTTCAAAGCTGCTCTGTAAAAAGAAAGGTTCAACTCTGTTAGTTGAATACACACGTCACAAACAAGTTTCTGAGAATGCTTCTGTCTAGTTTTTATGGGAAGATATTTCCTTTTTCACCGTAGGCCTCAAAGCGCTCCAAATGTCCACTTCCACATACTACAAAAAGAGTGTTTCAAACCTGCTCTATGATAGGGAATGTTGAAACCTATGAGTTGAATGCAAGCATTACAAAGAGGTTTCTGAGAATGCTTCTGTCTAGTATTTTATATGTAGATATTCCCGTTTCCAACGAAATCCTCAAAGCTATCCAAATATCAACTTGCAGATTCTACAAAAGGAATGTTTCCAAAATGCTGTATCCAAACAAAGGTTCAACTCTGTGAATTGAGGGCATACATCACAAAGAAGATTCTGAGAATGCTTCTGTCTAGATTTTATATGAAAATATTCCCGTTTCCAACGAAATCCTCAAAGCTATCCAAATATCCACTTGCAAATGCCACAAAAAGAGTGTTTCCAAACTGCTCTGTGAAAAGGAAGGTTCAACTCTGTTAGTTGAGTACACACATCACAAAGAGGTTTCTGAGAATGCTGCTGGCTAGTTTTTATTTGAAGATATTTCCCTTTTCACCTTAGGCCTAAGAGTGCTCGAAATGTCCCTTTCCACATACTCCACAAAGTGTGTTCCAAACGTGCTGTATGAAAGGGAATGTTCAACTCTATGAGTTGAATGCAAACATCACAAAGAAGATTCTGAGAATGCTTTTGTCTAGATTTTATATGAAGATATTCCCGTGTCCAACGAAATTTTCAATGGTCTCCAAATATCCATTTGTAGATTCTACAAAAAGAGTGTTTCCAAACTGCTGTATCAAAACAAAGGTTGAACTCTGTGAGTTGAGGACACACATCACAAATAAGTTTCTGAGAATGCTTTCTGTCTAGTTTTTATTTGAAGATGTTTCCTTTTTCACCATAGGCCTGAAGCGCTCGAAATGTCCACTTCCAGATAGTACAGAAAGAGTGTTTCAAACCTGCTCTATGAACGGGAATGTTCACCTCTGTGAGTTGAATGCAAACATCACAAAGCAGGTTCTGAGAATGCTTCCGTCTAGATTTTAAATGAGGATATTCCCGTTTCCAACGAAATCCTCGAAGCTATCCAAATATCCACTTGCAGATTCCACAAAAAGAGTGTTTCAAAACTGCTCTGTCAAAAGATAGGTTCAACTCTGTTAGTTGAGTACACACATGGCAAACAAGATTCCGAGAATGCTTTCGTCTAGTTTTTTTGGGAAGATATTTCCTTCTTCACCATAGGCCTCAAAGCGCTCCAAATATCCATTTCCACATGCTATACAAAGAGTGTCTCAAACCTGCTGTATGAATGGGAATGTTCAACTCTATGAGTTGAATGCAAACATCACAAAGAAGTTTCTGAGAATGCTGCTGTCTAGATTTTATATGAAGGTTTTCCCGCTTCCAACGAAATTTTCAATGCTCTCAAAATATCCTCTTGTAGATTCTACAAAAAGAGTGTTTCCAAACTGCTGTATCAAAACAAAGGTTCATCTCTGTTAGTTCAGGACACACATCACAAATAAGTTTCTGAGAATGTTTCTGTCTAGTTCTTATTTGAAGACATTTCCTTTCTCACCTTAGGCCTGAAAGCGCTCGAAATACACACTTCCAGATACTACAGAAACAGTGATTCAAACCTGCTCTATGAAAGCGAATGTTCAACTAGGTGACTTGAATGCAAACATCACAAAGCAGTTTCTGAGAATGCTGCTGTCTACTTTCTATTTGTAATCCCGTTTCCAACGAAATCCTCAGAACTATCGAAATTTCCAATTGCAGATTCCACAGAAACAGGGTTTCAAAGCTGCTCTGTAAAAAGAAAGGTTCAACTCTGTTAGTTGAATACACACGTCACAAACAAGTTTCTGAGAATGCTTCTGTCTAGTTTTTATGGGAAGATATTTCCTTTTTCACGGTAGGCCTCAAAGCGCTCCAAATGTCCACTTCCACATACTACAAAAAGAGTGTTTCAAACCTGCTCTATGATAGGGAATGTTGAAACCTATGAGTTGAATGCAAGCATTACAAAGAGGTTTCTGAGAATGCTTCTGTCTAGATTTTATATGTAGATATTCCCGTTTCCAACGAAATCCTCAAAGCTATCCAAATATCAACTTGCAGATTCTACAAAAGGAATGTTTCCAAAATGCTGTATCCAAACAAAGGTTCAACTCTGTGAATTGAGGGCATACATCACAAAGAAGATTCTGAGAATGCTTCTGTCTAGATTTTATATGAAAATATTCCCGTTTCCAACGAAATCCTCAAAGCTATCCAAATATCCACTTGCAAATGCCACAAAAAGAGTGTTTCCAAACTGCTCTGTGAAAAGGAAGGTTCAACTCTGTTAGTTGAGTACACACATCACAAAGAGGTTTCTGAGAATGCTGCTGACTAGTTTTTATTTGAAGATATTTCCCTTTTCACCTTAGGCCTAAGAGTGCTCGAAATGTCCATTTCCACATACTCCACAAAGTGTGTTTCAAACGTGCTGTATGAAAGGGAATGTTCAACTCTATGAGTTGAATGCAAACATCACAAAGAAGATTCTGAGAATGCTTTTGTCTAGATTTTATATGAAGATATTCCCGTGTCCAACGAAATTTTCAAATGTCTCCAAATAAAGATTGTTTCCAAACTGCTGTATCAAAACAAAGGTTGAACTCTGTGAGTTGAGGACACACATCACAAATAAGTTTCTGAGAATGCTTCTGTCTAGTTTTTATTTGAAGATGTTTCCTTTTTCACCATAGGCCTGAAAGCGCTCGAAATGTCCACTTCCAGATAGTACAGAAAGAGTGTTTCAAACCTGCTCTATGAACGGGAATGTTCAGCTCTGTGAGTTGAATGCAAACATCACAAAGCAGGTTCTGAGAATGCTTCCGTCTAGATTTTAAATGAGGATATTCCCGTTTCCAACGAAATCCTCGAAGCTATCCAAATATCCACTTGCAGATTCCACAGAAAGAGTGTTTCAAAACTGCTCTGTCAAAAGATAGGTTCAACTCTGTTAGTTGAGTACACACATGGCAAACAAGATTGCGAGAATGCTTTCGTCTAGTTTTTTTGGGAAGATATTTCCTTCTTCACCATAGGCCTCAAAGCGCTCCAAATATCCATTTCCACATGCTATACAAAGAGTGTCTCAAACCTGCTGTATGAATGGGAATGTTCAACTCTATGAGTTGAATGCAAACATCACAAAGAAGTTTCTGAGAATGCTGCTGTCTAGATTTTATATGAAGGTTTTCCCGCTTCCAACGAAATTTTCAATGCTCTCAAAATATCCTCTTGTAGATTCTACAAAAAGAGTGTTTCCAAACTGCTGTATCAAAACAAAGGTTCATCTCTGTTAGTTGAGGACACACATCACAAATAAGTTTCTGAGAATGCTTCTGTCTAGTTCTTATTTGAAGACATTTCCTTTCTCACCTTAGGCCTGAAAGCGCTCGAAATACCCACTTCCAGATACTACAGAAACAGTGATTCAAACCTGCTCTATGAAAGGGAATGTTCAACTCTATGAGTTGAATGCAAACATCACAAAGCAGTTTCTGAGAATGCTGCTGTCTACTTTCTATTTGTAATCCCGTTTCCAACGAAATCCTCAGAACTATCGAAATTTCCAATTGCAGATTCCACAGAAACAAGGTTTCAAAGCTGCTCTGTAAAAAGAAAGGTTCAACTCTGTTAGTTGAATACACACGTCACAAACAAGTTTCTGAGAATGCTTCTGTCTAGTTTTTATGGGAAGATATTTCCTTTTTCACCGTAGGCCTCAAAGCGCTCCAAATGTCCACTTCCACATACTACAAAAAGAGTGTTTCAAACCTGCTGTATGAAAGGGAATGTTCAACTCTATGAGTTGAATGCAAACATTACAAAGAAGTTTCTGAGAATGCTTCTGTCTAGATTTTATATGAAGGTTTTCCCGTTTCCAACGAAATTTTCAATGCTCTCAAAATATCCACTTGTAGATTCTACAAAAAGAGTGTTTCCAAACTGCTGTGTCAAAAAAAAGGTTCAACTCTGTTAGTTGAGGACACACATCACAAATAAGTTTCTGAGAATGCTGCTGTCTACTTTCTATTTGTAATCCCGTTTCCAACGAAATCCTCAGAACTATCAAAATTTCCAATTGCAGATTCCACAAAAAGCGTGTTTCAAAGCTGCTCTGTAAAAAGAAAGGTTCAACTCTGTTAGTTGAATACACACGTCACAAACAAGTTTCTGAGAATGCTTCTGTCTAGTTTTTATGGGAAGATATTTCCTTTTTCACCGTAGGCCTCAAAGCGCTCCAAATGTCCACTTCCACATACTACAAAAAGAGTGTTTCAAACCTGCTCTATGATAGGGAATGTTGAAACCTATGAGTTGAATGCAAGCATTACAAAGAGGTTTCTGAGAATGCTTCTGTCTAGATTTTATATGTAGATATTCCCGTTTCCAACGAAATCCTCAAAGCTATCCAAATATCAACTTGCAGATTCTACAAAAGGAATGTTTCCAAAATGCTGTATCCAAACAAAGGTTCAACTCTGGGAATTGAGGGCATACATCACAAAGAAGATTCTGAGAATGCTTCTGTCTAGATTTTATATGAAAATATTCCCGTTTCCAACGAAATCCTCAAAGCTATCCAAATATCCACTTGCAAATGCCACAAAAAGAGTGTTTCCAAACTGCTCTGTGAAAAGGAAGGTTCAACTCTGTTAGTTGAGTACACACATCACAAAGAGGTTTCTGAGAATGCTGCTGACTAGTTTTTATTTGAAGATATTTCCCTTTTCACCTTAGGCCTAAGAGTGCTCGAAATGTCCATTTCCACATACTCCACAAAGTGTGTTTCAAACGTGCTGTATGAAAGGGAATGTTCAACTCTATGAGTTGAATGCAAATATCACAAAGAAGATTCTGAGAATGCTTTTGTCTAGATTTTATATGAAGATATTCCCGTGTCCAACGAAATTTTCAAAGGTCTCCAAATATCCATTTGTAGATTCTACAAAAAGAGTGTTTCCAAACTGCTGTATCAAAACAAAGGTTGAACTCTGTGAGTTGAGGACACACATCACAAATAAGTTTCTGAGAATGCTTCCTGTCTAGTTTTTATTTGAAGATGTTTCCTTTTTCACCATAGGCCTGAAAGCGCTCGAAATGTCCACTTCCAGATAGTACAGAAAGAGTGTTTCAAACCTGCTCTATGAACGGGAATGTTCAGCTCTGTGAGTTGAATGCAAACATCACAAAGCAGGTTCTGAGAATGCTTCCGTCTAGATTTTAAATGAGGATATTCCCGTTTCCAACGAAATCCTCGAAGCTATCCAAATATCCACTTGCAGATTCCACAGAAAGAGTGTTTCAAAACTGCTCTCTCAAAAGATAGGTTCAACTCTGTTAGTTGAGTACACACATGGCAAACAAGATTCCGAGAATGCTTTCGTCTAGTTTTTTTGGGAAGATATTTCCTTCTTCACCATAGGCCTCAAAGCGCTCCAAATATCCATTTCCACATGCTATACAAAGAGTGTCTCAAACCTGCTGTATGAATGGGAATGTTCAACTCTATGAGTTGAATGCAAACATCTCAAAGAAGTTTCTGAGAATGCTGCTGTCTAGATTTTATATGAAGGTTTTCCCGCTTCCAACGAAATTTTCAATGCTCTCAAAATATCCTCTTGTAGATTCTACAAAAAGAGTGTTTCCAAACTGCTGTATCAAAACAAAGGTTCATCTCTGTTAGTTGAGGACACACATCACAAATAAGTTTCTGAGAATGCTTCTGTCTAGTTCTTATTTGAAGACATTTCCTTTCTCACCTTAGGCCTGAAAGCGCTCGAAATACCCACTTCCAGATACTACAGAAACAGTGATTCAAACCTGCTCTATGAAAGGGAATGTTCAACTAGGTGACTTGAATGCAAACATCACAAAGCAGTTTCTGAGAATGCTGCTGTCTACTTTCTATTTGTAATCCCGTTTCCAACGAAATCCTCAGAACTATCGAAATTTCCAATTGCAGATTCCACAGAAACAGGGTTTCAAAGCTGCTCTGTAAAAAGAAAGGTTCAACTCTGTTAGTTGAATACACACGTCACAAACAAGTTTCTGAGAATGCTTCTGTCTAGTTTTTATGGGAAGATATTTCCTTTTTCACCGTAGGCCTCAAAGCGCTCCAAATGTCCACGTCCACATACTACAAAAAGAGTGTTTCAAACCTGCTGTATGAAAGGGAATGTTCAACTCTATGAGTTGAATGCAAACATTACAAAGAAGTTTCTGAGAATGCTTCTGTCTAGATTTTATATGAAGGTTTTCCCGTTTCCAACGAAATTTTCAATGCTCTCAAAATATCCACTTGTAGATTCTACAAAAAGAGTGTTTCCAAACTGCTGTGTCAAAAGAAAGGTTCAACTCTGTTAGTTGAGGACACACATCACAAATAAGTTTCTGAGAATGCTTCTGTCTAGTTCTTATTTGAAGACATTTCCTTTCTCACCTTAGGCCTGAAAACGCTCGAAATATCCACTTCCAGATACGACAGAAACAGTGATTCAAACCTGCTCTATGAAAGGGAATGTTCAACTAGGTGACTTGAATGCAAACATCACAAAGCAGTTTCTGAGAATGCTGCTGTCTACTTTCTATTTGTAATCCCGTTTCCAACGAAATCCTCAGAACTATCGAAATTTCCAATTGCAGATTCCACAAAAAGCGTGTTTCAAAGCTGCTCTGTAAAAAGAAAGGTTCAACTCTGTTAGTTGAATACACACGTCACAAACAAGTTTCTGAGAATGCTTCTGTCTAGTTTTTATGGGAAGATATTTCCTTTTTCACCGTAGGCCTCAAAGCGCTCCAAATGTCCACTTCCACATACTACAAAAAGAGTGTTTCAAACCTGCTCTATGATAGGGAATGTTGAAACCTATGAGTTGAATGCAAGCATTACAAAGAGGTTTCTGAGAATGCTTCTGTCTAGATTTTATATGTAGATATTCCCGTTTCCAACGAAATCCTCAAAGCTATCCAAATATCAACTTGCAGATTCTACAAAAGGAATGTTTCCAAAATGCTGTATCCAAACAAAGGTTCAACTCTGTGAATTGAGGGCATACATCACAAAGAAGATTCTGAGAATGCTTCTGTCAAGATTTTATATGAAAACATTCCCGTTTCCAACAAAATCCTCAAAGCTATCCAAATATCCACTTGCAAATGCCACAAAAAGAGTGTTTCCAAACTGCTCTGTGAAAAGGAAGGTTCAACTCTGTTAGTTGAGTACACACATCACAAAGAGGTTTCTGAGAATGCTGCTGACTAGTTTTTATTTGAAGATATTTCACTTTTCACCTTAGGCCTAAGAGTGCTCGAAATGTCCATTTCCACATACTCCACAAAGTGTGTTTCAAACGTGCTGTATGAAAGGTAATGTTCAACTCTATGAGTTGAATGCAAACATCACAAAGAAGATTCTGAGAATGCTTTTGTCTAGATTTTATATGAAGATATTCCCGTGTCCAACGAAATTTTCAAAGGTCTCCAAATATCCATTTGTAGATTCTACAAAAAGAGTGTTTCCAAACTGCTGTATCAAAACAAAGGTTGAACTCTGTGAGTTGAGGACACACATCACAAATAAGTTTCTGAGAATGCTTCTGTCTAGTTTTTATTTGAAGATGTTTCCTTTTTCACCATAGGCCTGAAAGCGCTCGAAATGTCCACTTCCAGATAGTACAGAAAGAGTGTTTCAAACCTGCTCTATGAACGGGAATGTTCAGCTCTGTGAGTTGAATGCAAACATCACAAAGCAGGTTCTGAGAATGCTTCCGTCTAGATTTTAAATGAGGATATTCCCGTTTCCAACGAAATCCTCGAAGCTATCCAAATATCCACTTGCAGATTCCACAAAAAGAGTGTTTCAAAACTGCTCTGTCAAAAGATAGGTTCAACTCTGTTAGTTGAGTACACACATGGCAAACAAGATTCCGAGAATGCTTTCGTCTAGTTTTTTTGGGAAGATATTTCCTTCTTCACCATAGGCCTCAAAGCGCTCCAAATATCCATTTCCACATGCTATACAAAGAGTGTCTCAAACCTGCTGTATGAATGGGAATGTTCAACTCTATGAGTTGAATGCAAACATCACAAAGAAGTTTCTGAGAATGCTGCTGTCTAGATTTTATATGAAGGTTTTCCCGCTTCCAACGAAATTTTCAATGCTCTCAAAATATCCTCTTGTAGATTCTACAAAAAGAGTGTTTCCAAACTGCTGTATCAAAACAAAGGTTCATCTCTGTTAGTTGAGGACACACATCACAAATAAGTTTCTGAGAATGCTTCTGTCTAGTTCTTATTTGAAGACATTTCCTTTCTCACCTTAGGCCTGAAAACGCTCGAAATATCCACTTCCAGATACGACAGAAACTGTGATTCAAACCTGCTCTATGAAAGGGAATGTTCAACTAGGTGACTTGAATGCAAACATCACAAAGCAGTTTCTGAGAATGCTGCTGTCTACTTTCTATTTGTAATCCCGTTTCCAACGAAATCCTCAGAACCATCGAAATTTCCAATTGCAGATTCCACAGAAACAGGGTTTCAAAGCTGCTCTGTAAAAAGAAAGGTTCAACTCTGTTAGTTGAATACACACGTCACAAACAAGTTTCTGAGAATGCTTCTGTCTAGTTTTTATGGGAAGATATTTCCTTTTTCACGGTAGGCCTCAAAGCGCTCCAAATGTCCACTTCCACATACTACAAAAAGAGTGTTTCAAACCTGCTCTATGATAGGGAATGTTGAAACCTATGAGTTGAATGCAAGCATTACAAAGAGGTTTCTGAGAATGCTTCTGTCTAGATTTTATATGTAGATATTCCCGTTTCCAACGAAATCCTCAAAGCTATCCAAATATGAACTTGCAGATTCTACAAAAGGAATGTTTCCAAAATGCTGTATCCAAACAAAGGTTCAACTCTGTGAATTGAGGGCATACATCACAAAGAAGATTCTGAGAATGCTTCTGTCTAGATTTTATATGAAAATATTCCCGTTTCCAATGAAATCCTCAAAGCTATCCAAATATCCACTTGCAAATGCCACAAAAAGAGTGTTTCCAAACTGCTCTGTGAAAAGGAAGGTTCAACTCTGTTAGTTGAGTACACACATCACAAAGAGGTTTCTGAGAATGCTGCTGACTAGTTTTTATTTGAAGATATTTCCCTTTTCACCTTAGGCCTAAGAGTGCTCGAAATGTCCATTTCCACATACTCCACAAAGTGTGTTTCAAACGTGCTGTATGAAAGGGAATGTTCAACTCTATGAGTTGAATGCAAAGATCACAAAGAAGATTCTGAGAATGCTTTTGTCTAGATTTTATATGAAGATATTCCCGTGTCCAACGAAATTTTCAAAGGTCTCCAAATATCCATTTGTAGATTCTACAAAAAGAGTGTTTCCAAACTGCTGTATCAAAACAAAGGTTGAACTCTGTGAGTTGAGGACACACATCACAAATAAGTTTCTGAGAATGCTTCTGTCTAGTTTTTATTTGAAGATGTTTCCTTTTTCACCATAGGCCTGAAAGCGCTCGAAATGTCCACTTCCAGATAGTACAGAAAGAGTGTTTCAAACCTGCTCTATGAACGGGAATGTTCAGCTCTGTGAGTTGAATGCAAACATCACAAAGCAGGTTCTGAGAATGCTTCCGTCTAGATTTTAAATGAGGATATTCCCGTTTCCAACGAAATCCTCGAAGCTATCCAAATATCCACTTGCAGATTCCACAAAAAGAGTGTTTCAAAACTGCTCTGTCAAAAGATAGGTTCAACTCTGTTAGTTGAGTACACACATGGCAAACAAGATTGCGAGAATGCTTTCGTCTAGTTTTTTTGGGAAGATATTTCCTTCTTCACCATAGGCCTCAAAGCGCTCCAAATATCCATTTCCACATGATATACAAAGAGTGTCTCAAACCTGCTGTATGAATGGGAATGTTCAACTCTATGAGTTGAATGCAAACATCACAAAGAAGTTTCTGAGAATGCTGCTGTCTAGATTTTATATGAAGGTTTTCCCGCTTCCAACGAAATTTTCAATGCTCTCAAAATATCCTCTTGTAGATTCTACAAAAAGAGTGTTTCCAAACTGCTGTATCAAAACAAAGGTTCATCTCTGTTAGTTGAGGACACACATCACAAATAAGTTTCTGAGAATGCTTCTGTCTAGTTCTTATTTGAAGACATTTCCTTTCTCACCTTAGGCCTGAAAGCGCTCGAAATACCCACTTCCAGATACTACAGAAACAGTGATTCAAACCTGCTCTATGAAAGGGAATGTTCAACTAGGTGACTTGAATGCAAACATCACAAAGCAGTTTCTGAGAATGCTGCTGTCTACTTTCTATTTGTAATCCCGTTTCCAACGAAATCCTCAGAACTATCGAAATTTCCAATTGCAGATTCCACAGAAACAGGGTTTCAAAGCTGCTCTGTAAAAAGAAAGGTTCAACTCTGTTAGTTGAATACACACGTCACAAACAAGTTTCTGAGAATGCTTCTGTCTAGTTTTTATGGGAAGATATTTCCTTTTTCACCGTAGGCCTCAAAGCGCTCCAAATGTCCACTTCCACATACTACAAAAAGAGTGTTTCAAACCTGCTGTATGAAAGGGAATGTTCAACTCTATGAGTTGAATGCAAACATTACAAAGAAGTTTCTGAGAATGCTTCTGTCTAGATTTTATATGAAGGTTTTCCCGTTTCCAACGAAATTTTCAATGCTCTGAAAATATCCACTTGTAGATTCTACAAAAAGAGTGTTTCCAAACTGCTGTGTCAAAAGAAAGGTTCAACTCTGTTAGTTGAGGACACACATCACAAATAAGTTTCATGAGAATGCTTCTGTCTAGTTCTTATTTGAAGACATTTCCTTTCTCACCTTAGGCCTGAAAACGCTCGAAATATCCACTTCCAGATACGACAGAAACAGTGATTCAAACCTGCTCTATGAAAGGGAATGTTCAACTAGGTGACTTGAATGCAAACATCACAAAGCAGTTTCTGAGAATGCTGCTGTCTACTTTCTATTTGTAATCCCGTTTCCAACGAAATCCTCAGAACTATCGAAATTTCCAATTGCAGATTCCACAAAAAGCGTGTTTCAAAGCTGCTCTGTAAAAAGAAAGGTTCAACTCTGTTAGTTGAATACACACGTCACAAACAAGTTTCTGAGAATGCTTCTGTCTAGTTTTTATGGGAAGATATTTCCTTTTTCACCGTAGGCCTCAAAGCGCTCCAAATGTCCACTTTCACATACTACAAAAAGAGTGTTTCAAACCTGCTCTATGATAGGGAATGTTGAAACCTATGAGTTGAATGCAAGCATTACAAAGAGGTTTCTGAGAATGCTTCTGTCTAGATTTTATATGTAGATATTCCCGTTTCCAACGAAATCCTCAAAGCTATCCAAATATCAACTTGCAGATTCTACAAAAGGAATGTTTCCAAAATGCTGTATCCAAACAAAGGTTCAACTCTGTGAATTGAGGGCATACATCACAAAGAAGATTCTGAGAATGCTTCTGTCTAGATTTTATATGAAAATATTCCCGTTTCCAACGAAATCCTCAAAGCTATCCAAATATCCACTTGCAAATGCCACAAAAAGAGTGTTTCCAAACTGCTCTGTGAAAAGGAAGGTTCAACTCTGTTAGTTGAGTACACACATCACAAAGAGGTTTCTGAGAATGCTGCTGACTAGTTTTTATTTGAAGATATTTCCCTTTTCACCTTAGGCCTAAGAGTGCTCGAAATGTCCATTTCCACATACTCCACAAAGTGTGTTTCAAACGTGCTGTATGAAAGGGAATGTTCAACTCTATGAGTTGAATGCAAACATCACAAAGAAGATTCTGAGAATGCTTTTGTCTAGATTTTATATGAAGATATTCCCGTGTCCAACGAAATTTTCAAAGGTCTCCAAATATCCATTTGTAGATTCTACAAAAAGAGTGTTTCCAAACTGCTGTATCAAAACAAAGGTTGAACTCTGTGAGTTGAGGACACACATCACAAATAAGTTTCTGAGAATGCTTCTGTCTAGTTTTTATTTGAAGATGTTTCCTTTTTCACCATAGGCCTGAAAGCGCTCGAAATGTCCACTTCCAGATAGTACAGAAAGAGTGTTTCAAACCTGCTCTATGAACGGGAATGTTCAGCTCTGTGAGTTGAATGCAAACATCACAAAGCAGGTTCTGAGAATGTTTCCGTCTAGATTTTAAATGAGGATATTCCCGTTTCCAACGAAATCCTCGAAGCTATCCAAATATCCACTTGCAGATTCCACAAAAAGAGTGTTTCAAAACTGCTCTGTCAAAAGATAGGTTCAACTCTGTTAGTTGAGTACACACATGGCAAACAAGATTCCGAGAATGCTTTCGTCTAGTTTTTTTGGGAAGATATTTCCTTCTTCACCATAGGCCTCAAAGCGCTCCAAATATCCATTTCCACATGCTATACAAAGAGTGTCTCAAACCTGCTGTATGAATGGGAATGTTCAACTCTATGAGTTGAATGCAAACATCACAAAGAAGTTTCTGAGAATGCTGCTGTCTAGATTTTATATGAAGGTTTTCCCGCTTCCAACGAAATTTTGAATGCTCTCAAAATATCCTCTTGTAGATTCTACAAAAAGAGTGTTTCCAAACTGCTGTATCAAAACAAAGGTTCATCTCTGTTAGTTGAGGACACACATCACAAATAAGTTTCTGAGAATGCTTCTGTCTAGTTCTTATTTGAAGACATTTCCTTTCTCACCTTAGGCCTGAAAGCGCTCGAAATACCCACTTCCAGATACTACAGAAACAGTGATTCAAACCTGCTCTATGAAAGGGAATGTTCAACTATGTGACTTGAATGCAAACATCACAAAGCAGTTTCTGAGAATGCTGCTGTCTACTTTCTATTTGTAATCCCGTTTCCAACGAAATCCTCAGAACTATCGAAATTTCCAATTGCAGATTCCACAGAAACAGGGTTTCAAAGCTGCTCTGTAAAAAGAAAGGTTCAACTCTGTTAGTTGAATACACACGTCACAAACAAGTTTCTGAGAATGCTTCTGTCTAGTTTTTATGGGAAGATATTTCCTTTTTCACCGTAGGCCTCAAAGCGCTCCAAATGTCCACTTCCACATACTACAAAAAGAGTGTTTCAAACCTGCTGTATGAAAGGGAATGTTCAACTCTATGAGTTGAATGCAAACATTACAAAGAAGTTTCTGAGAACGCTTCTGTCTAGATTTTATATGAAGGTTTTCCCGTTTCCAACGAAATTTTCAATGCTCTCAAAATATCCACTTGTAGATTCTACAAAAAGAGTGTTTCCAAACTGCTGTGTCAAAAGAAAGGTTCAACTCTGTTAGTTGAGGACACACATCACAAATAAGTTTCTGAGAATGCTTCTGTCTAGTTCTTATTTGAAGACATTTCCTTTCTCACCTTAGGCCTGAAAACGCTCGAAATATCCACTTCCAGATACGACAGAAACAGTGATTCAAACCTGCTCTATGAAAGGGAATGTTCAACTAGGTGACTTGAATGCAAACATCACAAAGCAGTTTCTGAGAATGCTGCTGTCTACTTTCTATTTGCAATCCCGTTTCCAACGAAATCCTCAGAACTATCGAAATTTCCAATTGCAGATTCCACAAAAAGCGTGTTTCAAAGCTGCTCTGTAAAAAGAAAGGTTCAACTCTGTTAGTTGAATACACACGTCACAAACAAGTTTCTGAGAATGCTTCTGTCTAGTTTTTATGGGAAGATATTTCCTTTTTCACGGTAGGCCTCAAAGCGCTCCAAATGTCCACTTCCACATACTACAAAAAGAGTGTTTCAAACCTGCTCTATGATAGGGAATGTTGAAACCTATGAGTTGAATGCAAGCATTACAAAGAGGTTTCTGAGAATGCTTCTGTCTAGATTTTATATGTAGATATTCACGTTTCCAACGAAATCCTCAAAGCTATCCAAATATCAACTTGCAGATTCTACAAAAGGAATGTTTCCAAAATGCTGTATCCAAACAAAGGTTCAACTCTGTGAATTGAGGGCATACATCACAAAGAAGATTCTGAGAATGCTTCTGTCTAGATTTTATATGAAAATATTCCCGTTTCCAACGAAATCCTCAAAGCTATCCAAATATCCACTTGCAAATGCCACAAAAAGAGTGTTTCCAAACTGCTCTGTGAAAAGGAAGGTTCAACTCTGTTAGTTGAGTACACACATCACAAAGAGGTTTCTGAGAATGCTGCTGACTAGTTTTTATTTGAAGATATTTCCCTTTTCACCTTAGGCCTAAGAGTGCTCGAAATGTCCATTTCCACATACTCCACAAAGTGTGTTTCAAACGTGCTGTATGAAAGGGAATGTTCAACTCTATGAGTTGAATGCAAACATCACAAAGAAGATTCTGAGAATGCTTTTGTCTAGATTTTATATGAAGATATTCCCGTGTCCAACGAAATTTTCAAAGGTCTCCAAATATCCATTTGTAGATTCTACAAAAAGAGTGTTTCCAAACTGCTGTATCAAAACAAAGGTTGAACTCTGTGAGTTGAGGACACACATCACAAATAAGTTTCTGAGAATGCTTCTGTCTAGTTTTTATTTGAAGATGTTTCCTTTTTCACCATAGGCCTGAAAGCGCTCGAAATGTCCACTTCCAGATAGTACAGAAAGAGTGTTTCAAACCTGCTCTATGAACGGGAATGTTCAGCTCTGTGAGTTGAATGCAAACATCACAAAGCAGGTTCTGAGAATGCTTCCGTCTAGATTTTAAATGAGGATATTCCCGTTTCCAACGAAATCCTCGAAGCTATCCAAATATCCCCTTGCAGATTCCACAAAAAGAGTGTTTCAAAACTGCTCTGTCAAAAGATAGGTTCAACTCTGTTAGTTGAGTACACACATGGCAAACAAGATTGCGAGAATGCTTTCGTCTAGTTTTTTTGGGAAGATATTTCCTTCTTCACCATAGGCCTCAAAGCGCTCCAAATATCCATTTCCACATGCTATACAAAGAGTGTCTCAAACCTGCTGTATGAATGGGAATGTTCAACTCTATGAGTTGAATGCAAACATCACAAAGAAGTTTCTGAGAATGCTGCTGTCTAGATTTTATATGAAGGTTTTCCCGCTTCCAACGAAATTTTCAATGCTCTCAAAATATCCTCTTGTAGATTCTACAAAAAGAGTGTTTCCAAACTGCTGTATCAAAACAAAGGTTCATCTCTGTTAGTTGAGGACACACATCACAAATAAGTTTCTGAGAATGCTTCTGTCTAGTTCTTATTTGAAGACATTTCCTTTCTCACCTTAGGCCTGAAAACGCTCGAAATATCCACTTCCAGATACGACAGAAACAGTGATTCAAACCTGCTCTATGAAAGGGAATGTTCAACTAGGTGACTTGAATGCAAACATCACAAAGCAGTTTCTGAGAATGCTGCTGTCTACTTTCTATTTGTAATCCCGTTTCCAACGAAATCCTCAGAACTATCGAAATTTCCAATTGCAGATTCCACAAAAAGCGTGTTTCAAAGCTGCTCTGTAAAAAGAAAGGTTCAACTCTGTTAGTTGAATACACACGTCACAAACAAGTTTCTGAGAATGCTTCTGTCTAGTTTTTATGGGAAGATATTTCCTTTTTCACCGTAGGCCTCAAAGCGCTCCAAATGTCCACTTCCACATACTACAAAAAGAGTGTTTCAAACCTGCTCTATGATAGGGAATGTTGAAACCTATGAGTTGAATGCAAGCATTACAAAGAGGTTTCTGAGAATGCTTCTGTCTAGATTTTATATGTAGATATTCCCGTTTCCAACGAAATCCTCAAAGCTATCCAAATATCAACTTGCAGATTCTACAAAAGGAATGTTTCCAAAATGCTGTATCCAAACAAAGGTTCAACTCTGTGAATTGAGGGCATACATCACAAAGAAGATTCTGAGAATGCTTCTGTCTAGATTTTATATGAAAATATTCCCGTTTCCAACGAAATCCTCAAAGCTATCCAAATATCCACTTGCAAATGCCACAAAAAGAGTGTTTCCAAACTGCTCTGTGAAAAGGAAGGTTCAACTCTGTTAGTTGAGTACACACATCACAAAGAGGTTTCTGAGAATGCTGCTGACTAGTTTTTATTTGAAGATATTTCCCTTTTCACCTTAGGCCTAAGAGTGCTCGAAATGTCCATTTCCACATACTCCACAAAGTGTGTTTCAAACGTGCTGTATGAAAGGGAATGTTCAACTCTATGAGTTGAATGCAAACATCACAAAGAAGATTCTGAGAATGCTTTTGTCTAGATTTTATATGAAGATATTCCCGTGTCCAACGAAATTTTCAAAGGTCTCCAAATAAAGATTGTTTCCAAACTGCTGTATCAAAACAAAGGTTGAACTCTGTGAGTTGAGGACACACATCACAAATAAGTTTCTGAGAATGCTTCTGTCTAGTTTTTATTTGAAGATGTTTCCTTTTTCACCATAGGCCTGAAAGCGCTCGAAATGTCCACTTCCAGATAGTACAGAAAGAGTGTTTCAAACCTGCTCTATGAACGGGAATGTTCAGCTCTGTGAGTTGAATGCAAACATCACAAAGCAGGTTCTGAGAATGCTTCCGTCTAGATTTTAAATGAGGATATTCCCGTTTCCAACGAAATCCTCGAAGCTATCCAAATATCCACTTGCAGATTCCACAAAAAGAGTGTTTCAAAACTGCTCTGTCAAAAGATAGGTTCAACTCTGTTAGTTGAGTACACACATGGCAAACAAGATTCCGAGAATGCTTTCGTCTAGTTTTTTTGGGAAGATATTTCCTTCTTCACCATAGGCCTCAAAGCGCTCCAAATATCCATTTCCACATGCTATACAAAGAGTGTCTCAAACCTGCTGTATGAATGGGAATGTTCAACTCTATGAGTTGAATGCAAACATCACAAAGAAGTTTCTGAGAATGCTGCTGTCTAGATTTTATATGAAGGTTTTCCCGCTTCCAACGAAATTTTCAATGCTCTCAAAATATCCTCTTGTAGATTCTACAAAAAGAGTGTTTCCAAACTGCTGTATCAAAACAAAGGTTCATCTCTGTTAGTTGAGGACACACATCACAAATAAGTTTCTGAGAATGCTTCTGTCTAGTTCTTATTTGAAGACATTTCCTTTCTCACCTTAGGCCTGAAAACGCTCGAAATATCCACTTCCAGATACGACAGAAACTGTGATTCAAACCTGCTCTACGAAAGGGAATGTTCAACTAGGTGACTTGAATGCAAACATCACAAAGCAGTTTCTGAGAATGCTGCTGTCTACTTTCTATTTGTAATCCCGTTTCCAACGAAATCCTCAGAACTATCGAAATTTCCAATTGCAGATTCCACAGAAACAGGGTTTCAAAGCTGCTCTGTAAAAAGAAAGGTTCAACTCTGTTAGTTGAATACACACGTCACAAACAAGTTTCTGAAATTGCTTCTGTCTAGTTTTTATGGGAAGATATTTCCTTTTTCACCGTAGGCCTCAAAGCGCTCCAAATGTCCACGTCCACATACTACAAAAAGAGTGTTTCAAACCTGCTGTATGAAAGGGAATGTTCAACTCTATGAGTTGAATGCAAACATTACAAAGAAGTTTCTGAGAATGCTTCTGTCTAGATTTTATATGAAGGTTTTCCCGTTTCCAACGAAATTTTCAATGCTCTCAAAATATCCACTTGTAGATTCTACAAAAAGAGTGTTTCCAAACTGCTGTGTCAAAAGAAAGGTTCAACTCTGTTAGTTGAGGACACACATCACAAATAAGTTTCTGAGAATGCTTGCTGTCTACTTTCTATTTGTAATCCCGTTTCCAACGAAATCCTCAGTAACTATCGAAATTTCCAATTGCAGATTCCACAAAAAGCGTGTTTCAAAGCTGCTCTGTAAAAAGAAAGGTTCAACTCTGTTAGTTGAATACACACGTCACAAACAAGTTTCTGAGAATGCTTCTGTCTAGTTTTTATGGGAAGATATTTCCTTTTTCACCGTAGGCCTCAAAGCGCTCCAAATGTCCACTTCCACATACTACAAAAAGAGTGTTTCAAACCTGCTCTATGATAGGGAATGTTGAAACCTATGAGTTGAATGCAAGCATTACAAAGAGGTTTCTGAGAATGCTTCTGTCTAGATTTTATATGTAGATATTCCCGTTTCCAACGAAATCCTCAAAGCTATCCAAATATCAACTTGCAGATTCTACAAAAGGAATGTTTCCAAAATGCTGTATCCAAACAAAGGTTCAACTCTGTGAATTGAGGGCATACATCACAAAGAAGATTCTGAGAATGCTTCTGTCTAGATTTTATATGAAAATATTCCCGTTTCCAACGAAATCCTCAAAGCTATCCAAATATCCACTTGCAAATGCCACAAAAAGAGTGTTTCCAAACTGCTCTGTGAAAAGGAAGGTTCAACTCTGTTAGTTGAGTACACACATCACAAAGAGGTTTCTGAGAATGCTGCTGACTAGTTTTTATTTGAAGATATTTCCCTTTTCACCTTAGGCCTAAGAGTGCTCGAAATGTCCATTTCCACATACTCCACAAAGTGTGTTTCAAACGTGCTGTATGAAAGGTAATGTTCAACTCTATGAGTTGAATGCAAACATCACAAAGAAGATTCTGAGAATGCTTTTGTCTAGATTTTATATGAAGATATTCCCGTGTCCAACGAAATTTTCAAAGGTCTCCAGATATCCATTTGTAGATTCTACAAAAAGAGTGTTTCCAAACTGCTGTATCAAAACAAAGGTTGAACTCTGTGAGTTGAGGACACACATCACAAATAAGTTTCTGAGAATGCTTCTGTCTAGTTTTTATTTGAAGATGTTTCCTTTTTCACCATAGGCCTGAAAGCGCTCGAAATGTCCACTTCCAGATAGTACAGAAAGAGTGTTTCAAACCTGCTCTATGAACGGGAATGTTCAGCTCTGTGAGTTGAATGCAAACATCACAAAGCAGGTTCTGAGAATGCTTCCGTCTAGATTTTAAATGAGGATATTCCCGTTTCCAACGAAATCCTCGAAGCTATCCAAATATGCACTTGCAGATTCCACAAAAAGAGTGTTTCAAAACTGCTCTGTCAAAAGATAGGTTCAACTCTGTTAGTTGAGTACACACATGGCAAACAAGATTCCGAGAATGCTTTCGTCTAGTTTTTTTGGGAAGATATTTCCTTCTTCACCATAGGCCTCAAAGCGCTCCAAATATCCATTTCCACATGCTATACAAAGAGTGTCTCAAACCTGCTGTATGAATGGGAATGTTCAACTCTATGAGTTGAATGCAAACATCACAAAGAAGTTTCTGAGAATGCTTCTGTCTAGATTTTATATGAAGGTTTTCCCGTTTCCAACGAAATTTTCAATGCTCTCAAAATATCCACTTGTAGATTCTACAAAAAGAGTGTTTCCAAACTGCTGTGTCAAAAGAAGGGTTCAACTCTGTTAGTTGAGGACACACATCACAATTAAGTTTCTGAGAATGCTTCTGTCTAGTTCTTATTTGAAGACATTTCCTTTCTCACCTTAGGCCTGAAAACGCTCGAAATATCCACTTCCAGATACGACAGAAACAGTGATTCAAACCTTCTCTATGAAAGGGAATGTTCAACTAGGTGACTTGAATGCAAACATCACAAAGCAGTTTTCTGAGAATGCTGCTGTCTACTTTCTATTTGTAATCCCGTTTGCAACGAAATCCTCAGAACTATCGAAATTTCCAATTGCAGATTCCACAGAAACAGGGTTTCAAAGCTGCTCTGTAAAAAGAAAGGTTCAACTCTGTTAGTTGAATACACACGTCACAAACAAGTTTCTGAGAATGCTTCTGTCTAGTTTTTATGGGAAGATATTTCCTTTTTCACCGTAGGCCTCAAAGCGCTCCAAATGTCCACTTCCACATACTACAAAAAGAGTGTTTCAAACCTGCTGTATGAAAGGGAATGTTCAACTCTATGAGTTGAATGCAAACATTACAAAGAAGTTTCTGAGAATGCTTCTGTCTAGATTTTATATGAAGGTTTTCCCGTTTCCAACGAAATTTTCAATGCTCTCAAAATATCCACTTGTAGATTCTACAAAAAGAGTGTTTCCAAACTGCTGTGTCAAAAGAAAGGTTCAACTCTGTTAGTTGAGGACACACATCACAAATAAGTTTCTGAGAATGCTTCTGTCTAGTTCTTATTTGAAGACATTTCCTTTCTCACCTTAGGCCTGAAAACGCTCGAAATATCCACTTCCAGATACGACAGAAACAGTGATTCAAACCTGCTCTATGAAAGGGAATGTTCAACTAGGTGACTTGAATGCAAACATCACAAAGCAGTTTCTGAGAATGCTGCTGTCTACTTTCTATTTGTAATCCCGTTTCCAACGAAATCCTCAGAACTATCGAAATTTCCAATTGCAGATTCCACAAAAAGCGTGTTTCAAAGCTGCTCTGTAAAAAGAAAGGTTCAACTCTGTTAGTTGAATACACACGTCACAAACAAGTTTCTGAGAATGCTTCTGTCTAGTTTTTATGGGAAGATATTTCCTTTTTCACCGTAGGCCTCAAAGCGCTCCAAATGTCCACTTCCACATACTACAAAAAGAGTGTTTCAAACCTGCTGTATGAAAGGGAATGTTCAACTCTATGAGTTGAATGCAAACATTACAAAGAAGTTTCTGAGAATGCTTCTGTCCAGATTTTATATGAAGATTTTCCCGTTTCCAACGAAATTTTCAATGCTCTCAAAATATCCACTTGTAGATTCTACAAAAAGAGTGTTTCCAAACTGCTGTGTCAAAAGAAAGGTTCAACTCTGTTAGTTGAGGACACACATCACAAATAAGTTTCTGAGAATGCTCTGTCTAGTTCTTATTTGAAGACATTTCCTTTCTCACCTTAGGCCTGAAAACGCTCGAAATATCCACTTCCAGATACGACAGAAACAGTGATTCAAACCTGCTCTATGAAAGGGAATGTTCAACTAGGTGACTTGAATGCAAACATCACAAAGCAGTTCTGAGAATGCTGGCTGTCTACTTTCTATTTGTAATCCCGTTTCCAACGAAATCCTCAGAACTATCGAAATTTCCAATTGCAGATTCCACAGAAACAGGGTTTCAAAGCTGCTCTGTAAAAAGAAAGGTTCAACTCTGTTAGTTGAATACACACGTCACAAACAAGTTTCTGAGAATGCTTCTGTCTAGTTTTTATGGGAAGATATTTCCTTTTTCACCGTAGGCCTCAAAGCGCTCCAAATGTCCACTTCCACATACTACAAAAAGAGTGTTTCAAACCTGCTGTATGAAAGGGAATGTTCAACTCTATGAGTTGAATGCAAACATTACAAAGAAGTTTCTGAGAATGCTTCTGTCTAGATTTTATATGAAGGTTTTCCCGTTTCCAACGAAATTTTCAATGCTCTCAAAATATCCACTTGTAGATTCTACAAAAAGAGTGTTTCCAAACTGCTGTGTCAAAAGAAAGGTTCAACTCTGTTAGTTGAGGACACACATCACAAATAAGTTTCTGAGAATGCTTCTGTCTAGTTCTTATTTGAAGACATTTCCTTTCTCACCTTAGGCCTGAAAACGCTCGAAATATCCACTTCCAGATACGACAGAAACAGTGATTCAAACCTGCTCTATGAAAGGGAATGTTCAACTAGGTGACTTGAATGCAAACATCCACAAAGCAGTTTCTGAGAATGCTGCTGTCTACTTTCTATTTGTAATCCCGTTTCCAACGAAATCCTCAGAACTATCGAAATTTCCAATTGCAGATTCCACAAAAAGCGTGTTTCAAAGCTGCTCTGTAAAAAGAAAGGTTCAACTCTGTTAGTTGAATACACACGTCACAAACAAGTTTCTGAGAATGCTTCTGTCTAGTTTTTATGGGAAGATATTTCCTTTTTCACGGTAGGCCTCAAAGCGCTCCAAATGTCCACTTCCACATACTACAAAAAGAGTGTTTCAAACCTGCTCTATGATAGGGAATGTTGAAACCTATGAGTTGAATGCAAGCATTACAAAGAGGTTTCTGAGAATGCTTCTGTCTAGATTTTATATGTAGATAGATATTCCCGTTTCCAACGAAATCCTCAAACTATCCAAATATCAACTTGCAGATTCTACAAAAGGAATGTTTCCAAAATGCTGTATCCAAACAAAGGTTTAACTCTGTGAATTGAGGGCATACATCACAAAGAAGATTCTGAGAATGCTTCTGTCTAGATTTTATATGAAAATATTCCCGTTTCCAACGAAATCCTCAAAGCTATCCAAATATCCACTTGCAAATGCCACAAAAAGAGTGTTTCCAAACTGCTCTGTGAAAAGGAAGGTTCAACTCTGTTAGTTGAGTACACACATCACAAAGAGGTTTCTGAGAATGCTGCTGACTAGTTTTTATTTGAAGATATTTCCCTTTTCACCTTAGGCCTAAGAGTGCTCGAAATGTCCATTTCCACATACTCCACAAAGTGTGTTTCAAACGTGCTGTATGAAAGGGAATGTTCAACTCTATGAGTTGAATGCAAACATCACAAAGAAGATTCTGAGAATGCTTTTGTCTAGATTTTATATGAAGATATTCCCGTGTCCAACGAAATTTTCAAAGGTCTCCAAATATCCATTTGTAGATTCTACAAAAAGAGTGTTTCCAAACTGCTGTATCAAAACAAAGGTTGAACTCTGTGAGTTGAGGACACACATCACAAATAAGTTTCTGAGAATGCTTCTGTCTAGTTTTTATTTGAAGATGTTTCCTTTTTCACCATAGGCCTGAAAGCGCTCGAAATGTCCACTTCCAGATAGTACAGAAAGAGTGTTTCAAACCTGCTCTATGAACGGGAATGTTCAGCTCTGTGAGTTGAATGCAAACATCACAAAGCAGGTTCTGAGAATGCTTCCGTCTAGATTTTAAATGAGGATATTCCCGTTTCCAACGAAATCCTCGAAGCTATCCAAATATCCACTTGCAGATTCCACAAAAAGAGTGTTTCAAAACTGCTCTGTCAAAAGATAGGTTCAACTCTGTTAGTTGAGTACACACATGGCAAACAAGATTCCGAGAATGCTTTCGTCTAGTTTTTTTGGGAAGATATTTCCTTCTTCACCATAGGCCTCAAAGCGCTCCAAATATCCATTTCCACATGCTATACAAAGAGTGACTCAAACCTGCTGTATGAATGGGAATGTTCAACTCTATGAGTTGAATGCAAACATCACAAAGAAGTTTCTGAGAATGCTGCTGTCTAGATTTTATATGAAGGTTTTCCCGCTTCCAACGAAATTTTCAATGCTCTCAAAATATCCTCTTGTAGATTCTACAAAAAGAGTGTTTCCAAACTGCTGTATCAAAACAAAGGTTCATCTCTGTTAGTTGAGGACACACATCACAAATAAGTTTCTGAGAATGCTTCTGTCTAGTTCTTATTTGAAGACATTTCCTTTCTCACCTTAGGCCTGAAAACTCTCGAAATATCCACTTCCAGATACGACAGAAACTGTGATTCAAACCTGCTCTATGAAAGGGAATGTTCAACTAGGTGACTTGAATGCAAACATCACAAAGCAGTTTCTGAGAATGCTGCTGTCTACTTTCTATTTGTAATCCCGTTTCCAACGAAATCCTCAGAACTATCGAAATTTCCAATTGCAGATTCCACAAAAAGCGTGTTTCAAAGCTGCTCTGTAAAAAGAAAGGTTCAACTCTGTTAGTTGAATACACACGTCACAAACAAGTTTCTGAGAATGCTTCTGTCTAGTTTTTATGGGAAGATATTTCCTTTTTCACCGTAGGCCTCAAAGCGCTCCAAATGTCCACTTCCACATACTACAAAAAGAGTGTTTCAAACCTGCTGTATGAAAGGGAATGTTCAACTCTATGAGTTGAATGCAAACATTACAAAGAAGTTTCTGAGAATGCTTCTGTCTAGATTTTATATGAAGGTTTTCCCGTTTCCAACGAAATTTTCAATGCTCTCAAAATATCCACTTGTAGATTCTACAAAAAGAGTGTTTCCAAACTGCTGTGTCAAAAGAAAGGTTCAACTCTGTTAGTTGAGGACACACATCACAAATAAGTTTCTGAGAATGCTTCTGTCTAGTTCTTATTTGAAGACATTTCCTTTCTCACCTTAGGCCTGAAAACGCTCGAAATATCCACTTCCAGATACGACAGAAACAGTGATTCAAACCTGCTCTATGAAAGGGAATGTTCAACTAGGTGACTTGAATGCAAACATCACAAAGCAGTTTCTGAGAATGCTTGCTGTCTACTTTCTATTTGTAATCCCGTTTCCAACGAAATCCTCAGTAACTATCGAAATTTCCAATTGCAGATTCCACAAAAAGCGTGTTTCAAAGCTGCTCTGTAAAAAGAAAGGTTCAACTCTGTTAGTTGAATACACACGTCACAAACAAGTTTCTGAGAATGCTTCTGTCTAGTTTTTATGGGAAGATATTTCCTTTTTCACCGTAGGCCTCAAAGCGCTCCAAATGTCCACTTCCACATACTACAAAAAGAGTGTTTCAAACCTGCTCTATGATAGGGAATGTTGAAACCTATGAGTTGAATGCAAGCATTACAAAGAGGTTTCTGAGAATGCTTCTGTCTAGATTTTATATGTAGATATTCCCGTTTCCAACGAAATCCTCAAAGCTATCCAAATATCAACTTGCAGATTCTACAAAAGGAATGTTTCCAAAATGCTGTATCCAAACAAAGGTTCAACCTCTGTGAATTGAGGGCATACATCACAAAGAAGATTCTGAGAATGCTTCTGTCTAGATTTTATATGAAAATATTCCCGTTTCCAACGAAATCCTCAAGCTATCCAAATATCCACTTGCAAATGCCACAAAAAGAGTGTTTCCAAACTGCTCTGTGAAAAGGAAGGTTCAACTCTGTTAGTTGAGTACACACATCACAAAGAGGTTTCTGAGAATGCTGCTGACTAGTTTTTATTTGAAGATATTTCCCTTTTCACCTTAGGCCTAAGAGTGCTCGAAATGTCCATTTCCACATACTCCACAAAGTGTGTTTCAAACGTGCTGTATGAAAGGGAATGTTCAACTCTATGAGTTGAATGCAAACATCACAAAGAAGATTCTGAGAATGCTTTTGTCTAGATTTTATATGAAGATATTCCCGTGTCCAACGAAATTTTCAAAGGTCTCCAAATATCCATTTGTAGATTCTACAAAAAGAGTGTTTCCAAACTGCTGTATCAAAACAAAGGTTGAACTCTGTGAGTTGAGGACACACATCACAAATAAGTTTCTGAGAATGCTTCTGTCTAGTTTTTATTTGAAGATGTTTCCTTTTTCACCATAGGCCTGAAAGCGCTCGAAATGTCCACTTCCAGATAGTACAGAAAGAGTGTTTCAAACCTGCTCTATGAACGGGAATGTTCAGCTCTGTGAGTTGAATGCAAACATCACAAAGCAGGTTCTGAGAATGCTTCCGTCTAGATTTTAAATGAGGATATTCCCGTTTCCAACGAAATCCTCGAAGCTATCCAAATATCCACTTGCAGATTCCACAAAAAGAGTGTTTCAAAACTGCTCTGTCAAAAGACAGGTTCAACTCTGTTAGTTGAGTACACACATGGCAAACAAGATTCCGAGAATGCTTTCGTCTAGTTTTTTTGGGAAGATATTTCCTTCTTCACCATAGGCCTCAAAGCGCTCCAAATATCCATTTCCACATGCTATACAAAGAGTGTCTCAAACCTGCTGTATGAATGGGAATGTTCAACTCTATGAGTTGAATGCAAACATCACAAAGAAGTTTCTGAGAATGCTGCTGTCTAGATTTTATATGAAGGTTTTCCCGCTTCCAACGAAATTTTCAATGCTCTCAAAATATCCTCTTGTAGATTCTACAAAAAGAGTGTTTCCAAACTGCTGTATCAAAACAAAGGTTCATCTCTGTTAGTTGAGGACACACATCACAAATAAGTTTCTGAGAATGCTTCTGTCTAGTTCTTATTTGAAGACATTTCCTTTCTCACCTTAGGCCTGAAAGCGCTCGAAATACCCACTTCCAGATACTACAGAAACAGTGATTCAAACCTGCTCTATGAAAGGGAATGTTCAACTAGGTGACTTGAATGCAAACATCACAAAGCAGTTTCTGAGAATGCTGCTGTCTACTTTCTATTTGTAATCCCGTTTCCAACGAAATCCTCAGAACTATCGAAATTTCCAATTGCAGATTCCACAGAAACAGGGTTTCAAAGCTGCTCTGTAAAAAGAAAGGTTCAACTCTGTTAGTTGAATACACACGTCACAAACAAGTTTCTGAGAATGCTTCTGTCTAGTTTTTATGGGAAGATATTTCCTTTTTCACCGTAGGCCTCAAAGCGCTCCAAATGTCCACGTCCACATACTACAAAAAGAGTGTTTCAAACCTGCTGTATGAAAGGGAATGTTCAACTCTATGAGTTGAATGCAAACATTACAAAGAAGTTTCTGAGAATGCTTCTGTCTAGATTTTATATGAAGGTTTTCCCGTTTCCAACGAAATTTTCAATGCTCTCAAAATATCCACTTGTAGATTCTACAAAAAGAGTGTTTCCAAACTGCTGTGTCAAAAGAAAGGTTCAACTCTGTTAGTTGAGGACACACATCACAAATAAGTTTCTGAGAATGCTTCTGTCTAGTTCTTATTTGAAGACATTTCCTTTCTCACCTTAGGCCTGAAAACGCTCGAAATATCCACTTCCAGATACGACAGAAACAGTGATTCAAACCTGCTCTATGAAAGGGAATGTTCAACTAGGTGACTTGAATGCAAACATCACAAAGCAGTTTCTGAGAATGCTGCTGTCTACTTTCTATTTGTAATCCCGTTTCCAACGAAATCCTCAGAACTATCGAAATTTCCAATTGCAGATTCCACAGAAACAGGGTTTCAAAGCTGCTCTGTAAAAAGAAAGGTTCAACTCTGTTAGTTGAATACACACGTCACAAACAAGTTTCTGAGAATGCTTCTGTCTAGTTTTTATGGGAAGATATTTCCTTTTTCACCGTAGGCCTCAAAGCGCTCCAAATGTCCACTTCCACATACTACAAAAAGAGTGTTTCAAACCTGCTGTATGAAAGGGAATGTTCA
Source organism: Homo sapiens (assembly GCF_000001405.40). Classification (NCBI taxonomy): domain Eukaryota; kingdom Metazoa; phylum Chordata; class Mammalia; order Primates; family Hominidae; genus Homo; species Homo sapiens. The sequence continues at coordinate 19,267,024 of NC_000015.10, read as the reverse complement.
ACTCTATGAGTTGAATGCAAACATTACAAAGAAGTTTCTGAGAATGCTTCTGTCTAGATTTTATATGAAGGTTTTCCCGTTTCCAACGAAATTTTCAATGCTCTCAAAATATCCACTTGTAGATTCTACAAAAAGAGTGTTTCCAAACTGCTGTGTCAAAAGAAAGGTTCAACTCTGTTAGTTGAGGACACACATCACAAATAAGTTTCTGAGAATGCTTCTGTCTAGTTCTTATTTGAAGACATTTCCTTTCTCACCTTAGGCCTGAAAACGCTCGAAATATCCACTTCCAGATACGACAGAAACAGTGATTCAAACCTGCTCTATGAAAGGGAATGTTCAACTAGGTGACTTGAATGCAAACATCACAAAGCAGTTTCTGAGAATGCTGCTGTCTACTTTCTATTTGTAATCCCGTTTCCAACGAAATCCTCAGAACTATCGAAATTTCCAATTGCAGATTCCACAAAAAGCGTGTTTCAAAGCTGCTCTGTAAAAAGAAAGGTTCAACTCTGTTAGTTGAATACACACGTCACAAACAAGTTTCTGAGAATGCTTCTGTCTAGTTTTTATGGGAAGATATTTCCTTTTTCACCGTAGGCCTCAAAGCGCTCCAAATGTCCACTTCCACATACTACAAAAAGAGTGTTTCAAACCTGCTGTATGAAAGGGAATGTTCAACTCTATGAGTTGAATGCAAACATTACAAAGAAGTTTCTGAGAATGCTTCTGTCTAGATTTTATATGAAGATTTTCCCGTTTCCAACGAAATTTTCAATGCTCTCAAAATATCCACTTGTAGATTCTACAAAAAGAGTGTTTCCAAACTGCTGTGTCAAAAGAAAGGTTCAACTCTGTTAGTTGAGGACACACATCACAAATAAGTTTCTGAGAATGCTTCTGTCTAGTTCTTATTTGAAGACATTTCCTTTCTCACCTTAGGCCTGAAAACGCTCGAAATATCCACTTCCAGATACGACAGAAACAGTGATTCAAACCTGCTCTATGAAAGGGAATGTTCAACTAGGTGACTTGAATGCAAACATCACAAAGCAGTTTCTGAGAATGCTGCTGTCTACTTTCTATTTGTAATCCCGTTTCCAACGAAATCCTCAGAACTATCGAAATTTCCAATTGCAGATTCCACAGAAACAGGGTTTCAAAGCTGCTCTGTAAAAAGAAAGGTTCAACTCTGTTAGTTGAATACACACGTCACAAACAAGTTTCTGAGAATGCTTCTGTCTAGTTTTTATGGGAAGATATTTCCTTTTTCACCGTAGGCCTCAAAGCGCTCCAAATGTCCACTTCCACATACTACAAAAAGAGTGTTTCAAACCTGCTCTATGATAGGGAATGTTGAAACCTATGAGTTGAATGCAAGCATTACAAAGAGGTTTCTGAGAATGCTTCTGTCTAGATTTTATATGTAGATATTCCCGTTTCCAACGAAATCCTCAAAGCTATCCAAATATCAACTTGCAGATTCTACAAAAGGAATGTTTCCAAAATGCTGTATCCAAACAAAGGTTCAACTCTGTGAATTGAGGGCATACATCACAAAGAAGATTCTGAGAATGCTTCTGTCAAGATTTTATATGAAAACATTCCCGTTTCCAACAAAATCCCCAAAGCTATCCAAATATCCACTTGCAAATGCCACAAAAAGAGTGTTTCCAAACTGCTCTGTGAAAAGGAAGGTTCAACTCTGTTAGTTGAGTACACACATCACAAAGAGGTTTCTGAGAATGCTGCTGACTAGTTTTTATTTGAAGATATTTCCCTTTTCACCTTAGGCCTAAGAGTGCTCGAAATGTCCATTTCCACATACTCCACAAAGTGTGTTTCAAACGTGCTGTATGAAAGGGAATGTTCAACTCTATGAGTTGAATGCAAACATCACAAAGAAGATTCTGAGAATGCTTTTGTCTAGATTTTATATGAAGATATTCCCGTGTCCAACGAAATTTTCAAAGGTCTCCAAATATCCATTTGTAGATTCTACAAAAAGAGTGTTTCCAAACTGCTGTATCAAAACAAAGGTTGAACTCTGTGAGTTGAGGACACACATCACAAATAAGTTTCTGAGAATGCTTCTGTCTAGTTTTTATTTGAAGATGTTTCCTTTTTCACCATAGGCCTGAAAGCGCTCGAAATGTCCACTTCCAGATAGTACAGAAAGAGTGTTTCAAACCTGCTCTATGAACGGGAATGTTCAGCTCTGTGAGTTGAATGCAAACATCACAAAGCAGGTTCTGAGAATGCTTCCGTCTAGATTTTAAATGAGGATATTCCCGTTTCCAACGAAATCCTCGAAGCTATCCAAATATCCACTTGCAGATTCCACAAAAAGAGTGTTTCAAAACTGCTCTGTCAAAAGATAGGTTCAACTCTGTTAGTTGAGTACACACATGGCAAACAAGATTCCGAGAATGCTTTCGTCTAGTTTTTTTGGGAAGATATTTCCTTCTTCACCATAGGCCTCAAAGTGCTCCAAATATCCATTTCCACATGCTATACAAAGAGTGTCTCAAACCTGCTGTATGAATGGGAATGTTCAACTCTATGAGTTGAATGCAAACATCACAAAGAAGTTTCTGAGAATGCTGCTGTCTAGATTTTATATGAAGGTTTTCCCGCTTCCAACGAAATTTTCAATGCTCTCAAAATATCCTCTTGTAGATTCTACAAAAAGAGTGTTTCCAAACTGCTGTATCAAAACAAAGGTTCATCTCTGTTAGTTGAGGACACACATCACAAATAAGTTTCTGAGAATGCTTCTGTCTAGTTCTTATTTGAAGACATTTCCTTTCTCACCTTAGGCCTGAAAGCGCTCGAAATACCCACTTCCAGATACTACAGAAACAGTGATTCAAACCTGCTCTATGAAAGGGAATGTTCAACTAGGTGACTTGAATGCAAACATCACAAAGCAGTTTCTGAGAATGCTGCTGTCTACTTTCTATTTGTAATCCCGTTTCCAACGAAATCCTCAGAACTATCGAAATTTCCAATTGCAGATTCCACAGAAACAGGGTTTCAAAGCTGCTCTGTAAAAAGAAAGGTTCAACTCTGTTAGTTGAATACACACGTCACAAACAAGTTTCTGAGAATGCTTCTGTCTAGTTTTTATGGGAAGATATTTCCTTTTTCACCGTAGGCCTCAAAGCGCTCCAAATGTCCACGTCCACATACTACAAAAAGAGTGTTTCAAACCTGCTGTATGAAAGGGAATGTTCAACTCTATGAGTTGAATGCAAACATTACAAAGAAGTTTCTGAGAATGCTTCTGTCTAGCATTTTATATGAAGGTTTTCCCGTTTCCAACGAAATTTTCAATGCTCTCAAAATATCCACTTGTAGATTCTACAAAAAGAGTGTTTCCAAACTGCTGTGTCAAAAGAAAGGTTCAACTCTGTTAGTTGAGGACACACATCACAAATAAGTTTCTGAGAATGCTTCTGTCTAGTTCTTATTTGAAGACATTTCCTTTCTCACCTTAGGCCTGAAAACGCTCGAAATATCCACTTCCAGATACGACAGAAACAGTGATTCAAACCTGCTCTATGAAAGGGAATGTTCAACTAGGTGACTTGAATGCAAACATCACAAAGCAGTTTCTGAGAATGCTGCTGTCTACTTTCTATTTGTAATCCCGTTTCCAACGAAATCCTCAGAACTATCGAAATTTCCAATTGCAGATTCCACAAAAAGCGTGTTTCAAAGCTGCTCTGTAAAAAGAAAGGTTCAACTCTGTTAGTTGAATACACACGTCACAAACAAGTTTCTGAGAATGCTTCTGTCTAGTTTTTATGGGAAGATATTTCCTTTATTCACCGTAGGCCTCAAAGCGCTCCAAATGTCCACTTCCACATACTACAAAAAGAGTGTTTCAAACCTGCTCTATGATAGGGAATGTTGAAACCTATGAGTTGAATGCAAGCATTACAAAGAGGTTTCTGAGAATGCTTCTGTCTAGATTTTATATGTAGATATTCCCGTTTCCAACGAAATCCTCAAAGCTATCCAAATATCAACTTGCAGATTCTACAAAAGGAATGTTTCCAAAATGCTGTATCCAAACAAAGGTTCAACTCTGTGAATTGAGGGCATACATCACAAAGAAGATTCTGAGAATGCTTCTGTCTAGATTTTATATGAAAATATTCCCGTTTCCAACGAAATCCTCAAAGCTATCCAAATATCCACTTGCAAATGCCACAAAAAGAGTGTTTCCAAACTGCTCTGTGAAAAGGAAGGTTCAACTCTGTTAGTTGAGTACACACATCACAAAGAGGTTTCTGAGAATGCTGCTGACTAGTTTTTATTTGAAGATATTTCCCTTTTCACCTTAGGCCTAAGAGTGCTCGAAATGTCCATTTCCACATACTCCACAAAGTGTGTTTCAAACGTGCTGTATGAAAGGGAATGTTCAACTCTATGAGTTGAATGCAAACATCACAAAGAAGATTCTGAGAATGCTTTTGTCTAGATTTTATATGAAGATATTCCCGTGTCCAACGAAATTTTCAAAGGTCTCCAAATATCCATTTGTAGATTCTACAAAAAGAGTGTTTCCAAACTGCTGTATCAAAACAAAGGTTGAACTCTGTGAGTTGAGGACACACATCACAAATAAGTTTCTGAGAATGCTTCTGTCTAGTTTTTATTTGAAGATGTTTCCTTTTTCACCATAGGCCTGAAAGCGCTCGAAATGTCCACTTCCAGATAGTACAGAAAGAGTGTTTCAAACCTGCTCTATGAACGGGAATGTTCAGCTCTGTGAGTTGAATGCAAACATCACAAAGCAGGTTCTGAGAATGCTTCCGTCTAGATTTTAAATGAGGATATTCCCGTTTCCAATGAAATCCTCGAAGCTATCCAAATATCCACTTGCAGATTCCACAAAAAGAGTGTTTCAAAACTGCTCTGTCAAAAGATAGGTTCAACTCTGTTAGTTGAGTACACACATGGCAAACAAGATTCCGAGAATGCTTTCGTCTAGTTTTTTTGGGAAGATATTTCCTTCTTCACCATAGGCCTCAAAGCGCTCCAAATATCCATTTCCACATGCTATACAAAGAGTGTCTCAAACCTGCTGTATGAATGGGAATGTTCAACTCTATGAGTTGAATGCAAACATCACAAAGAAGTTTCTGAGAATGCTGCTGTCTAGATTTTATATGAAGGTTTTCCCGCTTCCAACGAAATTTTCAATGCTCTCAAAATATCCTCTTGTAGATTCTACAAAAAGAGTGTTTCCAAACTGCTGTATCAAAACAAAGGTTCATCTCTGTTAGTTGAGGACACACATCACAAATAAGTTTCTGAGAATGCTTCTGTCTAGTTCTTATTTGAAGACATTTCCTTTCTCACCTTAGGCCTGAAAGCGCTCGAAATACCCACTTCCAGATACTACAGAAACAGTGATTCAAACCTGCTCTATGAAAGGGAATGTTCAACTATGTGACTTGAATGCAAACATCACAAAGCAGTTTCTGAGAATGCTGCTGTCTACTTTCTATTTGTAATCCCGTTTCCAACGAAATCCTCAGAACTATCGAAATTTCCAATTGCAGATTCCACAGAAACAGGGTTTCAAAGCTGCTCTGTAAAAAGAAAGGTTCAACTCTGTTAGTTGAATACACACGTCACAAACAAGTTTCTGAGAATGCTTCTGTCTAGTTTTTATGGGAAGATATTTCCTTTTTCACGGTAGGCCTCAAAGCGCTCCAAATGTCCACTTCCACATACTACAAAAAGAGTGTTTCAAACCTGCTCTATGATAGGGAATGTTGAAACCTATGAGTTGAATGCAAGCATTACAAAGAGGTTTCTGAGAATGCTTCTGTCTAGATTTTATATGTAGATATTCCCGTTTCCAACGAAATCCTCAAAGCTATCCAAATATCAACTTGCAGATTCTACAAAAGGAATGTTTCCAAAATGCTGTATCCAAACAAAGGTTCAACTCTGTGAATTGAGGGCATACATCACAAAGAAGATTCTGAGAATGCTTCTGTCTAGATTTTATATGAAAATATTCCCGTTTCCAACGAAATCCTCAAAGCTATCCAAATATCCACTTGCAAATGCCACAAAAAGAGTGTTTCCAAACTGCTCTGTGAAAAGGAAGGTTCAACTCTGTTAGTTGAGTACACACATCACAAAGAGGTTTCTGAGAATGCTTGCTGACTAGTTTTTATTTGAAGATATTTCCCTTTTCACCTTAGGCCTAAGAGTGCTCGAAATGTCCATTTCCACATACTCCACAAAGTGTGTTTCAAACGTGCTGTATGAAAGGGAATGTTCAACTCTATGAGTTGAATGCAAACATCACAAAGAAGACTCTGAGAATGCTTTTGTCTAGATTTTATATGAAGATATTCCCGTGTCCAACGAAATTTTCAAAGGTCTCCAAATATCCATTTGTAGATTCTACAAAAAGAGTGTTTCCAAACTGCTGTATCAAAACAAAGGTTGAACTCTGTGAGTTGAGGACACACATCACAAATAAGTTTCTGAGAATGCTTCTGTCTAGTTTTTATTTGAAGATGTTTCCTTTTTCACCATAGGCCTGAAAGCGCTCGAAATGTCCACTTCCAGATAGTACAGAAAGAGTGTTTCAAACCTGCTCTATGAACGGGAATGTTCAGCTCTGTGAGTTGAATGCAAACATCACAAAGCAGGTTCTGAGAATGCTTCCGTCTAGATTTTAAATGAGGATATTCCCGTTTCCAACGAAATCCTCGAAGCTATCCAAATATCCACTTGCAGATTCCACAAAAAGAGTGTTTCAAAACTGCTCTGTCAAAAGATAGGTTCAACTCTGTTAGTTGAGGTACACACATGGCAAACAAGATTCCGAGAATGCTTTCGTCTAGTTTTTTTGGGAAGATATTTCCTTCTTCACCATAGGCCTCAAAGCGCTCCAAATATCCATTTCCACATGCTATACAAAGAGTGTCTCAAACCTGCTGTATGAATGGGAATGTTCAACTCTATGAGTTGAATGCAAACATCACAAAGAAGTTTCTGAGAATGCTGCTGTCTAGATTTTATATGAAGGTTTTCCCGCTTCCAACGAAATTTTCAACGCTCTCAAAATATCCTCTTGTAGATTCTACAAAAAGAGTGTTTCCAAACTGCTGTATCAAAACAAAGGTTTATCTCTGTTAGTTGAGGACACACATCACAAATAAGTTTCTGAGAATGCTTCTGTCTAGTTCTTATTTGAAGACATTTCCTTTCTCACCTTAGGCCTGAAAGCGCTCGAAATACCCACTTCCAGATACTACAGAAACAGTGATTCAAACCTGTTCTATGAAAGGGAATGTTCAACTAGGTGACTTGAATGCAAACATCACAAAGCAGTTTCTGAGAATGCTGCTGTCTACTTTCTATTTGTAATCCCGTTTCCAACGAAATCCTCAGAACTATCGAAATTTCCAATTGCAGATTCCACAGAAACAGGGTTTCAAAGCTGCTCTGTAAAAAGAAAGGTTCAACTCTGTTAGTTGAATACACACGTCACAAACAAGTTTCTGAGAATGCTTCTGTCTAGTTTTTATGGGAAGATATTTCCTTTTTCACCGTAGGCCTCAAAGCGCTCCAAATGTCCACGTCCACATACTACAAAAAGAGTGTTTCAAACCTGCTGTATGAAAGGGAATGTTCAACTCTATGAGTTGAATGCAAACATTACAAAGAAGTTTCTGAGAATGCTTCTGTCTAGATTTTATATGAAGGTTTTCCCGTTTCCAACGAAATTTTCCATGCTCTCAAAATATCCACTTGTAGATTCTACAAAAAGAGTGTTTCCAAACTGCTGTGTCAAAAGAAAGGTTCAACTCTGTTAGTTGAGGACACACATCACAAATAAGTTTCTGAGAATGCTTCTGTCTAGTTCTTATTTGAAGACATTTCCTTTCTCACCTTAGGCCTGAAAACGCTCGAAATATCCACTTCCAGATACGACAGAAACAGTGATTCAAACCTGCTCTATGAAAGGGAATGTTCAACTAGGTGACTTGAATGCAAACATCACAAAGCAGTTTCTGAGAATGCTGCTGTCTACTTTCTATTTGTAATCCCGTTTCCAACGAAATCCTCAGAACTATCGAAATTTCCAATTGCAGATTCCACAAAAAGCGTGTTTCAAAGCTGCTCTGTAAAAAGAAAGGTTCAACTCTGTTAGTTGAATACACACGTCACAAACAAGTTTCTGAGAATGCTTCTGTCTAGTTTTTATGGGAAGATATTTCCTTTTTCACCGTAGGCCTCAAAGCGCTCCAAATGTCCACTTCCACATACTACAAAAAGAGTGTTTCAAACCTGCTCTATGATAGGGAATGTTGAAACCTATGAGTTGAATGCAAGCATTACAAAGAGGTTTCTGAGAATGCTTCTGTCTAGATTTTATATGTAGATATTCCCGTTTCCAACGAAATCCTCAAAGCTATCCAAATATCAACTTGCAGATTCTACAAAAGGAATGTTTCCAAAATGCTGTATCCAAACAAAGGTTCAACTCTGTGAATTGAGGGCATACATCACAAAGAAGATTCTGAGAATGCTTCTGTCTAGATTTTATATGAAAATATTCCCGTTTCCAACGAAATCCTCAAAGCTATCCAAATATCCACTTGCAAATGCCACAAAAAGAGTGTTTCCAAACTGCTCTGTGAAAAGGAAGGTTCAACTCTGTTAGTTGAGTACACACATCACAAAGAGGTTTCTGAGAATGCTGCTGACTAGTTTTTATTTGAAGATATTTCCCTTTTCACCTTAGGCCTAAGAGTGCTCGAAATGTCCATTTCCACATACTCCACAAAGTGTGTTTCAAACGTGCTGTATGAAAGGGAATGTTCAACTCTATGAGTTGAATGCAAACATCACAAAGAAGATTCTGAGAATGCTTTTGTCTAGATTTTATATGAAGATATTCCCGTGTCCAACGAAATTTTCAAAGGTCTCTAAATATCCATTTGTAGATTCTACAAAAAGAGTGTTTCCAAACTGCTGTATCAAAACAAAGGTTGAACTCTGTGAGTTGAGGACACACATCACAAATAAGTTTCTGAGAATGCTTCTGTCTAGTTTTTATTTGAAGATGTTTCCTTTTTCACCATAGGCCTGAAAGCGCTCGAAATGTCCACTTCCAGATAGTACAGAAAGAGTGTTTCAAACCTGCTCTATGAACGGGAATGTTCAGCTCTGTGAGTTGAATGCAAACATCACAAAGCAGGTTCTGAGAATGCTTCCGTCTAGATTTTAAATGAGGATATTCCCGTTTCCAACGAAATCCTCGAAGCTATCCAAATATCCACTTGCAGATTCCACAAAAAGAGTGTTTCAAAACTGCTCTGTCAAAAGATAGGTTCAACTCTGTTAGTTGAGTACACACATGGCAAACAAGATTCCGAGAATGCTTTCGTCTAGTTTTTTGGGGAAGATATTTCCTTCTTCACCATAGGCCTCAAAGCGCTCCAAATATCCATTTCCACATGCTATACAAAGAGTGTCTCAAACCTGCTGTATGAATGGGAATGTTCAACTCTATGAGTTGAATGCAAACATCACAAAGAAGTTTCTGAGAATGCTGCTGTCTAGATTTTATATGAAGGTTTTCCCGCTTCCAACGAAATTTTCAATGCTCTCAAAATATCCTCTTGTAGATTCTACAAAAAGAGTGTTTCCAAACTGCTGTATCAAAACAAAGGTTCATCTCTGTTAGTTGAGGACACACATCACAAATAAGTTTCTGAGAATGCTTCTGTCTAGTTCTTATTTGAAGACATTTCCTTTCTCACCTTAGGCCTGAAAACGCTCGAAATATCCACTTCCAGATACGACAGAAACTGTGATTCAAACCTGCTCTATGAAAGGGAATGTTCAACTAGGTGACTTGAATGCAAACATCACAAAGCAGTTTCTGAGAATGCTGCTGTCTACTTTCTATTTGTAATCCCGTTTCCAACGAAATCCTCAGAACTATCGAAATTTCCAATTGCAGATTCCACAGAAACAGGGTTTCAAAGCTGCTCTGTAAAAAGAAAGGTTCAACTCTGTTAGTTGAATACACACGTCACAAACAAGTTTCTGAAATTGCTTCTGTCTAGTTTTTATGGGAAGATATTTCCTTTTTCACCGTAGGCCTCAAAGCGCTCCAAATGTCCACGTCCACATACTACAAAAAGAGTGTTTCAAACCTGCTGTATGAAAGGGAATGTTCAACTCTATGAGTTGAATGCAAACATTACAAAGAAGTTTCTGAGAATGCTTCTGTCTAGATTTTATATGAAGGTTTTCCCGTTTCCAATGAAATTTTCAATGCTCTCAAAATATCCACTTGTAGATTCTACAAAAAGAGTGTTTCCAAACTGCTGTGTCAAAAGAAAGGTTCAACTCTGTTAGTTGAGGACACACATCACAAATAAGTTTCTGAGAATGCTTCTGTCTAGTTCTTATTTGAAGACATTTCCTTTCTCACCTTAGGACTGAAAACGCTCGAAATATCCACTTCCAGATACGACAGAAACAGTGATTCAAACCTGCTCTATGAAAGGGAATGTTCAACTAGGTGACTTGAATGCAAACATCACAAAGCAGTTTCTGAGAATGCTGCTGTCTACTTTCTATTTGTAATCCCGTTTCCAACGAAATCCTCAGAACTATCGAAATTTCCAATTGCAGATTCCACAAAAAGCGTGTTTCAAAGCTGCTCTGTAAAAAGAAAGGTTCAACTCTGTTAGTTGAATACACACGTCACAAACAAGTTTCTGAGAATGCTTCTGTCTAGTTTTTATGGGAAGATATTTCCTTTTTCACCGTAGGCCTCAAAGCGCTCCAAATGTCCACTTCCACATACTACAAAAAGAGTGTTTCAAACCTGCTCTATGATAGGGAATGTTGAAACCTATGAGTTGAATGCAAGCATTACAAAGAGGTTTCTGAGAATGCTTCTGTCTAGATTTTATATGTAGATATTCCCGTTTCCAACGAAATCCTCAAAGCTATCCAAATATCAACTTGCAGATTCTACAAAAGGAATGTTTCCAAAATGCTGTATCCAAACAAAGGTTCAACTCTGTGAATTGAGGGCATACATCACAAAGAAGATTCTGAGAATGCTTCTGTCTAGATTTTATATGAAAATATTCCCGTTTCCAACGAAATCCTCAAAGCTATCCAAATATCCACTTGCAAATGCCACAAAAAGAGTGTTTCCAAACTGCTCTGTGAAAAGGAAGGTTCAACTCTGTTAGTTGAGTACACACATCACAAAGAGGTTTCTGAGAATGCTGCTGACTAGTTTTTATTTGAAGATATTTCCCTTTTCACCTTAGGCCTAAGAGTGCTCGAAATGTCCATTTCCACATACTCCACAAAGTGTGTTTCAAACGTGCTGTATGAAAGGGAATGTTCAACTCTATCAGTTGAATGCAAACATCACAAAGAAGACTCTGAGAATGCTTTTGTCTAGATTTTATATGAAGATATTCCCGTGTCCAACGAAATTTTCAAAGGTCTCCAAATATCCATTTGTAGATTCTACAAAAAGAGTGTTTCCAAACTGCTGTATCAAAACAAAGGTTGAACTCTGTGAGTTGAGGACACACATCACAAATAAGTTTCTGAGAATGCTTCTGTCTAGTTTTTATTTGAAGATGTTTCCTTTTTCACCATAGGCCTGAAAGCGCTCGAAATGTCCACTTCCAGATAGTACAGAAAGAGTGTTTCAAACCTGCTCTATGAACGGGAATGTTCAGCTCTGTGAGTTGAATGCAAACATCACAAAGCAGGTTCCGAGAATGCTTCCGTCTAGATTTTAAATGAGGATATTCCCGTTTCCAACGAAATCCTCGAAGCTATCCAAATATCCACTTGCAGATTCCACAAAAAGAGTGTTTCAAAACTGCTCTGTCAAAAGATAGGTTCAACTCTGTTAGTTGAGTACACACATGGCAAACAAGATTGCGAGAATGCTTTCGTCTAGTTTTTTTGGGAAGATATTTCCTTCTTCACCATAGGCCTCAAAGCGCTCCAAATATCCATTTCCACATGCTATACAAAGAGTGTCTCAAACCTGCTGTATGAATGGGAATGTTCAACTCTATGAGTTGAATGCAAACATCACAAAGAAGTTTCTGAGAATGCTGCTGTCTAGATTTATATGAAGGTTTTCCCGCTTCCAACGAAATTTTCAATGCTCTCAAAATATCCTCTTGTAGATTCTACAAAAAGAGTGTTTCCAAACTGCTGTATCAAAACAAAGGTTCATCTCTGTTAGTTGAGGACACACATCACAAATAAGTTTCTGAGAATGCTTCTGTCTAGTTCTTATTTGAAGACATTTCCTTTCTCACCTTAGGCCTGAAAGCGCTCGAAATATCCACTTCCAGATACGACAGAAACTGTGATTCAAACCTGCTCTATGAAAGGGAATGTTCAACTAGGTGACTTGAATGCAAACATCACAAAGCAGTTTCTGAGAATGCTGCTGTCTACTTTCTATTTGTAATCCCGTTTCCAACGAAATCCTCAGAACTATCGAAATTTCCAATTGCAGATTCCACAAAAAGCGTGTTTCAAAGCTGCTCTGTAAAAAGAAAGGTTCAACTCTGTTAGTTGAATACACACGTCACAAACAAGTTTCTGAGAATGCTTCTGTCTAGTTTTTATGGGAAGATATTTCCTTTTTCACCGTAGGCCTCAAAGCGCTCCAAATGTCCACGTCCACATACTACAAAAAGAGTGTTTCAAACCTGCTGTATGAAAGGGAATGTTCAACTCTATGAGTTGAATGCAAACATTACAAAGAAGTTTCTGAGAATGCTTCTGTCTAGATTTTATATGAAGGTTTTCCCGTTTCCAACGAAATTTTCAATGCTCTCAAAATATCCACTTGTAGATTCTACAAAAAGAGTGTTTCCAAACTGCTGTGTCAAAAGAAAGGTTCAACTCTGTTAGTTGAGGACACACATCACAAATAAGTTTCTGAGAATGCTTCTGTCTAGTTCTTATTTGAAGACATTTCCTTTCTCACCTTAGGCCTGAAAACGCTCGAAATATCCACTTCCAGATACGACAGAAACAGTGATTCAAACCTGCTCTATGAAAGGGAATGTTCAACTAGGTGACTTGAATGCAAACATCACAAAGCAGTTTCTGAGAATGCTGCTGTCTACTTTCTATTTGTAATCCCGTTTCCAACGAAATCCTCAGAACTATCGAAATTTCCAATTGCAGATTCCACAAAAAGCGTGTTTCAAAGCTGCTCTGTAAAAAGAAAGGTTCAACTCTGTTAGTTGAATACACACGTCACAAACAAGTTTCTGAGAATGCTTCTGTCTAGTTTTTATGGGAAGATATTTCCTTTTTCACCGTAGGCCTCAAAGCGCTCCAAATGTCCACTTCCACATACTACAAAAAGAGTGTTTCAAACCTGCTCTATGATAGGGAATGTTGAAACCTATGAGTTGAATGCAAGCATTACAAAGAGGTTTCTGAGAATGCTTCTGTCTAGATTTTATATGTAGATATTCCCGTTTCCAACGAAATCCTCAAAGCTATCCAAATATCAACTTGCAGATTCTACAAAAGGAATGTTTCCAAAATGCTGTATCCAAACAAAGGTTCAACTCTGTGAATTGAGGGCATACATCACAAAGAAGATTCTGAGAATGCTTCTGTCTAGATTTTATATGAAAATATTCCCGTTTCCAACGAAATCCTCAAAGCTATCCAAATATCCACTTGCAAATGCCACAAAAAGAGTGTTTCCAAACTGCTCTGTGAAAAGGAAGGTTCAACTCTGTTAGTTGAGTACACACATCACAAAGAGGTTTCTGAGAATGCTGCTGACTAGTTTTTATTTGAAGATATTTCCCTTTTCACCTTAGGCCTAAGAGTGCTCGAAATGTCCATTTCCACATACTCCACAAAGTGTGTTTCAAACGTGCTGTATGAAAGGGAATGTTCAACTCTATGAGTTGAATGCAAACATCACAAAGAAGATTCTGAGAATGCTTTTGTCTAGATTTTATATGAAGATATTCCCGTGTCCAACGAAATTTTCAAAGGTCTCCAAATATCCATTTGTAGATTCTACAAAAAGAGTGTTTCCAAACTGCTGTATCAAAACAAAGGTTGAACTCTGTGAGTTGAGGACACACATCACAAATAAGTTTCTGAGAATGCTTCTGTCTAGTTTTTATTTGAAGATGTTTCCTTTTTCACCATAGGCCTGAAAGCGCTCGAAATGTCCACTTCCAGATAGTACAGAAAGAGTGTTTCAAACCTGCTCTATGATCGGGAATGTTCAGCTCTGTGAGTTGAATGCAAACATCACAAAGCAGGTTCTGAGAATGCTTCCGTCTAGATTTTAAATGAGGATATTCCCGTTTCCAACGAAATCCTCGAGCTATCCAAATATCCACTTGCAGATTCCACAAAAAGAGTGTTTCAAAACTGCTCTGTCAAAAGATAGGTTCAACTCTGTTAGTTGAGTACACACATGGCAAACAAGATTCCGAGAATGCTTTCGTCTAGTTTTTTTGGGAAGATATTTCCTTCTTCACCATAGGCCTCAAAGCGCTCCAAATATCCATTTCCACATGCTATACAAAGAGTGTCTCAAACCTGCTGTATGAATGGGAATGTTCAACTCTATGAGTTGAATGCAAACATCACAAAGAAGTTTCTGAGAATGCTGCTGTCTAGATTTTATATGAAGGTTTTCCCGCTTCCAACGAAATTTTCAATGCTCTCAAAATATCCTCTTGTAGATTCTACAAAAAGAGTGTTTCCAAACTGCTGTATCAAAACAAAGGTTCATCTCTGTTAGTTGAGGACACACATCACAAATAAGTTTCTGAGAATGCTTCTGTCTAGTTCTTATTTGAAGACATTTCCTTTCTCACCTTAGGCCTGAAAGCGCTCGAAATACCCACTTCCAGATACTACAGAAACAGTGATTCAAACCTGCTCTATGAAAGGGAATGTTCATCTAGGTGACTTGAATGCAAACATCAGAAAGCAGTTTCTGAGAATGCTGCTGTCTACTTTGTATTTGTAATCCCGTTTCCAACGAAATCCTCAGAACTATCGAAGTTTCAAATTGCAGATTCCACAGAAACAGGGTTTCAAAGCTGCTCTGTAAAAAGAAAGGTTCAACTCTGTTAGTTGAATACACACGTCACAAACAAGTTTCTGAGAATGCTTCTGTCTAGTTTTTATGGGAAGATATTTCCTTTTTCACCGTAGGCCTCAAAGCGCTCCAAATGTCCACTTCCACATACTACAAAAAGAGTGTTTCAAACCTGCTGTATGAAAGGGAATGTTCAACTCTATGAGTTGAATGCAAACATTACAAAGAAGTTTCTGAGAATGCTTCTGTCTAGATTTTATATGAAGGTTTTCCCGTTTCCAACGAAATTTTCAATGCTCTCAAAATATCCACTTGTAGATTCTACAAAAAGAGTGTTTCCAAACTGCTGTGTCAAAAGGAAGGTTCAACTCTGTTAGTTGAGGACACACATCACAAATAAGTTTCTGAGAATGCTGCTGTCTACTTTCTATTTGTAATCCCGTTTCCAAAGAAATCCTCAGAACTATCGAAATTTCCAATTGCAGATTCCACAAAAGTGTGTTTCAAAGCTGCTCTGTAAAAGGAAAGGTTCAACTCTTTTAGTTGAATACACGTCAGAAAGAAGTTTCTGAGAATGCTGCTGTCTACTTTCTATTTGTAATCCCGTTTCCAACGAAATCCTCAGAACTATCGAAATTTCCAATTGCAGATTCCACAAAAAGCGTGTTTCAAAGCTGCTCTGTAAAAAGAAAGGTTCAACTCTGTTAGTTGAATACACACGTCACAAACAAGTTTCTGAGAATGCTTCTGTCTAGTTTTTATGGGAAGATATTTCCTTTTTCACCGTAGGCCTCAAAGCGCTCCAAATGTCCACTTCCACATACTACAAAAAGAGTGTTTCAAACCTGCTCTATGATAGGGAATGTTGAAACCTATGAGTTGAATGCAAGCATTACAAAGAGGTTTCTGAGAATGCTTCTGTCTAGATTTTATATGTAGATATTCCCGTTTCCAACGAAATCCTCAAAGCTATCCAAATATCAACTTGCAGATTCTACAAAAGGAATGTTTCCAAAATGCTGTATCCAAACAAAGGTTCAACTCTGTGAATTGAGGGCATACATCACAAAGAAGATTCTGAGAATGCTTCTGTCTAGATTTTATATGAAAATATTCCCGTTTCCAACGAAATCCTCAAAGCTATCCAAATATCCACTTGCAAATGCCACAAAAAGAGTGTTTCCAAACTGCTCTGTGAGAAGGAAGGTTCAACTCTGTTAGTTGAGTACACACATCACAAAGAGGTTTCTGAGAATGCTGCTGACTAGTTTTTATTTGAAGATATTTCCCTTTTCACCTTAGGCCTAAGAGTGCTCGAAATGTCCATTTCCACATACTCCACAAAGTGTGTTTCAAACGTGCTGTATGAAAGGGAATGTTCAACTCTATGAGTTGAATGCAAACATCACAAAGAAGACTCTGAGAATGCTTTTGCCTAGATTTTATATGAAGATATTCCCGTGTCCAACGAAATTTTCAAAGGTCTCCAAATATCCATTTGTAGATTCTACAAAAAGAGTGTTTCCAAACTGCTGTATCAAAACAAAGGTTGAACTCTGTGAGTTGAGGACACACATCACAAATAAGTTTCTGAGAATGCTTCTGTCTAGTTTTTATTTGAAGATGTTTCCTTTTTCACCATAGGCCTGAAAGCGCTCGAAATGTCCACTTCCAGATAGTACAGAAAGAGTGTTTCAAACCTGCTCTATGAACGGGAATGTTCAGCTCTGTGAGTTGAATGCAAACATCACAAAGCAGGTTCTGAGAATGCTTCCGTCTAGATTTTAAATGAGGATATTCCCGTTTCCAACGAAATCCTCAAAGCTATCCAAATATCCACTTGCAGATTCCACAAAAAGAGTGTTTCAAAACTGCTCTGTCAAAAGATAGGTTCAACTCTGTTAGTTGAGTACACACATGGCAAACAAGATTCCGAGAATGCTTTCGTCTAGTTTTTTTGGGAAGATATTTCCTTCTTCACCATAGGCCTCAAAGCGCTCCAAATATCCATTTCCACATGCTATACAAAGAGTGTCTCAAACCTGCTGTATGAATGGGAATGTTCAACTCTATGAGTTGAATGCAAACATCACAAAGAAGTTTCTGAGAATGCTGCTGTCTAGATTTTATATGAAGGTTTTCCCGCTTCCAACGAAATTTTCAATGCTCTCAAAATATCCTCTTGTAGATTCTACAAAAAGAGTGTTTCCAAACTGCTGTATCAAAACAAAGGTTCATCTCTGTTAGTTGAGGACACACATCAAAAATAAGTTTCTGAGAATGCTTCTGTCTAGTTCTTATTTGAAGACATTTCCTTTCTCACCTTAGGCCTGAAAACGCTCGAAATATCCACTTCCAGATATGACAGAAACAGTGATTCAAACCTGCTCTATGAAAGGGAATGTTCAACTAGGTGACTTGAATGCAAACATCAGAAAGCAGTTTCTGAGAATGCTGCTGTCTACTTTCTATTTGTAATCCCGTTTCCAACGAAATCCTCAGAACTATCGAAATTTCCAATTGCAGATTCCACAAAAAGCGTGTTTCAAAGCTGCTCTGTAAAAAGAAAGGTTCAACTCTGTTAGTTGAATACACACGTCACAAACAAGTTTCTGAGAATGCTTCTGTCTAGTTTTTATGGGAAGATATTTCCTTTTTCACCGTAGGCCTCAAAGCGCTCCAAATGTCCACTTCCACATACTACAAAAAGAGTGTTTCAAACCTGCTCTATGATAGGGAATGTTGAAACCTATGAGTTGAATGCAAGCATTACAAAGAGGTTTCTGAGAATGCTTCTGTCTAGATTTTATATGTAGATAGATATTCCCGTTTCCAACGAAATCCTCAAACTATCCAAATATCAACTTGCAGATTCTACAAAAGGAATGTTTCCAAAATGCTGTATCCAAACAAAGGTTCAACTCGGTGAATTGAGGGCATACATCACAAAGAAGATTCTGAGAATGCTTCTGTCTAGATTTTATATGAAAATATTCCCGTTTCCAACGAAATCCTCAAAGCTATCCAAATATCCACTTGCAAATGCCACAAAAAGAGTGTTTCCAAACTGCTCTGTGAAAAGGAAGGTTCAACTCTGTTAGTTGAGTACACACATCACAAAGAGGTTTCTGAGAATGCTGCTGACTAGTTTTTATTTGAAGATATTTCCCTTTTCACCTTAGGCCTAAGAGTGCTCGAAATGTCCATTTCCACATACTCCACAAAGTGTGTTTCAAACGTGCTGTATGAAAGGGAATGTTCAACTCTATGAGTTGAATGCAAACATCACAAAGAAGATTCTGAGAATGCTTTTGTCTAGATTTTATATGAAGATATTCCCGTGTCCAACGAAATTTTCAAAGGTCTCCAAATATCCATTTGTAGATTCTACAAAAAGAGTGTTTCCAAACTGCTGTATCAAAACAAAGGTTGAACTCTGTGAGTTGAGGACACACATCACAAATAAGTTTCTGAGAATGCTTCTGTCTAGTTTTTATTTGAAGATGTTTCCTTTTTCACCATAGGCCTGATAGCGCTCGAAATGTCCACTTCTAGATAGTACAGAAAGAGTGTTTCAAACCTGCTCTATGAACGGGAATGTTCAGCTCTGTGAGTTGAATGCAAACATCACAAAGCAGGTTCTGAGAATGCTTCCGTCTAGATTTTATATGAGGATATTCCCGTTTCCAAGGAAATCCTCGAAGCTATCCAAATATCCACTTGCAGATTCCACAAAAAGAGTGTTTCAAAACTGCTCTGTCAAAAGATAGGTTCAACTCTGTTAGTTGAGTACACACATGGCAAACAAGATTCCGAGAATGCTTTCGTCTAGTTTTTTTGGGAAGATATTTCCTTCTTCACCATAGGCCTCAAAGCGCTCCAAATATCCATTTCCACATGCTATACAAAGAGTGTCTCAAACCTGCTGTATGAATGGGAATGTTCAACTCTATGAGTTGAATGCAAACATCACAAAGAAGTTTCTGAGAATGCTGCTGTCTAGATTTTATATGAAGGTTTTCCCGCTTCCAACGAAATTTTCAATGCTCTCAAAATATCCTCTTGTAGATTCTACAAAAAGAGTGTTTCCAAACTGCTGTATCAAAACAAAGGTTCATCTCTGTTAGTTGAGGACACACATCACAAATAAGTTTCTGAGAATGCTTCTGTCTAGTTCTTATTTGAAGACATTTCCTTTCTCACCTTAGGCCTGAAAGCGCTCGAAATACCCACTTCCAGATACTACAGAAACAGTGATTCAAACCTGCTCTATGAAAGGGAATGTTCAACTAGGTGACTTGAATGCAAACATCACAAAGCAGTTTCTGAGAATGCTGCTGTCTACTTTCTATTTGTAATCCCGTTTCCAACGAAATCCTCAGAACTATCGAAATTTCCAATTGCAGATTCCACAAAAAGCGTGTTTCAAAGCTGCTCTGTAAAAAGAAAGGTTCAACTCTGTTAGTTGAATACACACGTCACAAACAAGTTTCTGAGAATGCTTCTGTCTAGTTTTTATGGGAAGATATTTCCTTTTTCACGGTAGGCCTCAAAGCGCTCCAAATGTCCACTTCCACATACTACAAAAAGAGTGTTTCAAACCTGCTCTATGATAGGGAATGTTGAAACCTATGAGTTGAATGCAAGCATTACAAAGAGGTTTCTGAGAATGCTTCTGTCTAGATTTTATATGTAGATATTCCCGTTTCCAACGAAATCCTCAAAGCTATCCAAATATCAACTTGCAGATTCTACAAAAGGAATGTTTCCAAAGTGCTGTATCCAAACAAAGGTTCAACTCTGTGAATTGAGGGCATACATCACAAAGAAGATTCTGAGAATGCTTCTGTCTAGATTTTATATGAAAATATTCCCGGTTCCAACGAAATCCTCAAAGCTATCCAAATATCCACTTGCAAATGCCACAAAAAGAGTGTTTCCAAACTGCTCTGTGAAAAGGAAGGTTCAACTCTGTTAGTTGAGTACACACATCACAAAGAGGTTTCTGAGAATGCTGCTGACTAGTTTTTATTTGAAGATATTTCCCTTTTCACCTTAGGCCTAAGAGTGCTCGAAATGTCCATTTCCACATACTCCACAAAGTGTGTTTCAAACGTGCTGTATGAAAGGGAATGTTCAACTCTATGAGTTGAATGCAAACATCACAAAGAAGACTCTGAGAATGCTTTTGTCTAGATTTTATATGAAGATATTCCCGTGTCCAACGAAATTTTCAAAGGTCTCCAAATATCCATTTGTAGATTCTACAAAAAGAGTGTTTCCAAACTGCTGTATCAAAACAAAGGTTGAACTCTGTGAGTTGAGGACACACATCACAAATAAGTTTCTGAGAATGCTTCTGTCTAGTTCTTATTTGAAGACATTTCCTTTCTCACCTTAGGCCTGAAAACGCTCGAAATATCCACTTCCAGATACGACAGAAACAGTGATTCAAACCTGCTCTATGAAAGGGAATGTTCAACTAGGTGACTTGAATGCAAACATCACAAAGCAGTTTCTGAGAATGCTGCTGTCTACTTTCTATTTGTAATCCCGTTTCCAACGAAATCCTCAGAACTATCGAAATTTCCAATTGCAGATTCCACAAAAAGCGTGTTTCAAAGCTGCTCTGTAAAAAGAAAGGTTCAACTCTGTTAGTTGAATACACACGTCACAAACAAGTTTCTGAGAATGCTTCTGTCTAGTTTTTATGGGAAGATATTTCCTTTTTCACCGTAGGCCTCAAAGCGCTCCAAATGTCCACTTCCACATCCTACAAAAAGAGTGTTTCAAACCTGCTCTATGATAGGGAATGTTGAAACCTATGAGTTGAATGCAAGCATTACAAAGAGGTTTCTGAGAATGCTTCCTGTCTAGATTTTATATGTAGATATTCCCGTTTCCAACGAAATCTTCAAAGCTATCCAAATATCAACTTGCAGATTCTACAAAAGGAATGTTTCCAAAATGCTGTATCCAAACAAAGGTTCAACTCTGTGAATTGAGGGCATACATCACAAAGAAGATTCTGAGAATGCTTCTGTCTAGATTTTATATGAAAATATTCCCGTTTCCAACGAAATCCTCAAAGCTATCCAAATATCCACTTGCAAATGCCACAAAAAGAGTGTTTCCAAACTGCTCTGTGAAAAGGAAGGTTCAACTCTGTTAGTTGAGTACACACATCACAAAGAGGTTTCTGAGAATGCTGCTGACTAGTTTTTATTTGAAGATATTTCCCTTTTCACCTTAGGCCTAAGAGTGCTCGAAATGTCCATTTCCACATACTCCACAAAGTGTGTTTCAAACGTGCTGTATGAAAGGGAATGTTCAACTCTATGAGTTGAATGCAAACATCACAAAGAAGATTCTGAGAATGCTTTTGTCTAGATTTTATATGAAGATATTCCCGTGTCCAACGAAATTTTCAAAGGTTTCCAAATAAAGATTGTTTCCAAACTGCTGTATCAAAACAAAGGTTGAACTCTGTGAGTTGAGGACACACATCACAAATAAGTTTCTGAGAATGCTTCTGTCTAGTTTTTATTTGAAGATGTTTCCTTTTTCACCATAGGCCTGAAAGCGCTCGAAATGTCCACTTCCAGATAGTACAGAAAGAGTGTTTCAAACCTGCTCTATGAACGGGAATGTTCAGCTCTGTGAGTTGAATGCAAACATCACAAAGCAGGTTCTGAGAATGCTTCCGTCTAGATTTTAAATGAGGATATTCCCGTTTCCAACGAAATCCTCGAAGCTATCCAAATATCCACTTGCAGATTCCACAAAAAGAGTGTTTCAAAACTGCTCTGTCAAAAGATAGGTTCAACTCTGTTAGTTGAGTACACACATGGCAAACAAGATTCCGAGAATGCTTTCGTCTAGTTTTTTTGGGAAGATATTTCCTTCTTCACCATAGGCCTCAAAGCGCTCCAAATATCCATTTCCACATGCTATACAAAGAGTGTCTCAAACCTGCTGTATGAATGGGAATGTTCAACTCTATGAGTTGAATGCAAACATCACAAAGAAGTTTCTGAGAATGCTGCTGTCTAGATTTTATATGAAGGTTTTCCCGCATCCAACGAAATTTTCAATGCTCTCAAAATATCCTCTTGTAGATTCTACAAAAAGAGTGTTTCCAAACTGCTGTATCAAAACAAAGGTTCATCTCTGTTAGCTGAGGACACACATCACAAATAGGTTTCTGAGAATGTTTCTGTCTAGTTCTTATTTGAAGACATTTCCTTTCTCACCTTAGGCCTGAAAACGCTCGAAATATCCACTTCCAGATACGACAGAAACTGTGATTCAAACCTGCTCTATGAAAGGGAATGTTCAACTAGGTGACTTGAATGCAAACATCACAAAGCAGTTTCTGAGAATGCTGCTGTCTACTTTCTATTTGTAATCCCGTTTCCAACGAAATCCTCAGAACTATCGAAATTTCCAATTGCAGATTCCACAAAAAGCGTGTTTCAAAGCTGCTCTGTAGAAAGAAAGGTTCAACTCTGTTAGTTGAATACACACGTCACAAACAAGTTTCTGAGAATGCTTCTGTCTAGTTTTTATGGGAAGATATTTCCTTTTTCACCGTAGGCCTCAAAGCGCTCCAAATGTCCACTTCCACATACTACAAAAAGAGTGTTTCAAACCTGCTCTATGATAGGGAATGTTGAAACCTATGAGTTGAATGCAAGCATTACAAAGAGGTTTCTGAGAATGCTTCTGTCTAGATTTTATATGTAGATATTCCCGTTTCCAACGAAATCCTCAAAGCTATCCAAATATCAACTTGCAGATTCTACAAAAGGAATGTTTCCAAAATGCTGTATCCAAACAAAGGTTCAACTCTGTGAATTGAGGGCATACATCACAAAGAAGATTCTGAGAATGCTTCTGTCTAGATTTTATATGAAAATATTCCCGTTTCCAACGAAATCCTCAAAGCTATCCAAATATCCACTTGCAAATGCCACAAAAAGAGTGTTTCCAAACTGCTCTGTGAAAAGGAAGGTTCAACTCTGTTAGTTGAGTACACACATCACAAAGAGGTTTCTGAGAATGCTGCTGACTAGTTTTTATTTGAAGATATTTCCCTTTTCACCTTAGGCCTAAGGAGTGCTCGAAATGTCCATTTCCACATACTCCACAAAGTGTGTTTCAAACGTGCTGTATGAAAGGGAATGTTCAACTCTATGAGTTGAATGCAAACATCACAAAGAAGATTCTGAGAATGCTTTTGTCTAGATTTTATATGAAGATATTCCCGTGTCCAACGAAATTTTCAAAGGTCTCCAAATATCCATTTGTAGATTCTACAAAAAGAGTGTTTCCAAACTGCTGTATCAAAACAAAGGTTGAACTCTGTGAGTTGAGGACACACATCACAAATAAGTTTCTGAGAATGCTTCTGTCTAGTTTTTATTTGAAGATGTTTCCTTTTTCACCATAGGCCTGAAAGCGCTCGAAATGTCCACTTCCAGATAGTACAGAAAGAGTGTTTCAAACCTGCTCTATGAACGGGAATGTTCAGCTCTGTGAGTTGAATGCAAACATCACAAAGCAGGTTCTGAGAATGCTTCCGTCTAGATTTTAAATGAGGATATTCCCGTTTCCAACGAAATCCTCGAAGCTATCCAAATATGCACTTGCAGATTCCACAAAAAGAGTGTTTCAAAACTGCTCTGTCAAAAGATAGGTTCAACTCTGTTAGTTGAGTACACACATGGCAAACAAGATTCCGAGAATGCTTTCGTCTAGTTTTTTTGGGAAGATATTTCCTTCTTCACCATAGGCCTCAAAGCGCTCCAAATATCCATTTCCACATGCTATACAAAGAGTGTCTCAAACCTGCTGTATGAATGGGAATGTTCAACTCTATGAGTTGAATGCAAACATCACAAAGAAGTTTCTGAGAATGCTGCTGTCTAGATTTTATATGAAGGTTTTCCCGCTTCCAACGAAATTTTCAATGCTCTCAAAATATCCTCTTGTAGATTCTACAAAAAGAGTGTTTCCAAACTGCTGTATCAAAACAAAGGTTCATCTCTGTTAGTTGAGGACACACATCACAAATAAGTTTCTGAGAATGCTTCTGTCTAGTTCTTATTTGAAGACATTTCCTTTCTCACCTTAGGCCTGAAAGCGCTCGAAATACCCACTTCCAGATACTACAGAAACAGTGATTCAAACCTGCTCTATGAAAGGGAATGTTCAACTAGGTGACTTGAATGCAAACATCACAAAGCAGTTTCTGAGAATGCTGCTGTCTACTTTCTATTTGTAATCCCGTTTCCAACGAAATCCTCAGAACTATCGAAATTTCCAATTGCAGATTCCACAGAAACAGGGTTTCAAAGCTGCTCTGTAAAAAGAAAGGTTCAACTCTGTTAGTTGAATACACACGTCACAAACAAGTTTCTGAGAATGCTTCTGTCTAGTTTTTATGGGAAGATATTTCCTTTTTCACCGTAGGCCTCAAAGCGCTCCAAATGTCCACGTCCACATACTACAAAAAGAGTGTTTCAAACCTGCTGTATGAAAGGGAATGTTCAACTCTATGAGTTGAATGCAAACATTACAAAGAAGTTTCTGAGAATGCTTCTGTCTAGATTTTATATGAAGGTTTTCCCGTTTCCAACGAAATTTTCAATGCTCTGAAAATATCCACTTGTAGATTCTACAAAAAGAGTGTTTCCAAACTGCTGTGTCAAAAGAAAGGTTCAACTCTGTTAGTTGAGGACACACATCACAAATAAGTTTCTGAGAATGCTTCTGTCTAGTTCTTATTTGAAGACATTTCCTTTCTCACCTTAGGCCTGAAAACGCTCGAAATATCCACTTCCAGATACGACAGAAACAGTGATTCAAACCTGCTCTATGAAAGGGAATGTTCAACTAGGTGACTTGAATGCAAACATCACAAAGCAGTTTCTGAGAATGCTGCTGTCTACTTTCTATTTGTAATCCCGTTTCCAACGAAATCCTCAGAACTATCGAAATTTCCAATTGCAGATTCCACAAAAAGCGTGTTTCAAAGCTGCTCTGTAAAAAGAAAGGTTCAACTCTGTTAGTTGAATACACACGTCACAAACAAGTTTCTGAGAATGCTTCTGTCTAGTTTTTATGGGAAGATATTTCCTTTTTCACGGTAGGCCTCAAAGCGCTCCAAATGTCCACTTCCACATACTACAAAAAGAGTGTTTCAAACCTGCTCTATGATAGGGAATGTTGAAACCTATGAGTTGAATGCAAGCATTACAAAGAGGTTTCTGAGAATGCTTCTGTCTAGATTTTATATGTAGATATTCCCGTTTCCAACGAAATCCTCAAAGCTATCCAAATATCAACTTGCAGATTCTACAAAAGGAATGTTTCCAAAATGCTGTATCCAAACAAAGGTTCAACTCTGTGAATTGAGGGCATACATCACAAAGAAGATTCTGAGAATGCTTCTGTCTAGATTTTATATGAAAATATTCCCGTTTCCAACGAAATCCTCAAAGCTATCCAAATATCCACTTGCAAATGCCACAAAAAGAGTGTTTCCAAACTGCTCTGTGAAAAGGAAGGTTCAACTCTGTTAGTTGAGTACACACATCACAAAGAGGTTTCTGAGAATGCTGCTGACTAGTTTTTATTTGAAGATATTTCCCTTTTCACCTTAGGCCTAAGAGTGCTCGAAATGTCCATTTCCACATACTCCACAAAGTGTGTTTCAAACGTGCTGTATGAAAGGGAATGTTCAACTCTATGAGTTGAATGCAAACATCACAAAGAAGATTCTGAGAATGCTTTTGTCTAGATTTTATATGAAGATATTCCCGTGTCCAACGAAATTTTCAAAGGTCTCCAAATATCCATTTGTAGATTCTACAAAAAGAGTGTTTCCAAACTGCTGTATCAAAACAAAGGTTGAACTCTGTGAGTTGAGGACACACATCACAAATAAGTTTCTGAGAATGCTTCTGTCTAGTTTTTATTTGAAGATGTTTCCTTTTTCACCATAGGCCTGAAAGCGCTCGAAATGTCCACTTCCAGATAGTACAGAAAGAGTGTTTCAAACCTGCTCTATGAACGGGAATGTTCAGCTCTGTGAGTTGAATGCAAACATCACAAAGCAGGTTCTGAGAATGCTTCCGTCTAGATTTTAAATGAGGATATTCCCGTTTCCAACGAAATCCTCGAAGCTATCCAAATATCCACTTGCAGATTCCACAAAAAGAGTGTTTCAAAACTGCTCTGTCAAAAGATAGGTTCAACTCTGTTAGTTGAGTACACACATGGCAAACAAGATTCCGAGAATGCTTTCGTCTAGTTTTTTTGGGAAGATATTTCCTTCTTCACCATAGGCCTCAAAGCGCTCCAAATATCCATTTCCACATGCTATACAAAGAGTGTCTCAAACCTGCTGTATGAATGGGAATGTTCAACTCTATGAGTTGAATGCAAACATCACAAAGAAGTTTCTGAGAATGCTGCTGTCTAGATTTTATATGAAGGTTTTCCCGCTTCCAACGAAATTTTCAATGCTCTCAAAATATCCTCTTGTAGATTCTACAAAAAGAGTGTTTCCAAACTGCTGTATCAAAACAAAGGTTCATCTCTGTTAGTTGAGGACACACATCACAAATAAGTTTCTGAGAATGCTTCTGTCTAGTTCTTATTTGAAGACATTTCCTTTCTCACCTTAGGCCTGAAAACGCTCGAAATATCCACTTCCAGATACGACAGAAACAGTGATTCAAACCTGCTCTATGAAAGGGAATGTTCAACTAGGTGACTTGAATGCAAACATCACAAAGCAGTTTCTGAGAATGCTGCTGTCTACTTTCTATTTGTAATCCCGTTTCCAACGAAATCCTCAGAACTATCGAAATTTCCAATTGCAGATTCCACAAAAAGCGTGTTTCAAAGCTGCTCTGTAAAAAGAAAGGTTCAACTCTGTTAGTTGAATACACACGTCACAAACAAGTTTCTGAGAATGCTTCTGTCTAGTTTTTATGGGAAGATATTTCCTTTTTCACGGTAGGCCTCAAAGCGCTCCAAATGTCCACTTCCACATACTACAAAAAGAGTGTTTCAAACCTGCTCTATGATAGGGAATGTTGAAACCTATGAGTTGAATGCAAGCATTACAAAGAGGTTTCTGAGAATGCTTCTGTCTAGATTTTATATGTAGATATTCCCGTTTCCAACGAAATCCTCAAAGCTATCCAAATATCAACTTGCAGATTCTACAAAAGGAATGTTTCCAAAATGCTGTATCCAAACAAAGGTTCAACTCTGTGAATTGAGGGCATACATCACAAAGAAGATTCTGAGAATGCTTCTGTCTAGATTTTATATGAAAATATTCCCGTTTCCAACGAAATCCTCAAAGCTATCCAAATATCCACTTGCAAATGCCACAAAAAGAGTGTTTCCAAACTGCTCTGTGAAAAGGAAGGTTCAACTCTGTTAGTTGAGTACACACATCACAAAGAGGTTTCTGAGAATGCTGCTGACTAGTTTTTATTTGAAGATATTTCCCTTTTCACCTTAGGCCTAAGAGTGCTCGAAATGTCCATTTCCACATACTCCACAAAGTGTGTTTCAAACGTGCTGTATGAAAGGGAATGTTCAACTCTATGAGTTGAATGCAAACATCACAAAGAAGATTCTGAGAATGCTTTTGTCTAGATTTTATATGAAGATATTCCCGTGTCCAACGAAATTTTCAAAGGTCTCCAAATATCCATTTGTAGATTCTACAAAAAGAGTGTTTCCAAACTGCTGTATCAAAACAAAGGTTGAACTCTGTGAGTTGAGGACACACATCACAAATAAGTTTCTGAGAATGCTTCTGTCTAGTTTTTATTTGAAGATATTTCCTTTTTCACCATAGGCCTGAAAGCGCTCGAAATGTCCACTTCCAGATAGTACAGAAAGAGTGTTTCAAACCTGCTCTATGAACGGGAATGTTCAGCTCTGTGAGTTGAATGCAAACATCACAAAGCAGGTTCTGAGAATGCTTCCATCTAGATTTTAAATGAGGATATTCCCGTTTCCAACGAAATCCTCGAAGCTATCCAAATATCCACTTGCAGATTCCACAAAAAGAGTGTTTCAAAACTGCTCTGTCAAAAGATAGGTTCAACTCTGTTAGTTGAGTACACACATGGCAAACAAGATTCCGAGAATGCTTTCGTCTAGTTTTTTTGGGAAGATATTTCCTTCTTCACCATAGGCCTCAAAGCGCTCCAAATATCCATTTCCGCATGCTATACAAAGAGTGTCTCAAACCTGCTGTATGAATGGGAAAGTTCAACTCTATGAGTTGAATGCAAACATCACAAAGAAGTTTCTGAGAATGCTGCTGTCTAGATTTTATATGAAGGTTTTCCCGCTTCCAACGAAATTTTCAATGCTCTCAAAATATCCTCTTGTAGATTCTACAAAAAGAGTGTTTCCAAACTGCTGTATCAAAACAAAGGTTCATCTCTGTTAGTTGAGGACACACATCACAAATAAGTTTCTGAGAATGCTTCTGTCTAGTTCTTATTTGAAGACATTTCCTTTCTCACCTTAGGCCTGAAAGCGCTCGAAATACCCACTTCCAGATACTACAGAAACAGTGATTCAAACCTGCTCTATGAAAGGGAATGTTCAACTAGGTGACTTGAATGCAAACATCACAAAGCAGTTTCTGAGAATGCTGCTGTCTACTTTCTATTTGTAATCCCGTTTCCAACGAAATCCTCAGAACTATCGAAATTTCCAATTGCAGATTCCACAGAAACAGGGTTTCAAAGCTGCTCTGTAAAAAGAAAGGTTCAACTCTGTTAGTTGAATACACACGTCACAAACAAGTTTCTGAGAATGCTTCTGTCTAGTTTTTATGGGAAGATATTTCCTTTTTCACCGTAGGCCTCAAAGCGCTCCAAATGTCCACTTCCACATACTACAAAAAGAGTGTTTCAAACCTGCTGTATGAAAGGGAATGTTCAACTCTATGAGTTGAATGCAAACATTACAAAGAAGTTTCTGAGAATGCTTCTGTCTAGATTTTATATGAAGGTTTTCCCGTTTCCAACGAAATTTTCAATGCTCTCAAAATATCCACTTGTAGATTCTACAAAAAGAGTGTTTCCAAACTGCTGTGTCAAAAGAAAGGTTCAACTCTGTTAGTTGAGGACACACATCACAAATAAGTTTCTGAGAATGCTTCTGTCTAGTTCTTATTTGAAGACATTTCCTTTCTCACCTTAGGCCTGAAAGCGCTCGAAATACCCACTTCCAGATACTACAGAAACAGTGATTCAAACCTGCTCTATGAAAGGGAATGTTCAACTAGGTGACTTGAATGCAAACATCACAAAGCAGTTTCTGAGAATGCTGCTGTCTACTTTCTATTTGTAATCCCGTTTCCAACGAAATCCTCAGAACTATCGAAATTTCCAATTGCAGATTCCACAAAAAGCGTGTTTCAAAGCTGCTCTGTAAAAAGAAAGGTTCAACTCTGTTAGTTGAATACACACGTCACAAACAAGTTTCTGAGAATGCTTCTGTCTAGTTTTTATGGGAAGATATTTCCTTTTTCACCGTAGGCCTCAAAGCGCTCCAAATGTCCACTTCCACATACTACAAAAAGAGTGTTTCAAACCTGCTCTATGATAGGGAATGTTGAAACCTATGAGTTGAATGCAAGCATTACAAAGAGGTTTCTGAGAATGCTTCTGTCTAGATTTTATATGTAGATATTCCCGTTTCCAACGAAATCCTCAAACTATCCAAATATCAACTTGCAGATTCTACAAAAGGAATGTTTCCAAAATGCTGTATCCAAACAAAGGTTCAACTCTGTGAATTGAGGGCATACATCACAAAGAAGATTCTGAGAATGCTTCTGTCTAGATTTTATATGAAAATATTCCCGTTTCCAACGAAATCCTCAAAGCTATCCAAATATCCACTTGCAAATGCCACAAAAAGAGTGTTTCCAAACTGCTCTGTGAAAAGGAAGGTTCAACTCTGTTAGTTGAGTACACACATCACAAAGAGGTTTCTGAGAATGCTGCTGACTAGTTTTTATTTGAAGATATTTCCCTTTTCACCTTAGGCCTAAGAGTGCTCGAAATGTCCATTTCCACATACTCCACAAAGTGTGTTTCAAACGTGCTGTATGAAAGGGAATGTTCAACTCTATGAGTTGAATTCAAACATCACAAAGAAGATTCTGAGAATGCTTTTGTCTAGATTTTATATGAAGATATTCCCGTGTCCAACGAAATTTTCAAAGGT
Source organism: Homo sapiens (assembly GCF_000001405.40). Classification (NCBI taxonomy): domain Eukaryota; kingdom Metazoa; phylum Chordata; class Mammalia; order Primates; family Hominidae; genus Homo; species Homo sapiens. Next base: position 19,236,594 of record NC_000015.10, on the reverse strand, counting down.
CTCCAAATATCCATTTGTAGATTCTACAAAAAGAGTGTTTCCAAACTGCTGTATCAAAACAAAGGTTGAACTCTGTGAGTTGAGGACACACATCACAAATAAGTTTCTGAGAATGCTTCTGTCTAGTTTTTATTTGAAGATGTTTCCTTTTTCACCATAGGCCTGAAAGCGCTCGAAATGTCCACTTCCAGATAGTACAGAAAGAGTGTTTCAAACCTGCTCTATGAACGGGAATGTTCAGCTCTGTGAGTTGAATGCAAACATCACAAAGCAGGTTCTGAGAATGCTTCCGTCTAGATTTTAAATGAGGATATTCCCGTTTCCAAAGAAATCCTCGAAGCTATCCAAATATCCACTTGCAGATTCCACAAAAAGAGTGTTTCAAAACTGCTCTGTCAAAAGATAGGTTCAACTCTGTTAGTTGAATACACACGTCACAAACAAGTTTCTGAGATTGCTTCTGTCTAGTTTTTATGGGAAGATATTTCCTTTTTCACCGTAGGCCTCAAAGCGCTCCAAATGTCCACTTCCACATACTACAAAAAGAGTGTTTCAAACCTGCTGTATGAAAGGGAATGTTCAACTCTATGAGTTGAATGCAAACATTACAAAGAAGTTTCTGAGAATGCTTCTGTCTAGATTTTATATGAAGGTTTTCCCGTTTCCAACGAAATTTTCAATGCTCTCAAAATATCCACTTGTAGATTCTACAAAAAGAGTGTTTCCAAACTGCTGTGTCAAAAGAAAGGTTCAACTCTGTTAGTTGAGGACACACATCACAAATAAGTTTCTGAGAATGCTGCTGTCTACTTTCTATTTGTAATCCGGTTTCCAACGAAATCCTCAGAACTATCAAAATTTCCAATTGCAGGTTCCACAAAAAGCGTGTTTCCAAGCTGCTCTGTAAAAAGAAAAGTTCAACTCTGTTAGTTGAATACACACGTCACAAACAAGTTTCTGAGAATGCTTCTGTCTAGTTTTTATGGGAAGATATTTCCTTTTTCACCGTAGGCCTCAAAGCGCTCCAAATGTCCACTTCCACATACTACAAAAAGAGTGTTTCAAACCTGCTCTATGATAGGGAATGTTGAAACCTATGAGTTGAATGCAAACATTACAAAGAGGTTTCTGAGAATGCTTCTGTCTAGATTTTATATGAAGGTTTTCCCGTTTCCAACGAAATTTTCAATGCTCTCAAAATATCCACTTGTAGATTCTACAAAAAGAGTGTTTCCAAACTGCTGTGTCAAAAGAAAGGTTCAACTCTGTTAGTTGAGGACACACATCACAAATAAGTTTCTGAGAATGCTTCTGTCTAGTTCTTATTTGAAGACATTTCCTTTCTCACCTTAGGCCTGAAAGCGCTCGAAATATCCACTTCCAGATACGACAGAAACAGTGATTCAAACCTGCTCTATGAAAGGGAATGTTCAACTAGGTGACTTGAATGCAAACATCACAAAGCAGTTTCTGAGAATGCTGCTGTCTACTTTCTATTTGTAATCCCGTTTCCAACGAAATCCTCAGAACCATCGAAATTTCCAATTGCAGATTCCACAAAAAGCGTGTTTCAAAGCTGCTCTGTAAAAAGAAAGGTTCAACTCTGTTAGTTGAATACACACGTCACAAACAAGTTTCTGAGAATGCTTCTGTCTAGTTTTTATGGGAAGATATTTCCTTTTTCACGGTAGGCCTCAAAGCGCTCCAAATGTCCACTTCCACATACTACAAAAAGAGTGTTTCAAACCTGCTCTATGATAGGGAATGTTGAAACCTATGAGTTGAATGCAAGCATTACAAAGAGGTTTCTGAGAATGCTTCTGTCTAGATTTTATATGTAGATATTCCCGTTTCCAACGAAATCCTCAAAGCTATCCAAATATCAACTTGCAGATTCTACAAAAGGAATGTTTCCAAAATGCTGTATCCAAACAAAGGTTCAACTCTGTGAATTGAGGGCATACATCACAAAGAAGATTCTGAGAATGCTTCTGTCTAGATTTTATATGAAAATATTCCCGTTTCCAACGAAATCCTCAAAGCTATCCAAATATCCACTTGCAAATGCCACAAAAAGAGTGTTTCCAAACTGCTCTGTGAAAAGGAAGGTTCAACTCTGTTAGTTGAGTACACACATCACAAAGAGGTTTCTGAGAATGCTGCTGACTAGTTTTTATTTGAAGATATTTCCCTTTTCACCTTAGGCCTAAGAGTGCTCGAAATGTCCATTTCCACATACTCCACAAAGTGTGTTTCAAACGTGCTGTATGAAAGGGAATGTTCAACTCTATGAGTTGAATGCAAACATCACAAAGAAGATTCTGAGAATGCTTTTGTCTAGATTTTATATGAAGATATTCCCGTGTCCAACGAAATTTTCAAAGGTCTCCAAATATCCATTTGTAGATTCTACAAAAAGAGTGTTTCCAAACTGCTGTATCAAAACAAAGGTTGAACTCTGTGAGTTGAGGACACACATCACAAATAAGTTTCTGAGAATGCTTCTGTCTAGTTTTTATTTGAAGATGTTTCCTTTTTCACCATAGGCCTGAAAGCGCTCGAAATGTCCACTTCCAGATAGTACAGAAAGAGTGTTTCAAACCTGCTCTATGAACGGGAATGTTCAGCTCTGTGAGTTGAATGCAAACATCACAAAGCAGGTTCTGAGAATTCTTCCGTCTAGATTTTAAATGAGGATATTCCCGTTTCCAACGAAATCCTCGAAGCTATCCAAATATCCACTTGCAGATTCCACAAAAAGAGTGTTTCAAAACTGCTCTGTCAAAAGATAGGTTCAACTCTGTTAGTTGAGTACACACATGGCAAACAAGATTCCGAGAATGCTTTTCGTCTAGTTTTTTTGGGAAGATATTTCCTTCTTCACCATAGGCCTCAAAGCGCTCCAAATATCCATTTCCAAATGCTATACAAAGAGTGTCTCAAACCTGCTGTATGAATGGGAATGTTCAACTCTATGAGTTGAATGCAAACATCACAAAGAAGTTTCTGAGAATGCTGCTGTCTAGATTTTATATGAAGGTTTTCCCGCTTCCAACGAAATTTTCAATGCTCTCAAAATATCCTCTTGTAGATTCTACAAAAAGAGTGTTTCCAAACTGCTGTATCAAAACAAAGGTTCATCTCTGTTAGTTGAGGACACACATCACAAATAAGTTTCTGAGAATGCTTCTGTCTAGTTCTTATTTGAAGACATTTCCTTTCTCACCTTAGGCCTGAAAGCGCTCGAAATACCCACTTCCAGATACTACAGAAACAGTGATTCAAACCTGCTCTATGAAAGGGAATGTTCAACTATGTGACTTGAATGCAAACATCACAAAGCAGTTTCTGAGAATGCTTGCTGTCTACTTTCTATTTGTAATCCCGTTTCCAACGAAATCCTCAGCAACTATCGAAATTTCCAATTGCAGATTCCACAGAAACAGGGTTTCAAAGCTGCTCTGTAAAAAGAAAGGTTCAACTCTGTTAGTTGAATACACACGTCACAAACAAGTTTCTGAGAATGCTTCTGTCTAGTTTTTATGGGAAGCATATTTCCTTTTTCACCGTAGGCCTCAAAGCGCTCCAAATGTCCACTTCCACATACTACAAAAAGAGTGTTTCAAACCTGCTCTATGATAGGGAATGTTGAAACCTATGAGTTGAATGCAAACATTACAAAGAGGTTTCTGAGAATGCTTCTGTCTAGATTTTATATGTAGATATTCCCGTTTCCAACGAAATCCTCAAAGCTATCCAAATATCAACTTGCAGATTCTACAAAAGGAATGTTTCCAAAATGCTGTATCCAAACAAAGGTTCAACTCTGTGAATTGAGGGCATACATCACAAAGAAGATTCTGAGAATGCTTCTGTCTAGATTTTATATGAAAATATTCCCGTTTCCAACGAAATCCTCAAAGCTATCCAAATATCCACTTGCAAATGCCACAAAAAGAGTGTTTCCAAACTGCTCTGTGAAAAGGAAGGTTCAACTCTGTTAGTTGAGTACACACATCACAAAGAGGTTTCTGAGAATGCTGCTGACTAGTTTTTATTTGAAGATATTTCCCTTTTCACCTTAGGCCTAAGAGTGCTCGAAATGTCCATTTCCACATACTCCACAAAGTGTGTTTCAAACGTGCTGTATGAAAGGGAATGTTCAACTCTATGAGTTGAATGCAAACATCACAAAGAAGATTCTGAGAATGCTTTTGTCTAGATTTTATATGAAGATATTCCCGTGTCCAACGAAATTTTCAAAGGTCTCCAAATATCCATTTGTAGATTCTACAAAAAGAGTGTTTCCAAACTGCTGTATCAAAACAAAGGTTGAACTCTGTGAGTTGAGGACACACATCACAAATAAGTTTCTGAGAATGCTTCTGTCTAGTTTTTATTTGAAGATGTTTCCTTTTTCACCATAGGCCTGAAAGCGCTGGAAATGTCCACTTCCAGATAGTACAGAAAGAGTGTTTCAAACCTGCTCTATGAACGGGAATGTTCAGCTCTGTGAGTTGAATGCAAACATCACAAAGCAGGTTCTGAGAATGCTTCCGTCTAGATTTTAAATGAGGATATTCCCGTTTCCAACGAAATCCTCGAAGCTATCCAAATATCCACTTGCAGATTCCACAAAAAGAGTGTTTCAAAACTGCTCTGTCAAAAGATAGGTTCAACTCTGTTAGTTGAGTACACACATGGCAAACAAGATTCCGAGAATGCTTTCGTCTAGTTTTTTTGGGAAGATATTTCCTTCTTCACCATAGGCCTCAAAGCGCTCCAAATATCCATTTCCACATGCTATACAAAGAGTGTCTCAAACCTGCTGTATGAATGGGAATGTTCAACTCTATGAGTTGAATGCAAACATCACAAAGAAGTTTCTGAGAATGCTGCTGTCTAGATTTTATATGAAGGTTTTCCCGCTTCCAACGAAATTTTCAATGCTCTCAAAATATCCTCTTGTAGATTCTACAAAAAGAGTGTTTCCAAACTGCTGTATCAAAACAAAGGTTCATCTCTGTTAGTTGAGGACACACATCACAAATAAGTTTCTGAGAATGCTTCTGTCTAGTTCTTATTTGAAGACATTTCCTTTCTCACCTTAGGCCTGAAAGCGCTCGAAATACCCACTTCCAGATACTACAGAAACAGTGATTCAAACCTGCTCTATGAAAGGGAATGTTCAACTAGGTGACTTGAATGCAAACATCACAAAGCAGTTTCTGAGAATGCTGCTGTCTACTTTCTATTTGTAATCCCGTTTCCAACGAAATCCTCAGAACTATCGAAATTTCCAATTGCAGATTCCACAGAAACAGGGTTTCAAAGCTGCTCTGTAAAAAGAAAGGTTCAACTCTGTTAGTTGAATACACACGTCACAAACAAGTTTCTGAGAATGCTTCTGTCTAGTTTTTATGGGAAGATATTTCCTTTTTCACCGTAGGCCTCAAAGCGCTCCAAATGTCCACTTCCACATACTACAAAAAGAGTGTTTCAAACCTGCTGTATGAAAGGGAATGTTCAACTCTATGAGTTGAATGCAAACATTACAAAGAAGTTTCTGAGAATGCTTCTGTCTAGATTTTATATGAAGGTTTTCCCGTTTCCAACGAAATTTTCAATGCTCTCAAAATATCCACTTGTAGATTCTACAAAAAGAGTGTTTCCAAACTGCTGTGTCAAAAGAAAGGTTCAACTCTGTTAGTTGAGGACACACATCACAAATAAGTTTCTGAGAATGCTTCTGTCTAGTTCTTATTTGAAGACATTTCCTTTCTCACCTTAGGCCTGAAAACGCTCGAAATATCCACTTCCAGATACGACAGAAACAGTGATTCAAACCTGCTCTATGAAAGGGAATGTTCAACTAGGTGACTTGAATGCAAACATCACAAAGCAGTTTCTGAGAATGCTGCTGTCTACTTTCTATTTGTAATCCCGTTTCCAACGAAATCCTCAGAACTATCGAAATTTCCAATTGCAGATTCCACAAAAAGCGTGTTTCAAAGCTGCTCTGTAAAAAGAAAGGTTCAACTCTGTTAGTTGAATACACACGTCACAAACAAGTTTCTGAGAATGCTTCTGTCTAGTTTTTATGGGAAGATATTTCCTTTTTCACCGTAGGCCTCAAAGCGCTCCAAATGTCCACTTCCACATACTACAAAAAGAGTGTTTCAAACCTGCTCTATGATAGGGAATGTTGAAACCTATGAGTTGAATGCAAGCATTACAAAGAGGTTTCTGAGAATGCTTCTGTCTAGATTTTATATGTAGATATTCCCGTTTCCAACGAAATCCTCAAACTATCCAAATATCAACTTGCAGATTCTACAAAAGGAATGTTTCCAAAATGCTGTATCCAAACAAAGGTTCAACTCTGTGAATTGAGGGCATACATCACAAAGAAGATTCTGAGAATGCTTCTGTCTAGATTTTATATGAAAATATTCCCGTTTCCAACGAAATCCTCAAAGCTATCCAAATATCCACTTGCAAATGCCACAAAAAGAGTGTTTCCAAACTGCTCTGTGAAAAGGAAGGTTCAACTCTGTTAGTTGAGTACACACATCACAAAGAGGTTTCTGAGAATGCTGCTGACTAGTTTTTATTTGAAGATATTTCCCTTTTCACCTTAGGCCTAAGAGTGCTCGAAATGTCCATTTCCACATACTCCACAAAGTGTGTTTCAAACGTGCTGTATGAAAGGGAATGTTCAACTCTATGAGTTGAATGCAAACATCACAAAGAAGATTCTGAGAATGCTTTTGTCTAGATTTTATATGAAGATATTCCCGTGTCCAACGAAATTTTCAAAGGTCTCCAAATATCCATTTGTAGATTCTACAAAAAGAGTGTTTCCAAACTGCTGTATCAAAACAAAGGTTGAACTCTGTGAGTTGAGGACACACATCACAAATAAGTTTCTGAGAATGCTTCTGTCTAGTTTTTATTTGAAGATGTTTCCTTTTTCACCATAGGCCTGAAAGCGCTCGAAATGTCCACTTCCAGATAGTACAGAAAGAGTGTTTCAAACCTGCTCTATGAACGGGAATGTTCAGCTCTGTGAGTTGAATGCAAACATCACAAAGCAGGTTCTGAGAATGCTTCCGTCTAGATTTTAAATGAGGATATTCCCGTTTCCAACGAAATCCTCGAAGCTATCCAAATATCCACTTGCAGATTCCACAAAAAGAGTGTTTCAAAACTGCTCTGTCAAAAGATAGGTTCAACTCTGTTAGTTGAGTACACACATGGCAAACAAGATTCCGAGAATGCTTCTTTCGTCTAGTTTTTTTGGGAAGATATTTCCTTCTTCACCATAGGCCTCAAAGCGCTCCAAATATCCATTTCCACATGCTATACAAAGAGTGTCTCAAACCTGCTGTATGAATGGGAATGTTCAACTCTATGAGTTGAATGCAAACATCACAAAGAAGTTTCTGAGAATGCTGCTGTCTAGATTTTATATGAAGGTTTTCCCGCTTCCAACGAAATTTTCAATGCTCTCAAAATATCCTCTTGTAGATTCTACAAAAAGAGTGTTTCCAAACTGCTGTATCAAAACAAAGGTTCATCTCTGTTAGTTGAGGACACACATCACAAATAAGTTTCTGAGAATGCTTCTGTCTAGTTCTTATTTGAAGACATTTCCTTTCTCACCTTAGGCCTGAAAGCGTTCGAAATACCCACTTCCAGATACTACAGAAACAGTGATTCAAACCTGCTCTATGAAAGGGAATGTTCAACTAGGTGACTTGAATGCAAACATCACAAAGCAGTTTCTGAGAATGCTGCTGTCTACTTTCTATTTGTAATCCCGTTTCCAACGAAATCCTCAGAACTATCGAAATTTCCAATTGCAGATTCCACAGAAACAGGGTTTCAAAGCTGCTCTGTAAAAAGAAAGGTTCAACTCTGTTAGTTGAATACACACGTCACAAACAAGTTTCTGAGAATGCTTCTGTCTAGTTTTTATGGGAAGATATTTCCTTTTTCACCGTAGGCCTCAAAGCGCTCCAAATGTCCACTTCCACATACTACAAAAAGAGTGTTTCAAACCTGCTCTATGATAGGGAATGTTGAAACCTATGAGTTGAATGCAAACATTACAAAGAGGTTTCTGAGAATGCTTCTGTCTAGATTTTATATGTAGATATTCCCGTTTCCAACGAAATCCTCAAAGCTATCCAAATATAAACTTGCAGATACTACAAAAGGAATGTTTCCAAAATGCTGTATCGAAACAAAGGTTCAACTCTGTGAATTGAGGGCATACATCACAAAGAAGATTCTGAGAATGCTTCTGTCTAGATTTTATATGAAAATATTCCCGTTTCCAACGAAATCCTCAAAGCTATCCAAATATCCACTTGCAAATGCCACAAAAAGAGTGTTTCCAAACTGCTCTGTGAAAAGGAAGGTTCAACTCTGTTAGTTGAGTACACACATCACAAAGAGGTTTCTGAGAATGCTGCTGACTAGTTTTTATTTGAAGATATTTCCCTTTTCACCTTAGGCCTAAGAGTGCTCGAAATGTCCATTTCCACATACTCCACAAAGTGTGTTTCAAACGTGCTGTATGAAAGGGAATGTTCAACTCTATCAGTTGAATGCAAACATCACAAAGAAGACTCTGAGAATGCTTTTGTCTAGATTTTATATGAAGATATTCCCGTGTCCAACGAAATTTTCAAAGGTCTCCAAATAAAGATTGTTTCCAAACTGCTGTATCAAAACAAAGGTTGAACTCTGTGAGTTGAGGACACACATCACAAATAAGTTTCTGAGAATGCTTCTGTCTAGTTTTTATTTGAAGATGTTTCCTTTTTCACCATAGGCCTGAAAGCGCTCGAAATGTCCACTTCCAGATAGTACAGAAAGAGTGTTTCAATCCTGCTCTATGAACGGGAATGTTCAGCTCTGTGAGTTGAATGCAAACATCACAACGCAGGTTCTGAGAATGCTTCCGTCTAGATTTTAAATGAGGATATTCCCGTTTCCAACGAAATCCTCGAAGCTATCCAAATATCCACTTGCAGATTCCACAAAAAGAGTGTTTCAAAACTGCTCTGTCAAAAGATAGGTTCAACTCTGTTAGTTGAGTACACACATGGCAAACAAGATTCCGAGAATGCTTTCGTCTAGTTTTTTTGGGAAGATATTTCCTTCTTCACCATAGGCCTCAAAGCGCTCCAAATATCCATTTCCACATGCTATACAAAGAGTGTCTCAAACCTGCTGTACGAATGGGAATGTTCAACTCTATGAGTTGAATGCAAACATCACAAAGAAGTTTCTGAGAATGCTGCTGTCTAGATTTTATATGAAGGTTTTCCCGCTTCCAACGAAATTTTCAATGCTCTCAAAATATCCTCTTGTAGATTCTACAAAAAGAGTGTTTCCAAACTGCTGTATCAAAACAAAGGTTCATCTCTGTTAGTTGAGGACACACATCACAAATAAGTTTCTGAGAATGCTTCTGTCTAGTTCTTATTTGAAGACATTTCCTTTCTCACCTTAGGCCTGAAAACGCTCGAAATACCCACTTCCAGATACGACAGAAACAGGGATTCAAACCTGCTCTATGAAAGGGAATGTTCAACTATGTGACTTGAATGCAAACATCACAAAGCAGTTTCTGAGAATGCTGCTGTCTACTTTCTATTTGTAATCCCGTTTCCAACGAAATCCTCAGAACTATCGAAATTTCCAATTGCAGATTCCACAGAAACAGGGTTTCAAAGCTGCTCTGTAAAAAGAAAGGTTCAACTCTGTTAGTTGAATACACACGTCACAAACAAGTTTCTGAGAATGCTTCTGTCTAGTTTTTATGGGAAGATATTTCCTTTTTCACCGTAGGCCTCAAAGCGCTCCAAATGTCCACTTCCACATACTACAAAAAGAGTGTTTCAAACCTGCTGTATGAAAGGGAATGTTCAACTCTATGAGTCGAATGCAAACATTACAAAGAAGTTTCTGAGAATGCTGCTGTCTAGATTTTATATGAAGGTTTTCCCGTTTCCAAGGAAATTTTCAATGCTCTCAAAATATCCACTTGTAGATTCTACAAAAAGAGTGTTTCCAAACTGCTGTGTCAAAAGAAAGGTTCAACTCTGTTAGTTGAGGACACACATCACAAATAAGTTTCTGAGAATGCTTCTGTCTAGTTCTTATTTGAAGACATTTCCTTTCTCACCTTAGGCCTGAAAACGCTCGAAATATCCACTTCCAGATACGACAGAAACAGTGATTCAAACCTGCTCTATGAAAGGGAATGTTCAACTAGGTGACTTGAATGCAAACATCACAAAGCAGTTTCTGAGAATGCTGCTGTCTACTTTGTATTTGTAATCCCGTTTCCAACGAAATCCTCAGAACTATCGAAATTTCCAATTGCAGATTCCACAAAAAGCGTGTTTCAAAGCTGCTCTGTAAAAAGAAAGGTTCAACTCTGTTAGTTGAATACACACGTCACAAACAAGTTTCTGAGAATGCTTCTGTCTAGTTTTTATGGGAAGATATTTCCTTTTTCACCGTAGGCCTCAAAGCGCTCCAAATGTCCACTTCCACATACTACAAAAAGAGTGTTTCAAACCTGCTCTATGATAGGGAATGTTGAAACCTATGAGTTGAATGCAAGCATTACAAAGAGGTTTCTGAGAATGCTTCTGTCTAGATTTTATATGTAGATATTCCCGTTTCCAACGAAATCCTCAAAGCTATCCAAATATCAACTTGCAGATTCTACAAAAGGAATGTTTCCAAAATGCTGTATCCAAACAAAGGTTCAACTCTGTGAATTGAGGGCATACATCACAAAGAAGATTCTGAGAATGCTTCTGTCTAGATTTTATATGAAAATATTCCCGTTTCCAACGAAATCCTCAAAGCTATCCAAATATCCACTTGCAAATGCCACAAAAAGAGTGTTTCCAAACTGCTCTGTGAAAAGGAAGGTTCAACTCTGTTAGTTGAGTACACACATCACAAAGAGGTTTCTGAGAATGCTGCTGACTAGTTTTTATTTGAAGATATTTCCCTTTTCACCTTAGGCCTAAGAGTGCTCGAAATGTCCATTTCCACATACTCCACAAAGTGTGTTTCAAACGTGCTGTATGAAAGGGAATGTTCAACTCTATGAGTTGAATGCAAACATCACAAAGAAGATTCTGAGAATGCTTTTGTCTAGATTTTATATGAAGATATTCCCGTGTCCAACGAAATTTTCAAAGGTCTCCAAATATCCATTTGTAGATTCTACAAAAAGAGTGTTTCCAAACTGCTGTATCAAAACAAAGGTTGAACTCTGTGAGTTGAGGACACACATCACAAATAAGTTTCTGAGAATGCTTCTGTCTAGTTCTTATTTGAAGACATTTCCTTTCTCACCTTAGGCCTGAAAGCGCTCGAAATACCCACTTCCAGATACTACAGAAACAGTGATTCAAACCTGCTCTATGAAAGGGAATGTTCAACTAGGTGACTTGAATGCAAACATCACAAAGCAGTTTCTGAGAATGCTGCTGTCTACTTTCTATTTGTAATCCCGTTTCCAACGAAATCCTCAGAACTATCGAAATTTCCAATTGCAGATTCCACAAAAAGCGTGTTTCAAAGCTGCTCTGTAAAAAGAAAGGTTCAACTCTGTTAGTTGAATACACACGTCACAAACAAGTTTCTGAGAATGCTTCTGTCTAGTTTTTATGGGAAGATATTTCCTTTTTCACGGTAGGCCTCAAAGCGCTCCAAATGTCCACTTCCACATACTACAAAAAGAGTGTTTCAAACCTGCTCTATGATAGGGAATGTTGAAACCTATGAGTTGAATGCAAGCATTACAAAGAGGTTTCTGAGAATGCTTCTGTCTAGATTTTATATGTAGATATTCCCGTTTCCAACGAAATCCTCAAAGCTATCCAAATATCAACTTGCAGATTCTGCAAAAGGAATGTTTCCAAAATGCTGTATCCAAACAAAGGTTCAACTCTGTGAATTGAGGGCATACATCACAAAGAAGATTCTGAGAATGCTTCTGTCTAGATTTTATATGAAAATATTCCCGTTTCCAACGAAATCCTCAAAGCTATCCAAATATCCACTTGCAAATGCCACAAAAAGAGTGTTTCCAAACTGCTCTGTGAAAAGGAAGGTTCAACTCTGTTAGTTGAGTACACACATCACAAAGAGGTTTCTGAGAATGCTGCTGACTAGTTTTTATTTGAAGATATTTCCCTTTTCACCTTAGGCCTAAGAGTGCTCGAAATGTCCATTTCCACATACTCCACAAAGTGTGTTTCAAACGTGCTGTATGAAAGGGAATGTTCAACTCTATGAGTTGAATGCAAACATCACAAAGAAGATTCTGAGAATGCTTTTGTCTAGATTTTATATGAAGATATTCCCGTGTCCAACGAAATTTTCAAAGGTCTCCAAATATCCATTTGTAGATTCTACAAAAAGAGTGTTTCCAAACTGCTGTATCAAAACAAAGGTTGAACTCTGTGAGTTGAGGACACACATCACAAATAAGTTTCTGAGAATGCTTCTGTCTAGTTTTTATTTGAAGATGTTTCCTTTTTCACCATAGGCCTGAAAGCGCTCGAAATGTCCACTTCCAGATAGTACAGAAAGAGTGTTTCAAACCTGCTCTATGAACGGGAATGTTCAGCTCTGTGAGTTGAATGCAAACATCACAAAGCAGGTTCTGAGAATGCTTCCGTCTAGATTTTAAATGAGGATATTCCCGTTTCCAACGAAATCCTCGAAGCTATCCAAATATCCACTTGCAGATTCCACAAAAAGAGTGTTTCAAAACTGCTCTGTCAAAAGATAGGTTCAACTCTGTTAGTTGAGTACACACATGGCAAACAAGATTGCGAGAATGCTTTCGTCTAGTTTTTTAGGGAAGATATTTCCTTCTTCACCATAGGCCTCAAAGCGCTCCAAATATCCATTTCCACATGCTATACAAAGAGTGTCTCAAACCTGCTGTATGAATGGGAATGTTCAACTCTATGAGTTGAATGCAAACATCACAAAGAAGTTTCTGAGAATGCTGCTGTCTAGATTTTATATGAAGGTTTTCCCGCTTCCAACGAAATTTTCAATGCTCTCAAAATATCCTCTTGTAGATTCTACAAAAAGAGTGTTTCCAAACTGCTGTATCAAAACAAAGGTTCATCTCTGTTAGTTGAGGACACACATCACAAATAAGTTTCTGAGAATGCTTCTGTCTAGTTCTTATTTGAAGACATTTCCTTTCTCACCTTAGGCCTGAAAGCGCTCGAAATACCCACTTCCAGATACTACAGAAACAGTGATTCAAACCTGCTCTATGAAAGGGAATGTTCAACTAGGTGAGTTGAATGCAAACATCACAAAGCAGTTTCTGAGAATGCTGCTGTCTACTTTCTATTTGTAATCCCGTTTGCAACGAAATCCTCAGAACTATCGAAATTTCCAATTGCAGATTCCACAGAAACAGGGTTTCAAAGCTGCTCTGTAAAAAGAAAGGTTCAACTCTGTTAGTTGAATACACACGTCACAAACAAGTTTCTGAGAATGCTTCTGTCTAGTTTTTATGGGAAGATATTTCCTTTTTCACGGTAGGCCTCAAAGCGCTCCAAATGTCCACTTCCACATACTACAAAAAGAGTGTTTCAAACCTGCTCTATGATAGGGAATGTTGAAACCTATGAATTGAATGCAAGCATTACAAAGAGGTTTCTGAGAATGCTTCTGTCTAGATTTTATATGTAGATATTCCCGTTTCCAACGAAATCCTCAAAGCTATCCAAATATCAACTTGCAGATTCTACAAAAGGAATGTTTCCAAAATGCTGTATCCAAACAAAGGTTCAACTCTGTGAATTGAGGGCATACATCACAAAGAAGATTCTGAGAATGCTTCTGTCTAGATTTTATATGAAAATATTCCCGTTTCCAACGAAATCCTCAAGCTATCCAAATATCCACTTGCAAATGCCACAAAAAGAGTGTTTCCAAACTGCTCTGTGAAAAGGAAGGTTCAACTCTGTTAGTTGAGTACACACATCACAAAGAGGTTTCTGAGAATGCTGCTGACTAGTTTTTATTTGAAGATATTTCCCTTTTCACCTTAGGCCTAAGAGTGCTCGAAATGTCCATTTCCACATACTCCACAAAGTGTGTTTCAAACGTGCTGTATGAAAGGGAATGTTCAACTCTATGAGTTGAATGCAAACATCACAAAGAAGATTCTGAGAATGCTTCCGTCTAGATTTTAAATGAGGATATTCCCGTTTCCAACGAAATCCTCGAAGCTATCCAAATATCCACTTGCAGATTCCACAAAAAGAGTGTTTCAAAACTGCTCTGTCAAAAGATAGGTTCAACTCTGTTAGTTGAGTACACACATGGCAAACAAGATTCCGAGAATGCTTTCGTCTAGTTTTTTTGGGAAGATATTTCCTTCTTCACCATAGGCCTCAAAGCGCTCCAAATATCCATTTCCACATGCTATACAAAGAGTGTCTCAAACCTGCTGTATGAATGGGAATGTTCAACTCTATGAGTTGAATGCAAACATCACAAAGAAGTTTCTGAGAATGCTGCTGTCTAGATTTTATATGAAGGTTTTCCCGCTTCCAACGAAATTTTCAATGCTCTCAAAATATCCTCTTGTAGATTCTACAAAAAGAGTGTTTCCAAACTGCTGTATCAAAACAAAGGTTCATCTCTGTTAGTTGAGGACACACATCACAAATAAGTTTCTGAGAATGCTTCTGTCTAGTTCTTATTTGAAGACATTTCCTTTCTCACCTTAGGCCTGAAAACGCTCGAAATATCCACTTCTAGATACGACAGAAACAGTGATTCAAACCTGCTCTATGAAAGGGAATGTTCAACTAGGTGACTTGAATGCAAACATCACAAAGCAGTTTCTGAGAATGCTGCTGTCTACTTTCTATTTGTAATCCCGTTTCCAACGAAATCCTCAGAACTATCGAAATTTCCAATTGCAGATTCCACAAAAAGCGTGTTTCAAAGCTGCTCTGTAAAAAGAAAGGTTCAACTCTGTTAGTTGAATACACACGTCACAAACAAGTTTCTGAGAATGCTTCTGTCTAGTTTTTATGGGAAGATATTTCCTTTTTCACCGTAGGCCTCAAAGCGCTCCAAATGTCCACGTCCACATACTACAAAAAGAGTGTTTCAAACCTGCTGTATGAAAGGGAATGTTCAACTCTATGAGTTGAATGCAAACATTACAAAGAAGTTTCTGAGAATGCTTCTGTCTAGATTTTATATGAAGGTTTTCCCGTTTCCAACGAAATTTTCAATGCTCTCAAAATATCCACTTGTAGATTCTGCAAAAAGAGTGTTTCCAAACTGCTGTGTCAAAAGAAAGGTTCAACTCTGTTAGTTGAGGACACACATCACAAATAAGTTTCTGAGAATGCTTCTGTCTAGTTCTTATTTGAAGACATTTCCTTTCTCACCTTAGGGCTGAAAGCGCTCGAAATATCCACTTCTAGATACTGCAGAGACAGTGATTCAAACCTGCTCTATGAAAGGGAATGTTCAACTATGTGACTTGAATGCAAACATCACAAAGCAGTTTACTGAGAATGCTGCTGTCTACTTTCTATTTGTAATCCCGTTTCCAACGAAATCCTCAGAACCATCGAAATTTCCAATTGCAGACTCCACAGAAACAGGGTTTCAAAGCTGCTCTGTAAAAAGAAAGGTTCAACTCTGTTAGTTGAATACACACGTCACAAACAAGTTTCTGAGAATGCTTCTGTCTAGTTTTTATGGGAAGATATTTCCTTTATCACGGTAGGCCTCAAAGCGCTCCAAATGTCCACTTCCACATACTACAAAAAGAGTGTTTCAAACCTGCTCTATGATAGGGAATGTTGAAACCTATGAGTTGAATGCAAGCATTACAAAGAGGTTTCTGAGAATGCTTCTGTCTAGATTTTATATGTAGATATTCCCGTTTCCAACGAAATCCTCAAAGCTATCCAAATATCAACTTGCAGATTCTGCAAAAGGAATGTTTCCAAAATGCTGTATCCAAACAAAGGTTCAACTCTGTGAATTGAGGGCATACATCACAAAGAAGATTCTGAGAATGCTTCTGTCTAGATTTTATATGAAAATATTCCCGTTTCCAACGAAATCCTCAAAGCTATCTAAATATCCACTTGCAAATGCCACAAAAAGAGTGTTTCCAAACTGCTCTGTGAAAAGGAAGGTTCAACTCTGTTAGTTGAGTACACACATCACAAAGAGGTTTCTGAGAATGCTGCTGACTAGTTTTTATTTGAAGATATTTCCCTTTTCACCTTAGGCCTAAGAGTGCTCGAAATGTCCATTTCCACATACTCCACAAAGTGTGTTTCAAACGTGCTGTATGAAAGGGAATGTTCAACTCTATGAGTTGAATTCAAACATCACAAAGAAGATTCTGAGAATGCTTTTGTCTAGATTTTATATGAAGATATTCCCGTGTCCAACGAAATTTTCAAAGTTCTCCAAATATCCATTTGTAGATTCTACAAAAAGAGTGTTTCCAAACTGCTGTATCAAAACAAAGGTTGAACTCTGTGAGTTGAGGACACACATCACAAATAAGTTTCTGAGAATGCTTCTGTCTAGTTTTTATTTGAAGATGTTTCCTTTTTCACCATAGGCCTGAAAGCGCTCGAAATGTCCACTTCCAGATAGTACAGAAAGAGTGTTTCAAACCTGCTCTATGAACGGGAATGTTCAGCTCTGTGAGTTGAATGCAAACATCACAAAGCAGGTTCTGAGAATGCTTCCGTCTAGATTTTAAATGAGGATATTCCCGTTTCCAACGAAATCCTCGAAGCTATCCAAATATCCACTTGCAGATTCCACAAAAAGAGTGTTTCAAAACTGCTCTGTCAAAAGATAGGTTCAACTCTGTTAGTTGAGTACACACATGGCAAACAAGATTGCGAGAATGCTTTCATCTAGTTTTTTTGGGAAGATATTTCCTTCTTCACCATAGGCCTCAAAGCGCTCCAAATATCCATTTCCACATGCTATACAAAGAGTGTCTCAAACCTGCTGTATGAATGGGAATGTTCAACTCTATGAGTTGAATGCAAACATCACAAAGAAGTTTCTGAGAATGCTGCTGTCTAGATTTTATATGAAGGTTTTCCCGCTTCCAACGAAATTTTCAATGCTCTCAAAATATCCTCTTGTAGATTCTACAAAAAGAGTGTTTCCAAACTGCTGTATCAAAACAAAGGTTCATCTCTGTTAGTTGAGGACACACATCACAAATAAGTTTCTGAGAATGCTTCTGTCTAGTTCTTATTTGAAGACATTTCCTTTCTCACCTTAGGCCTGAAAGCGCTCGAAATACACACTTCCAGATACTACAGAAACAGTGATTCAAACCTGCTCTATGAAAGCGAATGTTCAACTAGGTGACTTGAATGCAAACATCACAAAGCAGTTTCTGAGAATGCTGCTGTCTACTTTCTATTTGTAATCCCGTTTCCAACGAAATCCTCAGAACTATCGAAATTTCCAATTGCAGATTCCACAGAAACAGGGTTTCAAAGCTGCTCTGTAAAAAGAAAGGTTCAACTCTGTTAGTTGAATACACACGTCACAAACAAGTTTCTGAGAATGCTTCTGTCTAGTTTTTATGGGAAGATATTTCCTTTTTCACCGTAGGCCTCAAAGCGCTCCAAATGTCCACGTCCACATACTACAAAAAGAGTGTTTCAAACCTGCTGTATGAAAGGGAATGTTCAACTCTATGAGTTGAATGCAAACATTACAAAGAAGTTTCTGAGAATGCTTCTGTCTAGATTTTATATGAAGGTTTTCCCGTTTCCAACGAAATTTTCAATGCTCTCAAAATATCCACTTGTAGATTCTACAAAAAGAGTGTTTCCAAACTGCTGTGTCAAAAGAAAGGTTCAACTCTGTTAGTTGAGGACACACATCACAAATAAGTTTCTGAGAATGCTTCTGTCTAGTTCTTATTTGAAGACATTTCCTTTCTCACCTTAGGCCTGAAAACGCTCGAAATATCCACTTCCAGATACGACAGAAACAGTGATTCAAACCTGCTCTATGAAAGGGAATGTTCAACTAGGTGACTTGAATGCAAACATCACAAAGCAGTTTCTGAGAATGCTGCTGTCTACTTTCTATTTGTAATCCCGTTTCCAACGAAATCCTCAGAACTATCGAAATTTCCAATTGCAGATTCCACAAAAAGCGTGTTTCAAAGCTGCTCTGTAAAAAGAAAGGTTCAACTCTGTTAGTTGAATACACACGTCACAAACAAGTTTCTGAGAATGCTTCTGTCTAGTTTTTATGGGAAGATATTTCCTTTTTCACCGTAGGCCTCAAAGCGCTCCAAATGTCCACTTCCACATACTACAAAAAGAGTGTTTCAAACCTGCTCTATGATAGGGAATGTTGAAACCTATGAGTTGAATGCAAGCATTACAAAGAGGTTTCTGAGAATGCTTCTGTCTAGATTTTATATGTAGATATTCCCGTTTCCAACGAAATCCTCAAAGCTATCCAAATATCAACTTGCAGATTCTACAAAAGGAATGTTTCCAAAATGCTGTATCCAAACAAAGGTTCAACTCTGTGAATTGAGGGCATACATCACAAAGAAGATTCTGAGAATGCTTCTGTCTAGATTTTATATGAAAATATTCCCGTTTCCAACGAAATCCTCAAAGCTATCCAAATATCCACTTGCAAATGCCACAAAAAGAGTGTTTCCAAACTGCTCTGTGAAAAGGAAGGTTCAACTCTGTTAGTTGAGTACACACATCACAAAGAGGTTTCTGAGAATGCTGCTGACTAGTTTTTATTTGAAGATATTTCCCTTTTCACCTTAGGCCTAAGAGTGCTCGAAATGTCCATTTCCACATACTCCACAAAGTGTGTTTCAAACGTGCTGTATGAAAGGGAACGTTCAACTCTATGAGTTGAATGCAAACATCACAAAGAAGATTCTGAGAATGCTTTTGTCTAGATTTTATATGAAGATATTCCCGTGTCCAACGAAATTTTCAAAGGTCTCCAAATATCCATTTGTAGATTCTACAAAAAGAGTGTTTCCAAACTGCTGTATCAAAACAAAGGTTGAACTCTGTGAGTTGAGGACACACATCACAAATAAGTTTCTGAGAATGCTTCTGTCTAGTTTTTATTTGAAGATGTTTCCTTTTTCACCATAGGCCTGAAAGCGCTCGAAATGTCCACTTCCAGATAGTACAGAAAGAGTGTTTCAAACGTGCTCTATGAACGGGAATGTTCAGCTCTGTGAGTTGAATGCAAACATCACAAAGCAGGTTCTGAGAATGCTTCCGTCTAGATTTTAAATGAGGATATTCCCGTTTCCAACGAAATCCTCGAAGCTATCCAAATATCCACTTGCAGATTCCACAAAAAGAGTGTTTCAAAACTGCTCTGTCAAAAGATAGGTTCAACTCTGTTAGTTGAGTACACACATGGCAAACAAGATTGCGAGAATGCTTTCGTCTAGTTTTTTTGGGAAGATATTTCCTTCTTCACCATAGGCCTCAAAGCGCTCCAAATATCCATTTCCACATGCTATACAAAGAGTGTCTCAAACCTGCTGTATGAATGGGAATGTTCAACTCTATGAGTTGAATGCAAACATCACAAAGAAGTTTCTGAGAATGCTGCTGTCTAGATTTTATATGAAGGTTTTCCCGCTTCCAACGAAATTTTCAATGCTCTCAAAATATCCTCTTGTAGATTCTACAAAAAGAGTGTTTCCAAACTGCTGTATCAAAACAAAGGTTCATCTCTGTTAGTTGAGGACACACATCACAAATAAGTTTCTGAGAATGCTTCTGTCTAGTTCTTATTTGAAGACATTTCCTTTCTCACCTTAGGCCTGAAAGCGCTCGAAATACCCACTTCCAGATACTACAGAAACAGTGATTCAAACCTGCTCTATGAAAGGGAATGTTCAACTATGTGACTTGAATGCAAACATCACAAAGCAGTTTCTGAGAATGCTGCTGTCTACTTTCTATTTGTAATCCCGTTTCCAACGAAATCCTCAGAACTATCGAAATTTCCAATTGCAGATTCCACAAAAACAGGGTTTCAAAGCTGCTCTGTAAAAAGAAATGTTCAACTCTGTTAGTTGAATACACACGTCACAAACAAGTTTCTGAGAATGCTTCTGTCTAGTTTTTATGGGAAGATATTTCCTTTTTCACCGTAGGCCTCAAAGCGCTCCAAATGTCCACTTCCACATACTACAAAAAGAGTGTTTCAAACCTGCTGTATGAAAGGGAATGTTCAACTCTATGAGTTGAATGCAAACATTACAAAGAAGTTTCTGAGAATGCTGCTGTCTAGATTTTATATGAAGGTTTTCCCGCTTCCAACGAAATTTAAAATGCTCTCAAAATATCCACTTGTAGATTCTACAAAAAGAGTGTTTCCAAACTGCTGTATCAAAACAAAGGTTCAACTCTGTTAGTTGAGGACACACATCACAAATAAGTTTCTGAGAATGCTTTCTGTCTAGTTCTTATTTGAAGACATTTCCTTTCTCACCTTAGGCCTGAAAACGCTCGAAATATCCACTTCTAGATACGACAGAAACAGTGATTCAAACCTGCTCTATGAAAGGGAATGTTCAACTAGGTGACTTGAATGCAAACATCACAAAGCAGTTTCTGAGAATGCTGCTGTCTACTTTCTATTTGTAATCCCGTTTCCAACGAAATCCTCAGAACTATCGAAATTTCCAATTGCAGATTCCACAAAAAGCGTGTTTCAAAGCTGCTCTGTAAAAAGAAAGGTTCAACTCTGTTAGTTGAATACACACGTCACAAACAAGTTTCTGAGAATGCTTCTGTCTAGTTTTTATGGGAAGATATTTCCTTTTTCACCGTAGGCCTCAAAGCGCTCCAAATGTCCACTTCCACATACTACAAAAAGAGTGTTTCAAACCTGCTGTATGAAAGGGAATGTTCAACTCTATGAGTTGAATGCAAACATTACAAAGAAGTTTCTGAGAATGCTTCGGTCTAGATTTTATATGAAGGTTTTCCCGTTTCCAACGAAATTTTCAATGCTCTCAAAATATCCACTTGTAGATTCTACAAAAAGAGTGTTTCCAAACTGCTGTGTCAAAAGAAAGGTTCAACTCTGTTAGTTGAGGACACACATCACAAATAAGTTTCTGAGAATGCTTCTGTCTAGTTCTTATTTGAAGACATTTCCTTTCTCACCTTAGGCCTGAAAACGCTCGAAATATCCACTTCCAGATACGACAGAAACAGTGATTCAAACCTGCTCTATGAAAGGGAATGTTCAACTAGGTGACTTGAATGCAAACATCACAAAGCAGTTTCTGAGAATGCTGCTGTCTACTTTCTATTTGTAATCCCGTTTCCAACGAAATCCTCAGAACTATCCAAATTTCCAATTGCAGATTCCACAAAAAGCGTGTTTCAAAGCTGCTCTGTAAAAAGAAAGGTTCAACTCTGTTAGTTGAATACACACGTCACAAACAAGTTTCTGAGAATGCTTCTGTCTAGTTTTTATGGGAAGATATTTCCTTTTTCACCGTAGGCCTCAAAGCGCTCCAAATGTCCACTTCCACATACTACAAAAAGAGTGTTTCAAACCTGCTCTATGATAGGGAATGTTGAAACCTATGAGTTGAATGCAAGCATTACAAAGAGGTTTCTGAGAATGCTTCTGTCTAGATTTTATATGTAGATATTCCCGTTTCCAACGAAATCCTCAAAGCTATCCAAATATCAACTTGCAGATTCTACAAAAGGAATGTTTCCAAAATGCTGTATCCAAACGAAGGTTCAACTCTGTGAATTGAGGGCATACATCACAAAGAAGATTCTGAGAATGCTTCTGTCTAGATTTTATATGAAAATATTCCCGTTTCCAACGAAATCCTCAAAGCTATCCAAATATCCACTTGCAAATGCCACAAAAAGAGTGTTTCCAAACTGCTCTGTGAAAAGGAAGGTTCAACTCTGTTAGTTGAGTACACACATCACAAAGAGGTTTCTGAGAATGCTGCTGACTAGTTTTTATTTGAAGATATTTCCCTTTTCACCTTAGGCCTAAGGAGTGCTCGAAATGTCCATTTCCACATACTCCACAAAGTGTGTTTCAAACGTGCTGTATGAAAGGGAATGTTCAACTCTATGAGTTGAATGCAAACATCACAAAGAAGATTCTGAGAATGCTTTTGTCTAGATTTTATATGAAGATATTCCCGTGTCCAACGAAATTTTCAAAGGTCTCCAAATATCCATTTGTAGATTCTACAAAAAGAGTGTTTCCAAACTGCTGTATCAAAACAAAGGTTGAACTCTGTGAGTTGAGGACACACATCACAAATAAGTTTCTGAGAATGCTTCTGTCTAGTTTTTATTTGAAGATGTTTCCTTTTTCACCATAGGCCTGAAAGCGCTCGAAATGTCCACTTCCAGATAGTACAGAAAGAGTGTTTCAAACCTGCTCTATGAACGGGAATGTTCAGCTCTGTGAGTTGAATGCAAACATCACAAAGCAGGTTCTGAGAATGCTTCCGTCTAGATTTTAAATGAGGATATTCCCGTTTCCAACGAAATCCTCGAAGCTATCCAAATATCCACTTGCAGATTCCACAAAAAGAGTGTTTCAAAACTGCTCTGTCAAAAGATAGGTTCAACTCTGTTAGT
Organism: Homo sapiens; assembly: GCF_000001405.40. Lineage (NCBI taxonomy): Eukaryota > Metazoa > Chordata > Mammalia > Primates > Hominidae > Homo > Homo sapiens. Next base: position 19,213,852 of record NC_000015.10, on the reverse strand, counting down.
TGAGTACACACATGGCAAACAAGATTGCGAGAATGCTTTCGTCTAGTTTTTTTGGGAAGATATTTCCTTCTTCACCATAGGCCTCAAAGCGCTCCAAATATCCATTTCCACATGCTATACAAAGAGTGTCTCAAACCTGCTGTATGAATGGGAATGTTCAACTCTATGAGTTGAATGCAAACATCACAAAGCAGTTTCTGAGAATGCTGCTGTCTACTTTCTATTTGTAATCCCGTTTCCAACGAAATCCTCAGAACTATCGAAATTTCCAATTGCAGATTCCACAGAAACAGGGTTTCAAAGCTGCTCTGTAAAAAGAAAGGTTCAACTCTGTTAGTTGAATACACACGTCACAAACAAGTTTCTGAGAATGCTTCTGTCTAGTTTTTATGGGAAGATATTTCCTTTTTCACCGTAGGCCTCAAAGCGCTCCAAATGTCCACTTCCACATACTACAAAAAGAGTGTTTCAAACCTGCTGTATGAAAGGGAATGTTCAACTCTATGAGTTGAATGCAAACATTACAAAGAAGTTTCTGAGAATGCTTCTGTCTAGATTTTATATGAAGGTTTTCCCGTTTCCAACGAAATTTTCAATGCTCTCAAAATATCCACTTGTAGATTCTACAAAAAGAGTGTTTCCAAACTGCTGTGTCAAAAGAAAGGTTCAACTCTGTTAGTTGAGGACACACATCACAAATAAGTTTCTGAGAATGCTTCTGTCTAGTTCTTATTTGAAGACATTTCCTTTCTCACCTTAGGCCTGAAAACGCTCGAAATATCCACTTCCAGATACGACAGAAACAGTGATTCAAACCTGCTCTATGAAAGGGAATGTTCAACTAGGTGACTTGAATGCAAACATCACAAAGCAGTTTCTGAGAATGCTGCTGTCTACTTTCTATTTGTAATCCCGTTTCCAACGAAATCCTCAGAACTATCGAAATTTCCAATTGCAGATTCCACAGAAACAGGGTTTCAAAGCTGCTCTGTAAAAAGAAAGGTTCAACTACTGTTAGTTGAATACACACGTCACAAACAAGTTTCTGAGAATGCTTCTGTCTAGTTTTTATGGGAAGATATTTCCTTTTTCACCGTAGGCCTCAAAGCGCTCCAAATGTCCACTTCCACATACTACAAAAAGAGTGTTTCAAACCTGCTCTATGATAGGGAATGTTGAAACCTATGAGTTGAATGCAAGCATTACAAAGAGGTTTCTGAGAATGCTTCTGTCTAGATTTTATATGTAGATATTCCCGTTTCCAACGAAATCCTCAAAGCTATCCAAATATCAACTTGCAGATTCTACAAAAGGAATGTTTCCAAAATGCTGTATACAAACAAAGGTTCAACTCTGTGAATTGAGGGCATACATCACAAAGAAGATTCTGAGAATGCTTCTGTCTAGATTTTATATGAAAATATTCCCGTTTCCAACGAAATCCTCAAAGCTATCCAAATATCCACTTGCAAATGCCACAAAAAGAGTGTTTCCAAACTGCTCTGTGAAAAGGAAGGTTCAACTCTGTTAGTTGAGTACACACATCACAAAGAGGTTTCTGAGAATGCTGCTGACTAGTTTTTATTTGAAGATATTTCCCTTTTCACCTTAGGCCTAAGAGTGCTCGAAATGTCCATTTCCACATACTCCACAAAGTGTGTTTCAAACGTGCTGTATGAAAGGGAATGTTCAACTCTATGAGTTGAATGCAAACATCACAAAGAAGATTCTGAGAATGCTTTTGTCTAGATTTTATATGAAGATATTCCCGTGTCCAACGAAATTTTCAAAGGTCTCCAAATATCCATTTGTAGATTCTACAAAAAGAGTGTTTCCAAACTGCTGTATCAAAACAAAGGTTGAACTCTGTGAGTTGAGGACACACATCACAAATAAGTTTCTGAGAATGCTTCTGTCTAGTTTTTATTTGAAGATGTTTCCTTTTTCACCATAGGCCTGAAAGCGCTCGAAATGTCCACTTCCAGATAGTACAGAAAGAGTGTTTCAAACCTGCTCTATGAACGGGAATGTTCAGCTCTGTGAGTTGAATGCAAACATCACAAAGCAGGTTCTGAGAATGCTTCCGTCTAGATTTTAAATGAGGATATTCCCGTTTCCAACGAAATCCTCGAAGCTATCCAAATATCCACTTGCAGATTCCACAAAAAGAGTGTTTCAAAACTGCTCTGTCAAAAGATAGGTTCAACTCTGTTAGTTGAGTACAGACATGGCAAACAAGATTGCGAGAATGCTTTCGTCTAGTTTTTTTGGGAAGATATTTCCTTCTTCACCATAGGCCTCAAAGCGCTCCAAATATCCATTTCCACATGCTATACAAAGAGTGTCTCAAACCTGCTGTATGAATGGGAATGTTCAACTCTATGAGTTGAATGCAAACATCACAAAGAAGTTTCTGAGAATGCTGCTGTCTAGATTTTATATGAAGGTTTTCCCGCTTCCAACGAAATTTTCAATGCTCTCAAAATATCCTCCTGTAGATTCTACAAAAAGAGTGTTTCCAAACTGCTGTATCAAAACAAAGGTTCATCTCTGTTAGTTGAGGACACACATCACAAATAAGTTTCTGAGAATGCTTCTGTCTAGTTCTTATTTGAAGACATTTCCTTTCTCACCTTAGGCCTGAAAGCGCTCGAAATACCCACTTCCAGATACTACAGAAACAGTGATTCAAACCTGCTCTATGAAAGGGAATGTTCAACTAGGTGACTTGAATGCAAACATCACAAAGCAGTTTCTGAGAATGCTTGCTGTCTACTTTCTATTTGTAATCCCGTTTCCAACGAAATCCTCAGCAACTATCGAAATTTCCAATTGCAGATTCCACAGAAACAGGGTTTCAAAGCTGCTCTGTAAAAAGAAAGGTTCAACTCTGTTAGTTGAATACACACGTCACAAACAAGTTTCTGAGAATGCTTCTGTCTAGTTTTTATGGGAAGATATTTCCTTTTTCACCGTAGGCCTCAAAGCGCTCCAAATGTCCACTTCCACATACTACAAAAAGAGTGTTTCAAACCTGCTGTATGAAAGGGAATGTTCAACTCTATGAGTTGAATGCAAACATTACAAAGAAGTTTCTGAGAATGCTTCTGTCTAGATTTTATATGAAGGTTTTCCCGTTTCCAACGAAATTTTCAATGCTCTCAAAATATCCACTTGTAGATTCTACAAAAAGAGTGTTTCCAAACTGCTGTGTCAAAAGAAAGGTTCAACTCTGTTAGTTGAGGACACACATCACAAATAAGTTTCTGAGAATGCTTCTGTCTAGTTCTTATTTGAAGACATTTCCTTTCTCACCTTAGGCCTGAAAACGCTCGAAATATCCACTTCCAGATACGACAGAAGCAGTGATTCAAACCTGCTCTATGAAAGGGAATGTTCAACTAGGTGACTTGAATGCAAACATCACAAAGCAGTTTCTGAGAATGCTGCTGTCTACTTTCTATTTGTAATCCCGTTTCCAACGAAATCCTCAGAACTATCAAAATTTCCAATTGCAGATTCCACAAAAAGCGTGTTTCAAAGCTGCTCTGTAAAAAGAAAGGTTCAACTCTGTTAGTTGAATACACACGTCACAAACAAGTTTCTGAGAATGCTTCTGTCTAGTTTTTATGGGAAGATATTTCCTTTTTCACGGTAGGCCTCAAAGCGCTCCAAATGTCCACTTCCACATACTACAAAAAGAGTGTTTCAAACCTGCTCTATGATAGGGAATGTTGAAACCTATGAGTTGAATGCAAGCATTACAAAGAGGTTTCTGAGAATGCTTCTGTCTAGATTTTATATGTAGATATTCCCGTTTCCATCGAAATCCTCAAAGCTATCCAAATATCAACTTGCAGATTCTACAAAAGGAATGTTTCCAAAATGCTGTATCCAAACAAAGGTTCAACTCTGTGAATTGAGGGCATACATCACAAAGAAGATTCTGAGAATGCTTCTGTCTAGATTTTATATGAAAATATTCCCGTTTCCAACGAAATCCTCAAAGCTATCCAAATATCCACTTGCAAATGCCACAAAAAGAGTGTTTCCAAACTGCTCTGTGAAAAGGAAGGTTCAACTCTGTTAGTTGAGTACACACATCACAAAGAGGTTTCTGAGAATGCTGCTGACTAGTTTTTATTTGAAGATATTTCCCTTTTCACCTTAGGCCTAAGAGTGCTCGAAATGTCCATTTCCACATACTCCACAAAGTGTGTTTCAAACGTGCTGTATGAAAGGGAATGTTCAACTCTATGAGTTGAATGCAAACATCACAAAGAAGATTCTGAGAATGCTTTTGTCTAGATTTTATATGAAGATATTCCCGTGTCCAACGAAATTTTCAAAGGTCTCCAAATATCCATTTGTAGATTCTACAAAAAGAGTGTTTCCAAACTGCTGTATCAAAACAAAGGTTGAACTCTGTGAGTTGAGGACACACATCACAAATAAGTTTCTGAGAATGCTTCTGTCTAGTTTTTATTTGAAGATGTTTCCTTTTTCACCATAGGCCTGAAAGCGCTCGAAATGTCCACTTCCAGATAGTACAGAAAGAGTGTTTCAAACCTGCTCTATGAACGGGAATGTTCAGTTCTGTGAGTTGAATGCAAACATCACAAAGCAGGTTCTGAGAATGCTTCCGTCTAGATTTTAAATGAGGATATTCCCGTTTCCAACGAAATCCTCGAAGCTATCCAAATATCCACTTGCAGATTCCACAGAAAGAGTGTTTCAAAACTGCTCTCTCAAAAGATAGGTTCAACTCTGTTAGTTGAGTACACACATGGCAAACAAGATTCCGAGAATGCTTTCGTCTAGTTTTTTTGGGAAGATATTTCCTTCTTCACCATAGTCCTCAAAGCGCTCCAAATATCCATTTCCGCATGCTATACAAAGAGTGTCTCAAACCTGCTGTATGAATGGGAAAGTTCAACTCTATGAGTTGAATGCAAACATCACAAAGAAGTTTCTGAGAATGCTTGCTGTCTAGTATTTTATATGAAGGTTTTCCCGCTTCCAACGAAATTTTCAATGCTCTCAAAATATCCTCTTGTAGATTCTACAAAAAGAGTGTTTCCAAACTGCTGTATCAAAACAAAGGTTCATCTCTGTTAGTTGAGGACACACATCACAAATAAGTTTCTGAGAATGCTTCTGTCTAGTTCTTATTTGAAGACATTTCCTTTCTCACCTTAGGCCTGAAAGCGCTCGAAATACCCACTTCCAGATACTACAGAAACAGTGATTCAAACCTGCTCTATGAAAGGGAATGTTCAACTATGTGACTTGAATGCAAACATCACAAAGCAGTTTCTGAGAATGCTGCTGTCTACTTTCTATTTGTAATCCCGTTTCCAACGAAATCCTCAGAACTATCGAAATTTCCAATTGCAGATTCCACAGAAACAGGGTTTCAAAGCTGCTCTGTAAAAAGAAAGGTTCAACTCTGTTAGTTGAATACACACGTCACAAACAAGTTTCTGAGAATGCTTCTGTCTAGTTTTTATGGGAAGATATTTCCTTTTTCACCGTAGGCCTCAAAGCGCTCCAAATGTCCACTTCCACATACTACAAAAAGGGTGTTTCAAACCTGCTGTATGAAAGGGAATGTTCAACTCTATGAGTCGAATGCAAACATTACAAAGAAGTTTCTGAGAATGCTTCTGTCTAGATTTTATATGAAGGTTTTCCCGTTTCCAACGAAATTTTCAATGCTCTCAAAATATCCACTTGTAGATTCTACAAAAAGAGTGTTTCCAAACTGCTGTGTCAAAAGAAAGGTTCAACTCTGTTAGTTGAGGACACACATCACAAATAAGTTTCTGAGAATGCTTCTGTCTAGTTCTTATTTGAAGACATTTCCTTTCTCACCTTAGGCCTGAAAACGCTCGAAATATCCACTTCCAGATACGACAGAAACAGTGATTCAAACCTGCTCTATGAAAGGGAATGTTCAACTAGGTGACTTGAATGCAAACATCACAAAGCAGTTTCTGAGAATGCTGCTGTCTACTTTCTATTTGTAATCCCGTTTCCAACGAAATCCTCAGAACTATCGAAATTTCCAATTGCAGATTCCACAAAAAGCGTGTTTCAAAGCTGCTCTGTAAAAAGAAAGGTTCAACTCTGTTAGTTGAATACACACGTCACAAACAAGTTTCTGAGAATGCTTCTGTCTAGTTTTTATGGGAAGATATTTCCTTTTTCACGGTAGGCCTCAAAGCGCTCCAAATGTCCACTTCCACATACTACAAAAAGAGTGTTTCAAACCTGCTCTATGATAGGGAATGTTGAAACCTATGAGTTGAATGCAAGCATTACAAAGAGGTTTCTGAGAATGCTTCTGTCTAGATTTTATATGTAGATATTCCCGTTTCCAACGAAATCCTCAAAGCTATCCAAATATCAACTTGCAGATTCTACAAAAGGAATGTTTCCAAAATGCTGTATCCAAACAAAGGTTCAACTCTGTGAATTGAGGGAATACATCACAAAGAAGATTCTGAGAATGCTTCTGTCTAGATTTTATATGAAAATATTCCCGTTTCCAACGAAATCCTCAAAGCTATCCAAATATCCACTTGCAAATGCCACAAAAAGAGTGTTTCCAAACTGCTCTGTGAAAAGGAAGGTTCAACTCTGTTAGTTGAGTACACACATCACAAAGAGGTTTCTGAGAATGCTGCTGACTAGTTTTTATTTGAAGATATTTCCCTTTTCACCTTAGGCCTAAGAGTGCTCGAAATGTCCATTTCCACATACTCCACAAAGTGTGTTTCAAACTTGCTGTATGAAAGGGAATGTTCAACTCTATGAGTTGAATGCAAACATCACAAAGAAGATTCTGAGAATGCTTTTGTCTAGATTTTATATGAAGATATTCCCGTGTCCAACGAAATTTTCAAAGGTCTCCAAATATCCATTTGTAGATTCTACAAAAAGAGTGTTTCCAAACTGCTGTATCAAAACAAAGGTTGAACTCTGTGAGTTGAGGACACACATCACAAATAAGTTTCTGAGAATGCTTCTGTCTAGTTTTTATTTGAAGATGTTTCCTTTTTCACCATAGGCCTGAAAGCGCTCGAAATGTCCACTTCCAGATAGTACAGAAAGAGGGTTTCAAACCTGCACTGTGAACGGGAATGTTCAGCTCTGTGAGTTGAATGCAAACATCACAAAGCAGGTTCTGAGAATGCTTCCGTCTAGATTTTAAATGAGGATATTCCCGTTTCCAACGAAATCCTCGAAGCTATCCAAATATCCACTTGCAGATTCCACAAAAAGAGTGTTTCAAAACTGCTCTGTCAAAAGATAGGTTCAACTCTGTTAGTTGAGTACACACATGGCAAACAAGATTCCGAGAATGCTTTCGTCTAGTTTTTTTGGGAAGATATTTCCTTCTTCACCATAGGCCTCAAAGCGCTCCAAATATCCATTTCCACAGGCTATACAAAGAGTGTCTCAAACCTGCTGTATGAATGGGAATGTTCAACTCTATGAGTTGAATGCAAACATCACAAAGAAGTTTCTGAGAATGCTGCTGTCTAGATTTTATATGAAGGTTTTCCCGCTTCCAACGAAATTTTCAATGCTCTCAAAATATCCTCTTGTAGATTCTACAAAAAGAGTGTTTCCAAACTGCTGTATCAAAACAAAGGTTCATCTCTGTTAGTTGAGGACACACATCACAAATAAGTTTCTGAGAATGCTTCTGTCTAGTTCTTATTTGAAGACATTTCCTTTCTCACCTTAGGCCTGAAAACGCTCGAAATATCCACTTCCAGATACGACAGAAACAGTGATTCAAACCTGCTCTATGAAAGGGCATGTTCAACTAGGTGACTTGAATGCAAACATCACAAAGCAGTTTCTGAGAATGCTGCTGTCTACTTTCTATTTGTAATCCCGTTTCCAACGAAATCCTCAGAACTATCGAAATTTCCAATTGCAGATTCCACAAAAAGCGTGTTTCAAAGCTGCTCTGTAAAAAGAAAGGTTCAACTCTGTTAGTTGAATACACACGTCACAAACAAGTTTCTGAGAATGCTTCTGTCTAGTTTTTATGGGAAGATATTTCCTTTTTCACCGTAGGCCTCAAAGCGCTCCAAATGTCCACTTCCACATACTACAAAAAGAGTGTTTCAAACCTGCTGTATGAAAGGGAATGTTCAACTCTATGAGTTGAATGCAAACATTACAAAGAAGTTTCTGAGAATGCTTCTGTCTAGATTTTATATGAAGGTTTTCCCGTTTCCAACGAAATTTTCAATGCTCTCAAAATATCCACTTGTAGATTCTACAAAAAGAGTGTTTCCAAACTGCTGTGTCAAAAGAAAGGTTCAACTCTGTTAGTTGAGGACACACATCACAAATAAGTTTCTGAGAATGCTTCTGTCTAGTTCTTATTTGAAGACATTTCCTTTCTCACCTTAGGCCTGAAAACGCTCGAAATATCCACTTCCAGATACGACAGAAACAGTGATTCAAACCTGCTCTATGAAAGGGAATGTTCAACTAGGTGACTTGAATGCAAACATCCACAAAGCAGTTTCTGAGAATGCTGCTGTCTACTTTCTATTTGTAATCCCGTTTCCAACGAAATCCTCAGAACTATCGAAATTTCCAATTGCAGATTCCACAAAAAGCGTGTTTCAAAGCTGCTCTGTAAAAAGAAAGGTTCAACTCTGTTAGTTGAATACACACGTCACAAACAAGTTTCTGAGAATGCTTCTGTCTAGTTTTTATGGGAAGATATTTCCTTTTTCACCGTAGGCCTCAAAGCGCTCCAAATGTCCACTTCCACATACTACAAAAAGAGTGTTTCAAACCTGCTCTATGATAGGGAATGTTGAAACCTATGAGTTGAATGCAAGCATTACAAAGAGGTTTCTGAGAATGCTTCTGTCTAGATTTTATATGTAGATATTCCCGTTTCCAACGAAATCCTCAAACTATCCAAATATCAACTTGCAGATTCTACAAAAGGAATGTTTCCAAAATGCTGTATCCAAACAAAGGTTCAACTCTGTGAATTGAGGGCATACATCACAAAGAAGATTCTGAGAATGCTTCTGTCTAGATTTTATATGAAAATATTCCCGTTTCCAACGAAATCCTCAAAGCTATCCAAATATCCACTTGCAAATGCCACAAAAAGAGTGTTTCCAAACTGCTCTGTGAAAAGGAAGGTTCAACTCTGTTAGTTGAGTACACACATCACAAAGAGGTTTCTGAGAATGCTGCTGACTAGTTTTTATTTGAAGATATTTCCCTTTTCACCTTAGGCCTAAGAGTGCTCGAAATGTCCATTTCCACATACTCCACAAAGTGTGTTTCAAACGTGCTGTATGAAAGGGAATGTTCAACTCTATGAGTTGAATGCAAACATCACAAAGAAGATTCTGAGAATGCTTTGTCTAGATTTTATATGAAGATATTCCCGTGTCCAACGAAATTTTCAAAGGTCTCCAAATATCCATTTGTAGATTCTACAAAAAGAGTGTTTCCAAACTGCTGTATCAAAACAAAGGTTGAACTCTGTGAGTTGAGGACACACATCACAAATAAGTTTCTGAGAATGCTTTCTGTCTAGTTTTTATTTGAAGATGTTTCCTTTTTCACCATAGGCCTGAAAGCGCTCGAAATGTCCACTTCCAGATAGTACAGAAAGAGTGTTTCAAACCTGCTCTATGAACGGGAATGTTCAGCTCTGTGAGTTGAATGCAAACATCACAAAGCAGGTTCTGAGAATGCTTCCGTCTAGATTTTAAATGAGGATATTCCCGTTTCCAACGAAATCCTCGAAGCTATCCAAATATCCACTTGCAGATTCCACAAAAAGAGTGTTTCAAAACTGCTCTGTCAAAAGATAGGTTCAACTCTGTTAGTTGAGTACACACATGGCAAACAAGATTCCGAGAATGCTTTCGTCTAGTTTTTTGGGGAAGATATTTCCTTCTTCACCATAGGCCTCAAAGCGCTCCAAATATCCATTTCCACATGCTATACAAAGAGTGTCTCAAACCTGCTGTATGAATGGGAATGTTCAACTCTATGAGTTGAATGCAAACATCACAAAGAAGTTTCTGAGAATGCTGCTGTCTAGATTTTATATGAAGGTTTTCCCGCTTCCAACGAAATTTTCAATGCTCTCAAAATATCCTCTTGTAGATTCTACAAAAAGAGTGTTTCCAAACTGCTGTATCAAAACAAAGGTTCATCTCTGTTAGTTGAGGACATACATCACAAATAAGTTTCTGAGAATGCTTCTGTCTAGTTCTTATTTGAAGACATTTCCTTTCTCACCTTAGGCCTGAAAATGCTCGAAATATCCACTTTCAGATACGACAGAAACTGTGATTCAAACCTGCTCTATGAAAGGGAATGTTCAACTAGGTGACTTGAATGCAAACATCACAAAGCAGTTTCTGAGAATGCTGCTGTCTACTTTCTATTTGTAATCCCGTTTCCAACGAAATCCTCAGAACTATCGAAATTTCCAATTGCAGATTCCACAGAAACAGGGTTTCAAAGCTGCTCTGTAAAAAGAAAGGTTCAACTCTGGTAGTTGAATACACACGTCACAAACAAGTTTCTGAGATTGCTTCTGTCTAGTTTTTATGGGAAGATATTTCCTTTTTCACCGTAGGCCTCAAAGCGCTCCAAATGTCCACTTCCACATACTACAAAAAGAGTGTTTCAAACCTGCTGTATGAAAGGGAATGTTCAACTCTATGAGTTGAATGCAAACATTACAAAGAAGTTTCTGAGAATGCTTCTGTCTAGATTTTATATGAAGGTTTTCCCGTTTCCAACGAAATTTTCAATGCTCTCAAAATATCCACTTGTAGATTCTACAAAAAGAGTGTTTCCAAACTGCTGTGTCAAAAGAAAGGTTCAACTCTGTTAGTTGAGGACACACATCACAAATAAGTTTCTGAGAATGCTTCTGTCTAGTTCTTATTTGAAGACATTTCCTTTCTCACCTTAGGCCTGAAAACGCTCGAAATATCCACTTCCAGATACGACAGAAACAGTGATTCAAACCTGCTCTATGAAAGGGAATGTTCAACTAGGTGACTTGAATGCAAACATCACAAAGCAGTTTCTGAGAATGCTGCTGTCTACTTTCTATTTGTAATCCCGTTTCCAACGAAATCCTCAGAACTATCGAAATTTCCAATTGCAGATTCCACAAAAAGCGTGTTTCAAAGCTGCTCTGTAAAAAGAAAGGTTCAACTCTGTTAGTTGAATACACACGTCACAAACAAGTTTCTGAGAATGCTTCTGTCTAGTTTTTATGGGAAGATATTTCCTTTTTCACCGTAGGCCTCAAAGCGCTCCAAATGTCCACTTCCACATACTACAAAAAGAGTGTTTCAAACCTGCTCTATGATAGGGAATGTTGAAACCTATGAGTTGAATGCAAGCATTACAAAGAGGTTTCTGAGAATGCTTCTGTCTAGATTTTATATGTAGATATTCCCGTTTCCAACGAAATCCTCAAAGCTATCCAAATATCAACTTGCAGATTCTACAAAAGGAATGTTTCCAAAATGCTGTATCCAAACAAAGGTTCAACTCTGTGAATTGAGGGCATACATCACAAAGAAGATTCTGAGAATGCTTCTGTCTAGATTTTATATGAAAATATTCCCGTTTCCAACGAAATCCTCAAAGCTATCCAAATATCCACTTGCAAATGCCACAAAAAGAGTGTTTCCAAACTGCTCTGTGAAAAGGAAGGTTCAACTCTGTTAGTTGAGTACACACATCACAAAGAGGTTTCTGAGAATGCTGCTGACTAGTTTTTATTTGAAGATATTTCCCTTTTCACCTTAGGCCTAAGAGTGCTCGAAATGTCCATTTCCACATACTCCACAAAGTGTGTTTCAAACGTGCTGTATGAAAGGGAATGTTCAACTCTATGAGTTGAATGCAAACATCACAAAGAAGACTCTGAGAATGCTTTTGTCTAGATTTTATATGAAGATATTCCCGTGTCCAACGAAATTTTCAAAGGTCTCCAAATATCCATTTGTAGATTCTACAAAAAGAGTGTTTCCAAACTGCTGTATCAAAACAAAGGTTGAACTCTGTGAGTTGAGGACACACATCACAAATAAGTTTCTGAGAATGCTTCTGTCTAGTTTTTATTTGAAGATGTTTCCTTTTTCACCATAGGCCTGAAAGCGCTCGAAATGTCCACTTCCAGATAGTACAGAAAGAGTGTTTCAAACCTGCTCTATGAACGGGAATGTTCAGCTCTGTGAGTTGAATGCAAACATCACAAAGCAGGTTCCGAGAATGCTTCCGTCTAGATTTTAAATGAGGATATTCCCGTTTCCAACGAAATCCTCGAAGCTATCCAAATATCCACTTGCAGATTCCACAAAAAGAGTGTTTCAAAACTGCTCTGTCAAAAGATAGGTTCAACTCTGTTAGTTGAGTACACACATGGCAAACAAGATTGCGAGAATGCTTTCGTCTAGTTTTTTTGGGAAGATATTTCCTTCTTCACCATAGGCCTCAAAGCGCTCCAAATATCCATTTCCACATGCTATACAAAGAGTGTCTCAAACCTGCTGTATGAATGGGAATGTTCACCTCTATGAGTTGAATGCAAACATCACAAAGAAGTTTCTGAGAATGCTGCTGTCTAGATTTTATATGAAGGTTTTCCCGCTTCCAACGAAATTTTCAATGCTCTCAAAATATCCTCTTGTAGATTCTACAAAAAGAGTGTTTCCAAACTGCTGTATCAAAACAAAGGTTCATCTCTGTTAGTTGAGGACACACATCACAAATAAGTTTCTGAGAATGCTTCTGTCTAGTTCTTATTTGAAGACATTTCCTTTCTCACCTTAGGCCTGAAAACGCTCGAAATATCCACTTCCAGACACGACAGAAACAGTGATTCAAACCTGCTCTATGAAAGGGAATGTTCAACTAGGTGACTTGAATGCAAACATCACAAAGCAGTTTCTGAGAATGCTGCTGTCTACTTTCTATTTGTAATCCCGTTTCCAACGAAATCCTCAGAACTATCGAAATTTCCAATTGCAGATTCCACAAAAAGCGTGTTTCAAAGCTGCTCTGTAAAAAGAAAGGTTCAACTCTGTTAGTTGAATACACACGTCACAAACAAGTTTCTGAGAATGCTTCTGTCTAGTTTTTATGGGAAGATATTTCCTTTTTCACCGTAGGCCTCAAAGCGCTCCAAATGTCCACTTCCACATACTACAAAAAGAGTGTTTCAAACCTGCTCTATGATAGGGAATGTTGAAACCTATGAGTTGAATGCAAGCATTACAAAGAGGTTTCTGAGAATGCTTCTGTCTAGATTTTATATGTAGATATTCCCGTTTCCAACGAAATCCTCAAAGCTATCCAAATATCAACTTGCAGATTCTACAAAAGGAATGTTTCCAAAATGCTGTATCCAAACAAAGGTTCAACTCTGTGAATTGAGGGCATACATCACAAAGAAGATTCTGAGAATGCTTCTGTCTAGATTTTATATGAAAATATTCCCGTTTCCAACGAAATCCTCAAAGCTATCCAAATATCCACTTGCAAATGCCACAAAAAGAGTGTTTCCAAACTGCTCTGTGAAAAGGAAGGTTCAACTCTGTTAGTTGAGTACACACATCACAAAGAGGTTTCTGAGAATGCTGCTGACTAGTTTTTATTTGAAGATATTTCCCTTTTCACCTTAGGCCTAAGAGTGCTCGAAATGTCCATTTCCACATACTCCACAAAGTGTGTTTCAAACGTGCTGTATGAAAGGGAATGTTCAACTCTATGAGTTGAATGCAAACATCACAAAGAAGACTCTGAGAATGCTTTTGTCTAGATTTTATATGAAGATATTCCCGTGTCCAACGAAATTTTCAAAGGTCTCCAAATATCCATTTGTAGATTCTACAAAAAGAGTGTTTCCAAACTGCTGTATCAAAACAAAGGTTGAACTCTGTGAGTTGAGGACACACATCACAAATAAGTTTCTGAGAATGCTTCTGTCTAGTTTTTATTTGAAGATGTTTCCTTTTTCACCATAGGCCTGAAAGCGCTCGAAATGTCCACTTCCAGATAGTACAGAAAGAGTGTTTCAAACCTGCTCTATGAACGGGAATGTTCAGCTCTGTGAGTTGAATGCAAACATCACACAGCAGGTTCTGAGAATGCTTCCGTCTAGATTTTAAATGAGGATATTCCCGTTTCCAACGAAATCCTCGAAGCTATCCAAATATCCACTTGCAGATTCCACAAAAAGAGTGTTTCAAAACTGCTCTGTCAAAAGACAGGTTCAACTCTGTTAGTTGAGTACACACATGGCAAACAAGATTCCGAGAATGCTTTCGTCTAGTTTTTTTGGGAAGATATTTCCTTCTTCACCATAGGCCTCAAAGCGCTCCAAATATCCATTTCCACATGCTATACAAAGAGTGTCTCAAACCTGCTGTATGAATGGGAATGTTCAACTCTATGAGTTGAATGCAAACATCACAAAGAAGTTTCTGAGAATGCTGCTGTCTAGATTTTATATGAAGGTTTTCCCGCTTCCAACGAAATTTTCAATGCTCTCAAAATATCCTCTTGTAGATTCTACAAAAAGAGTGTTTCCAAACTGCTGTATCAAAACAAAGGTTCATCTCTGTTATTTGAGGACACACATCACAAATAAGTTTCTGAGAATGCTTCTGTCTAGTTCTTATTTGAAGACATTTCCTTTCTCACCTTAGGCCTGAAAGCGCTCGAAATATCCACTTCCAGATACGACAGAAACAGTGATTCAAACCTGCTCTATGAAAGGGAATGTTCAACTAGGTGACTTGAATGCAAACATCACAAAGCAGTTTCTGAGAATGCTGCTGTCTACTTTCTATTTGTAATCCCGTTTCCAACGAAATCCTCAGAACTATCGAAATTTCCAATTGCAGATTCCACAAAAAGCGTGTTTCAAAGCTGCTCTGTAAAAAGAAAGGTTCAACTCTGTTAGTTGAATACACACGTCACAAACAAGTTTCTGAGAATGCTTCTGTCTAGTTTTTATGGGAAGATATTTCCTTTTTCACCGTAGGCCTCAAAGCGCTCCAAATGTCCACTTCCACATACTACAAAAAGAGTGTTTCAAACCTGCTGTATGAAAGGGAATGTTCAACTCTATGAGTTGAATGCAAACATTACAAAGAAGTTTCTGAGAATGCTTCTGTCTAGATTTTATATGAAGATTTTCCCGTTTCCAACGAAATTTTCAATGCTCTCAAAATATCCACTTGTAGATTCTACAAAAAGAGTGTTTCCAAACTGCTGTGTCAAAAGAAAGGTTCAACTCTGTTAGTTGAGGACACACATCACAAATAAGTTTCTGAGAATGCTTCTGTCTAGTTCTTATTTGAAGACATTTCCTTTCTCACCTTAGGCCTGAAAACGCTCGAAATATCCACTTCCAGATACGACAGAAACAGTGATTCAAACCTGCTCTATGAAAGGGAATGTTCAACTAGGTGACTTGAATGCAAACATCACAAAGCAGTTTCTGAGAATGCTGCTGTCTACTTTCTATTTGTAATCCCGTTTCCAACGAAATCCTCAGAACCATCGAAATTTCCAATTGCAGATTCCACAGAAACAGGGTTTCAAAGCTGCTCTGTAAAAAAGAAAGGTTCAACTCTGTTAGTTGAATACACACGTCACAAACAAGTTTCTGAGAATGCTTCTGTCTAGTTTTTATGGGAAGATATTTCCTTTTTCACCGTAGGCCTCAAAGCGCTCCAAATGTCCACTTCCACATACAACAAAAAGAGTGTTTCAAACCTGCTCTATGATAGGGAATGTTGAAACCTATGAGTTGAATGCAAGCATTACAAAGAGGTTTCTGAGAATGCTTCTGTCTAGATTTTATATGTAGATATTCCCGTTTCCAACGAAATCCTCAAAACTATCCAAATATCAACTTGCAGATTCTACAAAAGGAATGTTTCCAAAATGCTGTATCCAAACAAAGGTTCAACTCTGTGAATTGAGGGCATACATCACAAAGAAGATTCTGAGAATGCTTCTGTCTAGATTTTATATGAAAATATTCCCGTTTCCAACGAAATCCTCAAAGCTATCCAAATATCCACTTGCAAATGCCACAAAAAGAGTGTTTCCAAACTGCTCTGTGAAAAGGAAGGTTCAACTCTGTTAGTTGAGTACACACATCACAAAGAGGTTTCTGAGAATGCTGCTGACTAGTTTTTATTTGAAGATATTTCCCTTTTCACCTTAGGCCTAAGAGTGCTCGAAATGTCCATTTCCACATACTCCACAAAGTGTGTTTCAAACGTGCTGTATGAAAGGGAATGTTCAACTCTATGAGTTGAATGCAAACATCACAAAGAAGATTCTGAGAATGCTTTTGTCTAGATTTTATATGAAGATATTCCCGTGTCCAACGAAATTTTCAAAGGTCTCCAAATATCCATTTGTAGATTCTACAAAAAGAGTGTTTCCAAACTGCTGTATCAAAACAAAGGTTGAACTCTGTGAGTTGAGGACACACATCACAAATAAGTTTCTGAGAATGCTTCTGTCTAGTTTTTATTTGAAGATGTTTCCTTTTTCACCATAGGCCTGAAAGCGCTCGAAATGTCCACTTCCAGATAGTACAGAAAGAGTGTTTCAAACCTGCTCTATGAACGGGAATGTTCAGCTCTGTGAGTTGAATGCAAACATCACAAAGCAGGTTCTGAGAATGCTTCCGTCTAGATTTTAAATGAGGATATTCCCGTTTCCAACGAAATCCTCGAAGCTATCCAAATATCCACTTGCAGATTCCACAGAAAGAGTGTTTCAAAACTGCTCTGTCAAAAGATAGATAGGTTCAACTCTGTTAGTTGAGTACACACATGGCAAACAAGATTGCGAGAATGCTTTCGTCTAGTTTTTTTGGGAAGATATTTCCTTCTTCACCATAGGCCTCAAAGCGCTCCAAATATCCATTTCCACATGCTATACAAAGAGTGTCTCAAACCTGCTGTATGAATGGGAATGTTCAACTCTATGAGTTGAATGCAAACATCACAAAGAAGTTTCTGAGAATGCTGCTGTCTAGATTTTATATGAAGGTTTTCCCGCTTCCAACGAAATTTTCAATGCTCTCAAAATATCCTCTTGTAGATTCTACAAAAAGAGTGTTTCCAAACTGCTGTATCAAAACAAAGGTTCATCTCTGTTAGTTGAGGACACACATCACAAATAAGTTTCTGAGAATGCTTCTGTCTAGTTCTTATTTGAAGACATTTCCTTTCTCACCTTAGGCCTGAAAGCGCTCGAAATACCCACTTCCAGATACGACAGAAACAGTGATTCAAACCTGCTCTATGAAAGGGAATGTTCAACTATGTGACTTGAATGCAAACATCACAAAGCAGTTTCTGAGAATGCTGCTGTCTACTTTCTATTTGTAATCCCGTTTCCAACGAAATCCTCAGAACTATCGAAATTTCCAATTGCAGATTCCACAGAAACAGGGTTTCAAAGCTGCTCTGTAAAAAGAAAGGTTCAACTCTGTTAGTTGAATACACACGTCACAAACAAGTTTCTGAGAATGCTTCTGTCTAGTTTTTATGGGAAGATATTTCCTTTTTCACCGTAGGCCTCAAAGCGCTCCAAATGTCCACTTCCACATACTACAAAAAGAGTGTTTCAAACCTGCTGTATGAAAGGGAATGTTCAACTCTATGAGTTGAATGCAAACATTAAAAAGAAGTTTCTGAGAATGCTTCTGTCTAGATTTTATATGAAGGTTTTCCCGTTTCCAACGAAATTTTCAATGCTCTCAAAATATCCACTTGTAGATTCTACAAAAAGAGTGTTTCCAAACTGCTGTGTCAAAAAAAAGGTTCAACTCTGTTAGTTGAGGACACACATCACAAATAAGTTTCTGAGAATGCTTCTGTCTAGTTCTTATTTGAAGACATTTCCTTTCTCACCTTAGGCCTGAAAACGCTCGAAATATCCACTTCCAGATACGACAGAAACAGTGATTCAAACCTGCTCTATGAAAGGGAATGTTCAACTAGGTGACTTGAATGCAAACATCACAAAGCAGTTTCTGAGAATGCTGCTGTCTACTTTCTATTTGTAATCCCGTTTCCAACGAAATCCTCAGAACTATCGAAATTTCCAATTGCAGATTCCACAGAAACAGGGTTTCAAAGCTGCTCTGTAAAAAGAAAGGTTCAACTCTGTTAGTTGAATACACACGTCACAAACAAGTTTCTGAGAATGCTTCTGTCTAGTTTTTATGGGAAGATATTTCCTTTTTCACCGTAGGCCTCAAAGCGCTCCAAATGTCCACGTCCACATACTACAAAAAGAGTGTTTCAAACCTGCTGTATGAAAGGGAATGTTCAACTCTATGAGTTGAATGCAAACATTACAAAGAAGTTTCTGAGAATGCTTCTGTCTAGATTTTATATGAAGGTTTTCCCGCTTCCAACGAAATTTTCAATGCTCTCAAAATATCCACTTGTAGATTCTACAAAAAGAGTGTTTCCAAACTGCTGTGTCAAAACAAAGATTCAACTCTGTTAGTTGAGGACACACATCACAAATAAGTTTCTGAGAATGCTGCTGTCTACTTTCTATTTGTAATCCCGTTTCCAACGAAATCCTCAGAACTATCGAAATTTCCAATTGCAGATTCCACAAAAAGCGTGTTTCAAAGCTGCTCTGTAAAAACAAAGGTTCAACTCTGTTAGTTGAATACACACGTCACAAACAAGTTTCTGAGAATGCTTCTGTCTAGTTTTTATGGGAAGATATTTCCTTTTTCACCGTAGGCCTCAAAGCGCTCCAAATGTCCACTTCCACATACTACAAAAAGAGTGTTTCAAACCTGCTGTATGAAAGGGAATGTTCAACTCTATGAGTTGAATGCAAACATTACAAAGAAGTTTCTGAGAATGCTTCCGTCTAGATTTTATATGAAGGTTTTCCCGTTTCCAACGAAATTTTCAATGCTCTCAAAATATCCACTTGTAGATTCTACAAAAACAGTGTTTCCAAACTGCTGTGTCAAAAGAAAGGTTCAACTCTGTTAGTTGAGGACACACATCACAAATAAGTTTCTGAGAATGCTTCTGTCTAGTTCTTATTTGAAGACATTTCCTTTCTCACCTTAGGCCTGAAAACGCTCGAAATATCCACTTCCAGATACGACAGAAACAGTGATTCAAACCTGCTCTATGAAAGGAAATGTTCAACTAGGTGACTTGAATGCAAACATCACAAAGCAGTTTCTGAGAATGCTGCTGTCTACTTTCTATTTGTAATCCCGTTTCCAAGGAAATCCTCAGAACTATCAAAATTTCCAATTGCAGAATCCACAAAAAGCGTGTTTCAAAGCTGCTCTGTAAAAAGAAATGTTCAACTCTGTTAGTTGAATACACACGTCACAAACAAGTTTCTGAGAATGCTTCTGTCTAGTTTTTATGGGAAGATATTTCCTTTTTCACCGTAGGCCTCAAAGCGCTCCAAATGTCCACTTCCACATACTACAAAAAGAGTGTTTCAAACCTGCTCTATGATAGGGAATGTTGAAACCTATGAGTTGAATGCAAGCATTACAAAGAGGTTTCTGAGAATGCTTCTGTCTAGATTTTATATGTAGATATTCCCGTTTCCAACGAAATCCTCAAAGCTATCCAAATATCAACTTGCAGATTCTACAAAAGGAATGTTTCCAAAATGCTGTATCCAAACAAAGGTTCAACTCTGTGAATTGAGGGCATACATCACAAAGAAGATTCTGAGAATGCTTCTGTCTAGATTTTATATGAAAATATTCCCGTTTCCAACGAAATCCTCAAAGCTATCCAAATATCCACTTGCAAATGCCACAAAAAGAGTGTTTCCAAACTGCTCTGTGAAAAGGAAGGTTCAACTCTGTTAGTTGAGTACACACATCACAAAGAGGTTTCTGAGAATGCTGCTGACTAGTTTTTATTTGAAGATATTTCCCTTTTCACCTTAGGCCTAAGAGTGCTCGAAATGTCCATTTCCACATACTCCACAAAGTGTGTTTCAAACGTGCTGTATGAAAGGGAATGTTCAACTCTATGAGTTGAATGCAAACATCACAAAGAAGATTCTGAGAATGCTTTTGTCTAGATTTTATATGAAGATATTCCCGTGTCCAACGAAATTTTCAAAGGTCTCCAAATATCCATTTGTAGATTCTACAAAAAGAGTGTTTCCAAACTGCTGTATCAAAACAAAGGTTGAACTCTGTGAGTTGAGGACACACATCACAAATAAGTTTCTGAGAATGCTTCTGTCTAGTTTTTATTTGAAGATGTTTCCTTTTTCACCATAGGCCTGAAAGCGCTCGAAATGTCCACTTCCAGATAGTGCAGAAAGAGTGTTTCAAACCTGCTCTATGAACGGGAATGTTCAGCTCTGTGAGTTGAATGCAAACATCACAAAGCAGGTTCTGAGAATGCTTCCGTCTAGATTTTAAATGAGGATATTCCCGTTTCCAACGAAATCCTCGAAGCTATCCAAATATCCACTTGCAGATTCCACAAAAAGAGTGTTTCAAAACTGCTCTGTCAAAAGATAGGTTCAACTCTGTTAGTTGAGTACACACATGGCAAACAAGATTCTGAGAATGCTTTCGTCTAGTTTTTTTGGGAAGATATTTCCTTCTTCACCATAGGCCTCAAAGCGCTCCAAATATCCATTTCCACATGCTATACAAAGAGTGTCTCAAACCTGCTGTATGAATGGGAATGTTCAACTCTATGAGTTGAATGCAAACATCACAAAGAAGTTTCTGAGAATGCTGCTGTCTAGATTTTATATGAAGGTTTTCCCGCTTCCAACGAAATTTTCAATGCTCTCAAAATATCCTCTTGTAGATTCTACAAAAAGAGTGTTTCCAAACTGCTGTATCAAAACAAAGGTTCATCTCTGTTAGTTGAGGACACACATCACAAATAAGTTTCTGAGAATGCTTCTGTCTAGTTCTTATTTGAAGACATTTCCTTTCTCACCTTAGGCCTGAAAACGCTCGAAATATCCACTTCCAGATACGACAGAAACAGTGATTCAAACCTGCTCTATGAAAGGGAATGTTCAACTAGGTGACTTGAATGCAAACATCACAAAGCAGTTTCTGAGAATGCTGCTGTCTACTTTCTATTTGTAATCCCGTTTCCAACGAAATCCTCAGAACTATCGAAATTTCCAATTGCAGATTCCACAAAAAGCGTGTTTCAAAGCTGCTCTGTAAAAAGAAAGGTTCAACTCTGTTAGTTGAATACACACGTCACAAACAAGTTTCTGAGAATGCTTCTGTCTAGTTTTTATGGGAAGATATTTCCTTTTTCACCGTAGGCCTCAAAGCGCTCCAAATGTCCACTTCCACATACTACAAAAAGAGTGTTTCAAACCTGCTCTATGATAGGGAATGTTGAAACCTATGAGTTGAATGCAAGCATTACAAAGAGGTTTCTGAGAATGCTTCTGTCTAGATTTTATATGTAGATATTCCCGTTTCCAACGAAATCCTCAAAGCTATCCAAATATCAACTTGCAGATTCTACAAAAGGAATGTTTCCAAAATGCTGTATCCAAACAAAGGTTCAACTCTGTGAATTGAGGGCATACATCACAAAGAAGATTCTGAGAATGCTTCTGTCTAGATTTTATATGAAAATATTCCCGTTTCCAACGAAATCCTCAAGCTATCCAAATATCCACTTGCAAATGCCACAAAAAGAGTGTTTCCAAACTGCTCTGTGAAAAGGAAGGTTCAACTCTGTTAGTTGAGTACACACATCACAAAGAGGTTTCTGAGAATGCTGCTGACTAGTTTTTATTTGAAGATATTTCCCTTTTCACCTTAGGCCTAAGAGTGCTCGAAATGTCCATTTCCACATACTCCACAAAGTGTGTTTCAAACGTGCTGTATGAAAGGGAATGTTCAACTCTATGAGTTGAATGCAAACATCACAAAGAAGACTCTGAGAATGCTTTTGTCTAGATTTTATATGAAGATATTCCCGTGTCCAACGAAATTTTCAAAGGTCTCCAAATATCCATTTGTAGATTCTACAAAAAGAGTGTTTCCAAACTGCTGTATCAAAACAAAGGTTGAACTCTGTGAGTTGAGGACACACATCACAAATAAGTTTCTGAGAATGCTTCTGTCTAGTTCTTATTTGAAGACATTTCCTTTCTCACCTTAGGCCTGAAAACGCTCGAAATATCCACTTCCAGATACGACAGAAACAGTGATTCAAACCTGCTCTATGAAAGGGAATGTTCAACTAGGTGACTTGAATGCAAACATCACAAAGCAGTTTCTGAGAATGCTGCTGTCTACTTTCTATTTGTAATCCCGTTTCCAACGAAATCCTCAGAACCATCGAAATTTCCAATTGCAGATTCCACAGAAACAGGGTTTCAAAGCTGCTCTGTAAAAAGAAAGGTTCAACTCTGTTAGTTGAATACACACGTCACAAACAAGTTTCTGAGAATGCTTCTGTCTAGTTTTTATGGGAAGATATTTCCTTTTTCACGGTAGGCCTCAAAGCGCTCCAAATGTCCACTTCCACATACTACAAAAAGAGTGTTTCAAACCTGCTCTATGATAGGGAATGTTGAAACCTATGAGTTGAATGCAAGCATTACAAAGAGGTTTCTGAGAATGCTTCTGTCTAGATTTTATATGTAGATATTCCCGTTTCCAACGAAATCCTCAAAGCTATCCAAATATCAACTTGCAGATTCTACAAAAGGAATGTTTCCAAAATGCTGTATCCAAACAAAGGTTCAACTCTGTGAATTGAGGGCATACATCACAAAGAAGATTCTGAGAATGCTTCTGTCTAGATTTTATATGAAAATATTCCCGTTTCCAACGAAATCCTCAAAGCTATCCAAATATCCACTTGCAAATGCCACAAAAAGAGTGTTTCCAAACTGCTCTGTGAAAAGGAAGGTTCAACTCTGTTAGTTGAGTACACACATCACAAAGAGGTTTCTGAGAATGCTGCTGACTAGTTTTTATTTGAAGATATTTCCCTTTTCACCTTAGGCCTAAGAGTGCTCGAAATGTCCATTTCCACATACTCCACAAAGTGTGTTTCAAACGTGCTGTATGAAAGGGAATGTTCAACTCTATGAGTTGAATGCAAACATCACAAAGAAGATTCTGAGAATGCTTTTGTCTAGATTTTATATGAAGATATTCCCGTGTCCAACGAAATTTTCAAAGGTCTCCAAATATCCATTTGTAGATTCTACAAAAAGAGTGTTTCCAAACTGCTGTATCAAAACAAAGGTTGAACTCTGTGAGTTGAGGACACACATCACAAATAAGTTTCTGAGAATGCTTCTGTCTAGTTTTTATTTGAAGATGTTTCCTTTTTCACCATAGGCCTGAAAGCGCTCGAAATGTCCACTTCCAGATAGTACAGAAAGAGTGTTTCAAACCTGCTCTATGAACGGGAATGTTCAGCTCTGTGAGTTGAATGCAAACATCACAAAGCAGGTTCTGAGAATGCTTCCGTCTAGATTTTAAATGAGGATATTCCCGTTTCCAACGAAATCCTCGAAGCTATCCAAATATCCACTTGCAGATCCCACAAAAAGAGTGTTTCAAAACTGCTCTGTCAAAAGATAGGTTCAACTCTGTTAGTTGAGTACACACATGGCAAACAAGATTGCGAGAATGCTTTCGTCTAGTTTTTTTGGGAAGATATTTCCTTCTTCACCATAGGCCTCAAAGCGCTCCAAATATCCATTTCCACATGCTATACAAAGAGTGTCTCAAACCTGCTGTATGAATGGGAATGTTCAACTCTATGAGTTGAATGCAAACATCACAAAGAAGTTTCTGAGAATGCTGCTGTCTAGATTTTATATGAAGGTTTTCCCGCTTCCAACGAAATTTTCAATGCTCTCAAAATATCCTCTTGTAGATTCTACAAAAAGAGTGTTTCCAAACTGCTGTATCAAAACAAAGGTTCATCTCTGTTAGTTGAGGACACACATCACAAATAAGTTTCTGAGAATGCTTCTGTCTAGTTCTTATTTGAAGACATTTCCTTTCTCACCTTAGGCCTGAAAGCGCTCGAAATACCCACTTCCAGATACTACAGAAACAGTGATTCAAACCTGCTCTATGAAAGGGAATGTTCAACTAGGTGACTTGAATGCAAACATCACAAAGCAGTTTCTGAGAATGCTGCTGTCTACTTTCTATTTGTAATCCCGTTTCCAACGAAATCCTCAGAACTATCGAAATTTCCAATTGCAGATTCCACAGAAACAGGGTTTCAAAGCTGCTCTGTAAAAAGAAAGGTTCAACTCTGTTAGTTGAATACACACGTCACAAACAAGTTTCTGAGAATGCTTCTGTCTAGTTTTTATGGGAAGATACTTCCTTTTTCACCGTAGGCCTCAAAGCGCTCCAAATGTCCACTTCCACATACTACAAAAAGAGTGTTTCAAACCTGCTGTATGAAAGGGAATGTTCAACTCTATGAGTTGAATGCAAACATTACAAAGAAGTTTCTGAGAATGCTTCTGTCTAGATTTTATATGAAGGTTTTCCCGTTTCCAACGAAATTTTCAATGCTCTCAAAATATCCACTTGTAGATTCTACAAAAAGAGTGTTTCCAAACTGCTGTGTCAAAAGAAAGGTTCAACTCTGTTAGTTGAGGACACACATCACAAATAAGTTTCTGAGAATGCTTCTGTCTAGTTCTTATTTGAAGACATTTCCTTTCTCACCTTAGGCCTGAAAACGCTCGAAATATCCACTTCCAGATACGACAGAAACAGTGATTCAAACCTGCTCTATGAAAGGGAATGTTCAACTAGGTGACTTGAATGCAAACATCACAAAGCAGTTTCTGAGAATGCTGCTGTCTACTTTCTATTTGTAATCCCGTTTGCAACGAAATCCTCAGAACTATCGAAATTTCCAATTGCAGATTCCACAGAAACAGGGTTTCAAAGCTGCTCTGTAAAAAGAAAGGTTCAACTCTGTTAGTTGAATACACACGTCACAAACAAGTTTCTGAGAATGCTTCTGTCTAGTTTTTATGGGAAGATATTTCCTTTTTCACCGTAGGCCTCAAAGCGCTCCAAATGTCCACTTCCACATACTACAAAAAGAGTGTTTCAAACCTGCTGTATGAAAGGGAATGTTCAACTCTATGAGTTGAATGCAAACATTACAAAGAAGTTTCTGAGAATGCCTCTGTCTAGATTTTATATGAAGGTTTTCCCGTTTCCAAGGAAATTTTCAATGCTCTCAAAATATCCACTTGTAGATTCTACAAAAAGAGTGTTTCCAATCTGCTGTGTCAAAAGAAAGGTTCAACTCTGTTAGTTGAGGACACACATCACAAAGAGGTTTCTGAGAATGCTGCTGACTAGTTTTTATTTGAAGATATTTCCCTTTTCACCTTAGGCCTAAGATTGCTCGAAATGTCCATTTCCACATACTCCATAAAGTGTGTTTCAAAGGTGCTGTATGAAAGGGAATGTTCAACTCTATGAGTTGAATGCAAACATCACAAAGAAGATTCTGAGAATGCTTTTGTCTAGATTTTATATGAAGATATTCCTGTGTCCAACGAAATTTTCAAAGGTCTCCAAATATCCATTTGTAGATTCTACAAAAAGAGTGTTTCCAAACTGCTGTATCAAAACAAAGGTTGAACTCTGTGAGTTGAGGACACACATCACAAATAAGTTTCTGAGAATGCTTCTGTCTAGTTTTTATTTGAAGATGTTTCCTTTTTCACCATAGGCCTGAAAGCGCTCGAAATGTCCACTTCCAGATAGTACAGAAAGAGTGTTTCAAACCTGCTCTATGAACGGGAATGTTCAGCTCTGTGAGTTGAATGCAAACATCACAAAGCAGGTTCTGAGAATGCTTCCGTCTATATTTTAAATGAGGATATTCCCGTTTCCAACGAAATCCTCGAAGCTATCCAAATATCCACTTGCAGATTCCACAAAAAGAGTGTTTCAAAACTGCTCTGTCAAAAGATAGGTTCAACTCTGTTAGTTGAGTACACACATGGCAAACAAGATTGCGAGAATGCTTTCGTCTAGTTTTTTTGGGAAGATATTTCCTTCTTCACCATAGGCCTCAAAGCGCTCCAAATATCCATTTCCACATGCTATACAAAGAGTGTCTCAAACCTGCTGTATGAATGGGAATGTTCAACTCTATGAGTTGAATGCAAACATCACAAAGAAGTTTCTGAGAATGCTGCTGTCTAGATTTTATATGAAGGTTTTCCCGCTTCCAACGAAATTTTCAATGCTCTCAAAATATCCTCTTGTAGATTCTACAAAAAGAGTGTTTCCAAACTGCTGTATCAAAACAAAGGTTCATCTCTGTTAGTTGAGGACACACATCACAAATAAGTTTCTGAGAATGCTTCTGTCTAGTTCTTATTTGAAGACATTTCCTTTCTCACCTTAGGCCTGAAAGCGCTCGAAATACCCACTTCCAGATACTACAGAAACAGTGATTCAAACCTGCTCTATGAAAGGGAATGTTCAACAATGTGACTTGAATGCAAACATCACAAAGCAGTTTCTGAGAATGCTGCTGTCTACTTTCTATTTGTAATCCCGTTTGCAACGAAATCCTCAGAACTATCGAAATTTCCAATTGCAGATTCCACAGAAACAGGGTTTCAAAGCTGCTCTGTAAAAAGAAAGGTTCAACTCTGTTAGTTGAATACACACGTCACAAACAAGTTTCTGAGAATGCTTCTGTCTAGTTTTTATGGGAAGATATTTCCTTTTTCACCGTAGGCCTCAAAGCGCTCCAAATGTCCACGTCCACATACTACAAAAAGAGTGTTTCAAACCTGCTGTATGAAAGGGAATGTTCAACTCTATGAGTTGAATGCAAACATTACAAAGAAGTTTCTGAGAATGCTTCTGTCTAGATTTTATATGAAGGTTTTCCCGTTTCCAACGAAATTTTCAATGCTCTCAAAATATCCACTTGTAGATTCTACAAAAAGAGTGTTTCCAAACTGCTGTGTCAAAAGAAAGGTTCAACTCTGTTAGTTGAGGACACACATCACAAATAAGTTTCTGAGAATGCTTCTGTCTAGTTCTTATTTGAAGACATTTCCTTTCTCACCTTAGGCCTGAAAACGCTCGAAATATCCACTTCCAGATACGACAGAAACAGTGATTCAAACCTGCTCTATGAAAGGGAATGTTCAACTAGGTGACTTGAATGCAAACATCATAAAGCAGTTTCTGAGAATGCTTGCTGTCTACTTTGTATTTGTAATCCCGTTTCCAACGAAATCCTCAGAACTATCGAAATTTCCAATTGCAGATTCCACAAAAAGCGTGTTTCAAAGCTGCTCTGTAAAAAGAAAGGTTCAACTCTGTTAGTTGAATACACACGTCACAAACAAGTTTCTGAGAATGCTTCTGTCTAGTTTTTATGGGAAGATATTTCCTTTTTCACCGTAGGCCTCAAAGCGCTCCAAATGTCCACTTCCACATACTACAAAAAGAGTGTTTCAAACCTGCTCTATGATAGGGAATGTTGAAACCTATGAGTTGAATGCAAGCATTACAAAGAGGTTTCTGAGAATGCTTCTGTCTAGATTTTATATGTAGATATTCCCGTTTCCAACGAAATCCTCAAAGCTATCCAAATATCAACTTGCAGATTCTACAAAAGGAATGTTTCCAAAATGCTGTATCCAAACAAAGGTTCAACTCTGTGAATTGAGGGCATACATCACAAAGAAGATTCTGAGAATGCTTCTGTCTAGATTTTATATGAAAATATTCCCGTTTCCAACGAAATCCTCAAAGCTATCCAAATATCCACTTGCAAATGCCACAAAAAGAGTGTTTCCAAACTGCTCTGTGAAAAGGAAGGTTCAACTCTGTTAATTGAGTACACACATCACAAAGAGGTTTCTGAGAATGCTGCTGACTAGTTTTTATTTGAAGATATTTCCCTTTTCACCTTAGGCCTAAGAGTGCTCGAAATGTCCATTTCCACATACTCCACAAAGTGTGTTTCAAACGTGCTGTATGAAAGGGAATGTTCAACTCTATGAGTTGAATGCAAACATCACAAAGAAGATTCTGAGAATGCTTTTGTCTAGATTTTATATGAAGATATTCCCGTGTCCAACGAAATTTTCAAAGGTCTCCAAATAAAGATTGTTTCCAAACTGCTGTATCAAAACAAAGGTTGAACTCTGTGAGTTGAGGACACACATCACAAATAAGTTTCTGAGAATGCTTCTGTCTAGTTTTTATTTGAAGATGTTTCCTTTTTCACCATAGGCCTGAAAGCGCTCGAAATGTCCACTTCCAGATAGTACAGAAAGAGTGTTTCAAACCTGCTCTATGAACGGGAATGTTCAGCTCTGTGAGTTGAATGCAAACATCACAAAGCAGGTTCTGAGAATGCTTCCGTCTAGATTTTAAATGAGGATATTCCCGTTTCCAAAGAAATCCTCGAAGCTATCCAAATATCCACTTGCAGATTCCACAAAAAGAGTGTTTCAAAACTGCTCTGTCAAAAGATAGGTTCAACTCTGTTAGTTGAGTACACACATGGCAAACAAGATTCCGAGAATGCTTTCGTCTAGTTTTTTTGGGAAGATATTTCCTTCTTCACCATAGGCCTCAAAGCGCTCCAAATATCCATTTCCACATGCTATACAAAGAGTGTCTCAAACCTGCTGTATGAATGGGAATGTTCAACTCTATGAGTTGAATGCAAACATCACAAAGAAGTTTCTGAGAATGCTGCTGTCTAGATTTTATATGAAGGTTTTCCCGCTTCCAACGAAATTTTCAATGCTCTCAAAATATCCTCTTGTAGATTCTACAAAAAGAGTGTTTCCAAACTGCTGTATCAAAACAAAGGTTCATCTCTGTTAGTTGAGGACACACATCACAAATAAGTTTCTGAGAATGCTTCTGTCTAGTTCTTATTTGAAGACATTTCCTTTCTCACCTTAGGCCTGAAAGCGCTCGAAATACCCACTTCCAGATACTACAGAAACAGTGATTCAAACCTGCTCTATGAAAGGGAATGTTCAACTAGGTGACTTGAATGCAAACATCACAAAGCAGTTTCTGAGAATGCTGCTGTCTACTTTCTATTTGTAATCCCGTTTCCAACGAAATCCTCAGAACTATCGAAATTTCCAATTGCAGATTCCACAGAAACAGGGTTTCAAAGCTGCTCTGTAAAAAGAAAGGTTCAACTCTGTTAGTTGAATACACACGTCACAAACAAGTTTCTGAGAATGCTTCTGTCTAGTTTTTATGGGAAGATATTTCCTTTTTCACCGTAGGCCTCAAAGCGCTCCAAATGTCCACGTCCACATACTACAAAAAGAGTGTTTCAAACCTGCTGTATGAAAGGGAATGTTCAACTCTATGAGTTGAATGCAAACATTACAAAGAAGTTTCTGAGAATGCTTCTGTCTAGATTTTATATGAAGGTTTTCCCGTTTCCAACGAAATTTTCAATGCTCTCAAAATATCCACTTGTAGATTCTACAAAAAGAGTGTTTCCAAACTGCTGTGTCAAAAGAAAGGTTCAACTCTGTTAGTTGAGGACACACATCACAAATAAGTTTCTGAGAATGCTTCTGTCTAGTTCTTATTTGAAGACATTTCCTTTCTCACCTTAGGCCTGAAAGCGCTCGAAATACCCACTTCCAGATACTACAGAAACAGTGATTCAAACCTGCTCTATGAAAGGGAATGTTCAACTATGTGACTTGAATGCAAACATCACAAAGCAGTTTCTGAGAATGCTGCTGTCTACTTTCTATTTGTAATCCCGTTTCCAACGAAATCCTCAGAACTATCGAAATTTCCAATTGCAGATTCCACAGAAACAGGGTTTCAAAGCTGCTCTGTAAAAAGAAAGGTTCAACTCTGTTAGTTGAATACACACGTCACAAACAAGTTTCTGAGAATGCTTCTGTCTAGTTTTTATGGGAAGATATTTCCTTTTTCACGGTAGGCCTCAAAGCGCTCCAAATGTCCACTTCCACATACTACAAAAAGAGTGTTTCAAACCTGCTCTATGATAGGGAATGTTGAAACCTATGAGTTGAATGCAAGCATTACAAAGAGGTTTCTGAGAATGCTTCTGTCTAGATTTTATATGTAGATATTCCCGTTTCCAACGAAATCCTCAAAGCTATCCAAATATCAACTTGCAGATTCTGCAAAAGGAATGTTTCCAAAATGCTGTATCCAAACAAAGGTTCAACTCTGTGAATTGAGGGCATACATCACAAAGAAGATTCTGAGAATGCTTCTGTCTAGATTTTATATGAAAATATTCCCGTTTCCAACGAAATCCTCAAAGCTATCCAAATATCCACTTGCAAATGCCACAAAAAGAGTGTTTCCAAACTGCTCTGTGAAAAGGAAGGTTCAACTCTGTTAGTTGAGTACACACATCACAAAGAGGTTTCTGAGAATGCTGCTGACTAGTTTTTATTTGAAGATATTTCCCTTTTCACCTTAGGCCTAAGAGTGCTCGAAATGTCCATTTCCACATACTCCACAAAGTGTGTTTCAAACGTGCTGTATGAAAGGGAATGTTCAACTCTATGAGTTGAATGCAAACATCACAAAGAAGATTCTGAGAATGCTTTTGTCTAGATTTTATATGAAGATATTCCCGTGTCCAACGAAATTTTCAAAGGTCTCCAAATATCCATTTGTAGATTCTACAAAAAGAGTGTTTCCAAACTGCTGTATCAAAACAAAGGTTGAACTCTGTGAGTTGAGGACACACATCACAAATAAGTTTCTGAGAATGCTTCTGTCTAGTTTTTATTTGAAGATGTTTCCTTTTCCACCATAGGCCTGAAAGCGCTCGAAATGTCCACTTCCAGATAGTACAGAAAGAGTGTTTCAAACCTGCTCTATGAACGGGAATGTTCAGCCTCCTGTGAGTTGAATGCAAACATCACAAAGCAGGTTCTGAGAATGCTTCCGTCTAGATTTTAAATGAGGATATTCCCGTTTCCAAGGAAATCCTCGAAGCTATCCAAATATCCACTTGCAGATTCCACAGAAAGAGTGTTTCAAAACTGCTCTCTCAAAAGATAGGTTCAACTCGGTTAGTTGAGTACACACATGGCAAACAAGATTCCGAGAATGCTTTCGTCTAGTTTTTTTGGGAAGATATTTCCTTCTTCACCATAGGCCTCAAAGCGCTCCAAATATCCATTTCCACATGCTATACAAAGAGTGTCTCAAACCTGCTGTATGAATGGGAATGTTCAACTCTATGAGTTGAATGCAAACATCACAAAGAAGTTTCTGAGAATGCTGCTGTCTAGATTTTATATGAAGGTTTTCCCGCTTCCAACGAAATTTTCAATGCTCTCAAAATATCCTCTTGTAGATTCTACAAAAAGAGTGTTTCCAAACTGCTGTATCAAAACAAAGGTTCATCTCTGTTAGTTGAGGACACACATCACAAATAAGTTTCTGAGAATGCTTCTGTCTAGTTCTTATTTGAAGACATTTCCTTTCTCACCTTAGGCCTGAAAGCGCTCGAAATACCCACTTCCAGATACTACAGAAACAGTGATTCAAACCTGCTCTATGAAAGGGAATGTTCAACTATGTGACTTGAATGCAAACATCACAAAGCAGTTTCTGAGAATGCTGCTGTCTACTTTCTATTTGTAATCCCGTTTCCAACGAAATCCTCAGAACTATCGAAATTTCCAATTGCAGATTCCACAGAAACAGGGTTTCAAAGCTGCTCTGTAAAAAGAAAGGTTCAACTCTGTCAGTTGAATACACACGTCACAAACAAGTTTCTGAGAATGCTTCTGTCTAGTTTTTATGGGAAGATATTTCCTTTTTCACCGTAGGCCTCAAAGCGCTCCAAATGTCCACTTCCACATACTACAAAAAGAGTGTTTCAAACCTGCTGTATGAAAGGGAATGTTCAACTCTATGAGTTGAATGCAAACATTACAAAGAAGTTTCTGAGAATGCTTCTGTCTAGATTTTATATGAAGGTTTTCCCGTTTCCAACGAAATTTTCAATGCTCTCAAGATATCCACTTGTAGATTCTACAAAAAGAGTGTTTCCAAACTGCTGTGTCAAAAGAAAGGTTCAACTCTGTTAGTTGAAGACACACATCACAAATAAGTTTCTGAGAATGCTTCTGTCTAGTTCTTATTTGAAGACATTTCCTTTCTCACCTTAGGCCTGAAAACGCTCGAAATATCCACTTCCAGATACGACAGAAACAGTGATTCAAACCTGCTCTATGAAAGGGAATGTTCAACTAGGTGACTTGAATGCAAACATCACAAAGCAGTTTCTGAGAATGCTGCTGTCTACTTTCTATTTGTAATCCCGTTTCCAACGAAATCCTCAGAACCATCGAAATTTCCAATTGCAGATTCCACAGAAACAGGGTTTCAAAGCTGCTCTGTAAAAAGAAAGGTTCAACTCTGTTAGTTGAATACACACGTCCAAACAAGTTTCTGAGAATGCTTCTGTCTAGTTTTTATGGGAAGATATTTCCTTTATCACGGTAGGCCTCAAAGCGCTCCAAATGTCCACTTCCACATACTACAAAAAGAGTGTTTCAAACCTGCTCTATGATAGGGAATGTTGAAACCTATGAGTTGAATGCAAGCATTACAAAGAGGTTTCTGAGAATGCTTCTGTCTAGATTTTATATGTAGATATTCCCGTTTCCAACGAAATCCTCAAAGCTATCCAAATATCAACTTGCAGATTCTGCAAAAGGAATGTTTCCAAAATGCTGTATCCAAACAAAGGTTCAACTCTGTGAATTGAGGGCATACATCACAAAGAAGATTCTGAGAATGCTTCTGTCTAGATTTTATATGAAAATATTCCCGTTTCCAACGAAATCCTCAAAGCTATCCAAATATCCACTTGCAAATGCCACAAAAAGAGTGTTTCCAAACTGCTCTGTGAAAAGGAAGGTTCAACTCTGTTAGTTGAGTACACACATCACAAAGAGGTTTCTGAGAATGCTGCTGACTAGTTTTTATTTGAAGATATTTCCCTTTTCACCTTAGGCCTAAGAGTGCTCGAAATGTCCATTTCCACATACTCCACAAAGTGTGTTTCAAACGTGCTGTATGAAAGGGAATGTTCAACTCTATGAGTTGAATGCAAACATCACAAAGAAGATTCTGAGAATGCTTTTGTCTAGATTTTATATGAAGATATTCCCGTGTCCAACGAAATTTTCAAAGGTCTCCAAATATCCATTTGTAGATTCTACAAAAAGAGTGTTTCCAAACTGCTGTATCAAAACAAAGGTTGAACTCTGTGAGTTGAGGACACACATCACAAATAAGTTTCTGAGAATGCTTCTGTCTAGTTTTTATTTGAAGATGTTTCCTTTTTCACCATAGGCCTGAAAGCGCTCGAAATGTCCACTTCCAGATAGTACAGAAAGAGTGTTTCAAACCTGCTCTATGAACGGGAATGTTCAGTTCTGTGAGTTGAATGCAAACATCACAAAGCAGGTTCTGAGAATGCTTCCGTCTAGATTTTAAATGAGGATATTCCCGTTTCCAACGAAATCCTCGAAGCTATCCAAATATCCACTTGCAGATTCCACAAAAAGAGTGTTTCAAAACTGCTCTGTCAAAAGATAGGTTCAACTCTGTTAGTTGAGTACACACATGGCAAACAAGATTGCGAGAATGCTTTCGTCTAGTTTTTTTGGGAAGATATTTCCTTCTTCACCATAGGCCTCAAAGCGCTCCAAATATCCATTTCCACATGCTATACAAAGAGTGTCTCAAACCTGCTGTATGAATGGGAATGTTCAACTCTATGAGTTGAATGCAAACATCACAAAGAAGTTTCTGAGAATGCTGCTGTCTAGATTTTATATGAAGGTTTTCCCGCTTCCAACGAAATTTTCAATGCTCTCAAAATATCCTCTTGTAGATTCTACAAAAAGAGTGTTTCCAAACTGCTGTATCAAAACAAAGGTTCATCTCTGTTAGTTGAGGACACACATCACAAATAAGTTTCTGAGAATGCTTCTGTCTAGTTCTTATTTGAAGACATTTCCTTTCTCACCTTAGGCCTGAAAGCGCTCGAAATACCCACTTCCAGATACTACAGAAACAGTGATTCAAACCTGCTCTATGAAAGGGAATGTTCAACTATGTGACTTGAATGCAAACATCACAAAGCAGTTTCTGAGAATGCTGCTGTCTACTTTCCTATTTGTAATCCCGTTTCCAACGAAATCCTCAGAACTATCGAAATTTCCAATTGCAGATTCCACAGAAACAGGGTTTCAAAGCTGCTCTGTAAAAAGAAAGGTTCAACTCTGTTAGTTGAATACACACGTCACAAACAAGTTTCTGAGAATGCTTCTGTCTAGTTTTTATGGGAAGATATTTCCTTTATTCACCGTAGGCCTCAAAGCGCTCCAAATGTCCACTTCCACATACTACAAAAAGAGTGTTTCAAACCTGCTCTATGATAGGGAATGTTGAAACCTATGAGTTGAATGCAAGCATTACAAAGAGGTTTCTGAGAATGCTTCTGTCTAGATTTTATATGTAGATATTCCCGTTTCCAACGAAATCCTCAAAGCTATCCAAATATCAACTTGCAGATTCTGCAAAAGGAATGTTTCCAAAATGCTGTATCCAAACAAAGGTTCAACTCTGTGAATTGAGGGCATACATCACAAAGAAGATTCTGAGAATGCTTCCTGTCTAGATTTTATATGAAAATATTCCCGTTTCCAACGAAATCCTCAAAGCTATCCAAATATCCACTTGCAAATGCCACAAAAAGAGTGTTTCCAAACTGCTCTGTGAAAAGGAAGGTTCAACTCTGTTAGTTGAGTACACACATCACAAAGAGGTTTCTGAGAATGCTGCTGACTAGTTTTTATTTGAAGATATTTCCCTTTTCACCTTAGGCCTAAGAGTGCTCGAAATGTCCATTTCCACATACTCCACAAAGTGTGTTTCAAACGTGCTGTATGAAAGGGAATGTTCAACTCTATGAGTTGAATGCAAACATCACAAAGAAGACTCTGAGAATGCTTTTGTCTAGATTTTATATGAAGATATTCCCGTGTCCAACGAAATTTTCAAAGGTCTCCAAATATCCATTTGTAGATTCTACAAAAAGAGTGTTTCCAAACTGCTGTATCAAAACAAAGGTTGAACTCTGTGAGTTGAGGACACACATCACAAATAAGTTTCTGAGAATGCTTCTGTCTAGTTTTTATTTGAAGATGTTTCCTTTTTCACCATAGGCCTGAAAGCGCTCGAAATGCCCACTTCCAGATAGTACAGAAAGAGTGTTTCAAACCTGCTCTATGAACGGGAATGTTCAGCTCTGTGAGTTGAATGCAAACATCACAAAGCAGGTTCTGAGAATGCTTCCGTCTAGATTTTAAATGAGGATATTCCCGTTTCCAACGAAATCCTCGAAGCTATCCAAATATCCACTTGCAGATTCCACAAAAAGAGTGTTTCAAAACTGCTCTGTCAAAAGATAGGTTCAACTCTGTTAGTTGAGTACAGACATGGCAAACAAGATTGCGAGAATGCTTTCGTCTAGTTTTTTTGGGAAGATATTTCCTTCTTCACCATAGGCCTCAAAGCGCTCCAAATATCCATTTCCACATGCTATACAAAGAGTGTCTCAAACCTGCTGTATGAATGGGAATGTTCAACTCTATGAGTTGAATGCAAACATCACAAAGAAGTTTCTGAGAATGCTGCTGTCTAGATTTTATATGAAGGTTTTCCCGCTTCCAACGAAATTTTCAATGCTCTCAAAATATCCTCTTGTAGATTCTACAAAAAGAGTGTTTCCAAACTGCTGTATCAAAACAAAGGTTCATCTCTGTTAGTTGAGGACACACATCACAAATAAGTTTCTGAGAATGCTTCTGTCTAGTTCTTATTTGAAGACATTTCCTTTCTCACCTTAGGCCTGAAAGCGCTCGAAATACCCACTTCCAGATACTACAGAAACAGTGATTCAAACCTGCTCTATGAAAGGGAATGTTCAACTATGTGACTTGAATGCAAACATCACAAAGCAGTTTCTGAGAACGCTGCTGTCTACTTTCTATTTGTAATCCCGTTTCCAACGAAATCCTCAGAACTATCGAAATTTCCAATTGCAGATTCCACAGAAACAGGGTTTCAAAGCTGCTCTGTAAAAAGAAAGGTTCAACTCTGTTAGTTGAATACACACGTCACAAACAAGTTTCTGAGAATGCTTCTCTCTAGTTTTTATGGGAAGATATTTCCTTTTTCACCGTAGGCCTCAAAGCGCTCCAAATGTCCACTTCCACATACTACAAAAAGAGTGTTTCAAACCTGCTGTATGAAAGGGAATGTTCAACTCTATGAGTTGAATGCAAACATTACAAAGAAGTTTCTGAGAATGCTTCTGTCTAGATTTTATATGAAGATTTTCCCGTTTCCAACGAAATTTTCAATGCTCTCAAAATATCCACTTGTAGATTCTACAAAAAGAGTGTTTCCAAACTGCTGTGTCAAAAGAAAGGTTCAACTCTGTTAGTTGAGGACACACATCACAAATAAGTTTCTGAGAATGCTTCTGTCTAGTTCTTATTTGAAGACATTTCCTTTCTCACCTTAGGCCTGAAAACGCTCGAAATATCCACTTCCAGATACGACAGAAACAGTGATTCAAACCTGCTCTATGAAAGGGAATGTTCAACTAGGTGACTTGAATGCAAACATCACAAAGCAGTTTCTGAGAATGCTGCTGTCTACTTTCTATTTGTAATCCCGTTTCCAACGAAATCCTCAGAACTATCGAAATTTCCAATTGCAGATTCCACAGAAACAGGGTTTCAAAGCTGCTCTGTAAAAAGAAAGGTTCAACTCTGTTAGTTGAATACACACGTCACAAACAAGTTTCTGAGAATGCTTCTGTCTAGTTTTTATGGGAAGATATTTCCTTTTTCACCGTAGGCCTCAAAGCGCTCCAAATGTCCACTTCCACATACTACAAAAAGAGTGTTTCAAACCTGCTGTATGAAAGGGAATGTTCAACTCTATGAGTTGAATGCAAACATTACAAAGAAGTTTCTGAGAATGCTTCTGTCTAGATTTTATATGAAGGTTTTCCCGTTTCCAACGAAATTTTCAATGCTCTCAAAATATCCACTTGTAGATTCTACAAAAAGAGTGTTTCCAAACTGCTGTGTCAAAAAAAAGGTTCAACTCTGTTAGTTGAGGACACACATCACAAATAAGTTTCTGAGAATGCTTCTGTCTAGTTCTTATTTGAAGACATTTCCTTTCTCACCTTAGGCCTGAAAACGCTCGAAATATCCACTTCCAGATACGACAGAAACAGTGATTCAAACCTGCTCTATGAAAGGGAATGTTCAACTAGGTGACTTGAATGCAAACATCACAAAGCAGTTTCTGAGAATGCTGCTGTCTACTTTCTATTTGTAATCCCGTTTCCAACGAAATCCTCAGAACTATCGAAATTTCCAATTGCAGATTCCACAAAAAGCGTGTTTCAAAGCTGCTCTGTAAAAAGAAAGGTTCAACTCTGTTAGTTGAATACACACGTCACAAACAAGTTTCTGAGAATGCTTCTGTCTAGTTTTTATGGGAAGATATTTCCTTTTTCACGGTAGGCCTCAAAGCGCTCCAAATGTCCACTTCCACATACTACAAAAAGAGTGTTTCAAACCTGCTCTATGATAGGGAATGTTGAAACCTATGAGTTGAATGCAAGCATTACAAAGAGGTTTCTGAGAATGCTTCTGTCTAGATTTTATATGTAGATATTCCCGTTTCCAACGAAATCCTCAAACTATCCAAATATCAACTTGCAGATTCTACAAAAGGAATGTTTCCAAAATGCTGTATCCAAACAAAGGTTCAACTCTGTGAATTGAGGGCATACATCACAAAGAAGATTCTGAGAATGCTTCTGTCTAGATTTTATATGAAAATATTCCCGTTTCCAACAAAATCCTCAAAGCTATCCAAATATCCACTTGCAAATGCCACAAAAAGAGTGTTTCCAAACTGCTCTGTGAAAAGGAAGGTTCAACTCTGTTAGTTGAGTACACACATCACAAAGAGGTTTCTGAGAATGCTGCTGGCTAGTTTTTATTTGAAGATATTTCCCTTTTCACCTTAGGCCTAAGAGTGCTCGAAATGTCCATTTCCACATACTCCACAAAGTGTGTTCCAAACGTGCTGTATGAAAGGGAATGTTCAACTCTATGAGTTGAATGCAAACATCACAAAGAAGATTCTGAGAATGCTTTTGTCTAGATTTTATATGAAGATATTCCCGTGTCCAACGAAATTTTCAAAGGTCTCCAAATATCCATTTGTAGATTCTACAAAAAGAGTGTTTCCAAACTGCTGTATCAAAACAAAGGTTGAACTCTGTGAGTTGAGGACACACATCACAAATAAGTTTCTGAGAATGCTTCTGTCTAGTTTTTATTTGAAGATGTTTCCTTTTTCACCATAGGCCTGAAAGCGCTCGAAATGTCCACTTCCAGATAGTACAGAAAGAGTGTTTCAAACCTGCTCTATGAACGGGAATGTTCAGCTCTGTGAGTTGAATGCAAACATCACAAAGCAGGTTCTGAGAATGCTTCCGTCTAGATTTTAAATGAGGATATTCCCGTTTCCAACGAAATCCTCGAAGCTATCCAAATATCCACTTGCAGATTCCACAAAAAGAGTGTTTCAAAACTGCTCTGTCAAAAGATAGGTTCAACTCTGTTAGTTGAGTACACACATGGCAAACAAGATTGCGAGAATGCTTTCGTCTAGTTTTTTTGGGAAGATATTTCCTTCTTCACCATAGGCCTCAAAGCGCTCCAAATATCCATTTCCACATGCTATACAAAGAGTGTCTCAAACCTGCTGTATGAATGGGAATGTTCAACTCTATGAGTTGAATGCAAACATCACAAAGAAGTTTCTGAGAATGCTGCTGTCTAGATTTTATATGAAGGTTGTCCCGCTTCCAACGAAATTTTCAATGCTCTCAAAATATCCTCTTGTAGATTCTACAAAAAGAGTGTTTCCAAACTGCTGTATCAAAACAAAGGTTCATCTCTGTTAGTTGAGGACACACATCACAAATAAGTTTCTGAGAATGCTTCTGTCTAGTTCTTATTTGAAGACATTTCCTTTCTCACCTTAGGCCTGAAAACGCTCGAAATATCCACTTCCAGATACGACAGAAACTGTGATTCAAACCTGCTCTACGAAAGGGAATGTTCAACTAGGTGACTTGAATGCAAACATCACAAAGCAGTTTCTGAGAATGCTGCTGTCTACTTTCTATTTGTAATCCCGTTTCCAACGAAATCCTCAGAACTATCGAAATTTCCAATTGCAGATTCCACAAAAAGCGTGTTTCAAAGCTGCTCTGTAAAAAGAAAGGTTCAACTCTGTTAGTTGAATACACACGTCACAAACAAGTTTCTGAGAATGCTTCTGTCTAGTTTTTATGGGAAGATATTTCCTTTTTCACCGTAGGCCTCAAAGCGCTCCAAATGTCCACTTCCACATACTACAAAAAGAGTGTTTCAAACCTGCTGTATGAAAGGGAATGTTCAACTCTATGAGTTGAATGCAAACATTACAAAGAAGTTTCTGAGAATGCTTCTGTCTAGATTTTCTATGAAGGTTTTCCCGTTTCCAACGAAATTTTCAATGCTCTCAAAATATCCACTTGTAGATTCTACAAAAAGAGTGTTTCCAAACTGCTGTGTCAAAAGAAAGGTTCAACTCTGTCAGTTGAGGACACACATCACAAATAAGTTTCTGAGAATGCTTGTTTCTAGTTCTTATTTGAAGACATTTCCTTTCTCACCTTAGGCCTGAAAGCGCTCGAAATACCCACTTCCAGATACTACAGAAACAGTGATTCAAACCTGCTCTATGAAAGGGAATGTTCAACTAGGTGACTTGAATGCAAACATCACAAAGCAGTTTCTGAGAATGCTGCTGTCTACTTTCTATTTGTAATCCCGTTTCCAACGAAATCCTCAGAACTATCGAAATTTCCAATTGCAGATTCCACAGAAACAGGGTTTCAAAGCTGCTCTGTAAAAAGAAAGGTTCAACTCTGTTAGTTGAATACACACGTCACAAACAAGTTTCTGAGAATGCTTCTGTCTAGTTTTTATGGGAAGATATTTCCTTTTTCACTGTAGGCCTCAAAGCGCTCCAAATGTCCACTTCCACATACTACAAAAAGAGTGTTTCAAACCTGCTCTATGATAGGGAATGTTGAAACCTATGAGTTGAATGCAAGCATTACAAAGAGGTTTCTGAGAATGCTTCTGTCTAGATTTTATATGTAGATATTCCCGTTTCCAACGAAATCCTCAAAGCTATCCAAATATCAACTTGCAGATTCTACAAAAGGAATGTTTCCAAAATGCTGTATCCAAACAAAGGTTCAACTCTGTGAATTGAGGGCATACATCACAAAGAAGATTCTGAGAATGCTTCTGTCTAGATTTTATATGAAAATATTCCCGTTTCCAACGAAATCCTCAAAGCTATCCAAATATCCACTTGCAAATGCCACAAAAAGAGTGTTTCCAAACTGCTCTGTGAAAAGGAAGGTTCAACTCTGTTAGTTGAGTACACACATCACAAAGAGGTTTCTGAGAATGCTGCTGACTAGTTTTTATTTGAAGATATTTCCCTTTTCACCTTAGGCCTAAGAGTGCTCGAAATGTCCATTTCCACATACTCCACAAAGTGTGTTTCAAACGTGCTGTATGAAAGGGAATGTTCAACTCTATGAGTTGAATGCAAACATCACAAAGAAGATTCTGAGAATGCTTTTGTCTAGATTTTATATGAAGATATTCCCGTGTCCAACGAAATTTTCAAAGGTCTCCAAATATCCATTTGTAGATTCTACAAAAAGAGTGTTTCCAAACTGCTGTATCAAAACAAAGGTTGAACTCTGTGAGTTGAGGACACACATCACAAATAAGTTTCTGAGAATGCTTCTGTCTAGTTTTTATTTGAAGATGTTTCCTTTTTCACCATAGGCCTGAAAGCACTCGAAATGTCCACTTCCAGATAGTACAGAAAGAGTGTTTCAAACCTGCTCTATGAACGGGAATGTTCAGCTCTGTGAGTTGAATGCAAACATCACAAAGCAGGTTCTGAGAATGCTTCCGTCTAGATTTTAAA
Organism: Homo sapiens; assembly: GCF_000001405.40. Lineage (NCBI taxonomy): Eukaryota > Metazoa > Chordata > Mammalia > Primates > Hominidae > Homo > Homo sapiens. The sequence goes on along the minus strand of NC_000015.10, from coordinate 19,172,556 downwards.
TGAGGATATTCCCGTTTCCAACGAAATCCTCGAAGCTATCCAAATATCCACTTGCAGATTCCACAAAAAGAGTGTTTCAAAACTGCTCTGTCAAAAGATAGGTTCAACTCTGTTAGTTGAGTACACACATGGCAAACAAGATTCCGAGAATGCTTTCGTCTAGTTTTTTGGGGAAGATATTTCCTTCTTCACCATAGGCCTCAAAGCGCTCCAAATATCCATTTCCACATGCTATACAAAGAGTGTCTCAAACCTGCTGTATGAATGGGAATGTTCAACTCTATGAGTTGAATGCAAACATCACAAAGAAGTTTCTGAGAATGCTGCTGTCTAGATTTTATATGAAGGTTTTCCCGCTTCCAACGAAATTTTCAATGCTCTCAAAATATCCTCTTGTAGATTCTACAAAAAGAGTGTTTCCAAACTGCTGTATCAAAACAAAGGTTCATCTCTGTTAGTTGAGGACACACATCACAAATAAGTTTCTGAGAATGCTTCTGTCTAGTTCTTATTTGAAGACATTTCCTTTCTCACCTTAGGCCTGAAAGCGCTCGAAATACCCACTTCCAGATACTACAGAAACAGTGATTCAAACCTGCTCTATGAAAGGGAATGTTCAACTAGGTGACTTGAATGCAAACATCACAAAGCAGTTTCTGAGAATGCTGCTGTCTACTTTCTATTTGTAATCCCGTTTCCAACGAAATCCTCAGAACTATCGAAATTTCCAATTGCAGATTCCACAAAAAGCGTGTTTCAAAGCTGCTCTGTAAAAAGAAAGGTTCAACTCTGTTAGTTGAATACACACGTCACAAACAAGTTTCTGAGAATGCTTCTGTCTAGTTTTTATGGGAAGATATTTCCTTTTTCACCGTAGGCCTCAGAGCGCTCCAAATGTCCACTTCCACATACTACAAAAAGAGTGTTTCAAACCTGTTCTATGATAGGGAATGTTGAAACCTATGAGTTGAATGCAAGCATTACAAAGAGGTTTCTGAGAATGCTTCTGTCTAGATTTTATATGTAGATATTCCCGTTTCCAACGAAATCCTCAAAGCTATCCAAATATCAACTTGCAGATTCTACAAAAGGAATGTTTCCAAAATGCTGTATCCAAACAAAGGTTCAACTCTGTGAATTGAGGGCATACATCACAAAGAAGATTCTGAGAATGCTTCTGTCTAGATTTTATATGAAAATATTCCCGTTTCCAACGAAATCCTCAAAGCTATCCAAATATCCACTTGCAAATGCCACAAAAAGAGTGTTTCCAAACTGCTCTGTGAAAAGGAAGGTTCAACTCTGTTAGTTGAGTACACACATCACAAAGAGGTTTCTGAGAATGCTGCTGACTAGTTTTTATTTGAAGATATTTCCCTTTTCACCTTAGGCCTAAGAGTGCTCGAAATGTCCATTTCCACATACTCCACAAAGTGTGTTTCAAACGTGCTGTATGAAAGGGAATGTTCAACTCTATGAGTTGAATGCAAACATCACAAAGAAGATTCTGAGAATGCTTTTGTCTAGATTTTATATGAAGATATTCCCGTGTCCAACGAAATTTTCAAAGGTCTCCAAATATCCATTTGTAGATTCTACAAAAAGAGTGTTTCCAAACTGCTGTATCAAAACAAAGGTTGAACTCTGTGAGTTGAGGACACACATCACAAATAAGTTTCTGAGAATGCTTCTGTCTAGTTTTTATTTGAAGATGTTTCCTTTTTCACCATAGGCCTGAAAGCGCTCGAAATGTCCACTTCCAGATAGTGCAGAAAGAGTGTTTCAAACCTGCTCTATGAACGGGAATGTTCAGCTCTGTGAGTTGAATGCAAACATCACAAAGCAGGTTCTGAGAATGCTTCCGTCTAGATTTTAAATGAGGATATTCCCGTTTCCAACGAAATCCTCGAAGCTATCCAAATATCCACTTGCAGATTCCACAAAAAGAGTGTTTCAAAACTGCTCTGTCAAAAGATAGGTTCAACTCTGTTAGTTGAGTACACACATGGCAAACAAGATTCCGAGAATGCTTTCGTCTAGTTTTTTTGGGAAGATATTTCCTTCTTCACCATAGGCCTCAAAGCGCTCCAAATATCCATTTCCACATGCTATACAAAGAGTGTCTCAAACCTGCTGTATGAATGGGAATGTTCAACTCTATGAGTTGAATGCAAACATCACAAAGAAGTTTCTGAGAATGCTGCTGTCTAGATTTTTATATGAAGGATTTCCCGCTTCCAACGAAATTTTCAATGCTCTCAAAATATCCTCTTGTAGATTCTACAAAAAGAGTGTTTCCAAACTGCTGTATCAAAACAAAGGTTCATCTCTGTTAGTTGAGGACACACATCACAAATAAGTTTCTGAGAATGCTTCTGTCTAGTTCTTATTTGAAGACATTTCCTTTCTCACCTTAGGCCTGAAAGCGCTCGAAATACCCACTTCCAGATACTACAGAAACAGTGATTCAAACCTGCTCTATGAAAGGGAATGTTCAACTATGTGACTTGAATGCAAACATCACAAAGCAGTTTCTGAGAATGCTGCTGTCTACTTTCTATTTGTAATACCGTTTCCAACGAAATACTCAGAACTACCGAAATTTCCAATTGCAGATTCCACACAAACAGGGTTTCAAAGCTGCTCTGTAAAAAGAAAGGTTCAACTCTGTTAGTTGAATACACACGTCACAAACAGGTTTCTGAGAATGCTTCTGTCTAGTTTTTATGGGAAGATATTTCCTTTTTCACCGTAGGCCTCAAAGCGCTCCAAATGTCCACTTCCACATACTACAAAAAGAGTGTTTCAAACCTGCTGTATGAAAGGGAATGTTCAACTCTATGAGTTGAATGCAAACATTACAAAGAAGTTTCTGAGAATGCTTCTGTCTAGATTTTATATGAAGGTTTTCCCGTTTCCAACGAAATTTTCAATGCTCTCAAAATATCCACTTGTAGATTCTACAAAACGAGTGTTTCCAAACTGCTGTGTCAAAAGAAAGGTTCAACTCTGTTAGTTGAGGACACACATCACAAATAAGTTTCTGAGAATGCTTCTGTCTAGTTCTTATTTGAAGACATTTCCTTTCTCACCTTAGGCCTGAAAACGCTCGAAATATCCACTTCCAGATACGACAGAAACAGTGATTCAAACCTGCTCTATGAAAGGGAATGTTCAACTAGGTGACTTGAATGCAAACATCACAAAGCAGTTTCTGAGAATGCTGCTGTCTACTTTCTATTTGTAATCCCGTTTCCAACGAAATCCTCAGAACTATCGAAATTTCCAATTGCAGATTCCACAAAAAGCGTGTTTCAAAGCTGCTCTGTAAAAAGAAAGGTTCAACTCTGTTAGTTGAATACACACGTCACAAACAAGTTTCTGAGAATGCTTCTGTCTAGTTTTTATGGGAAGATATTTCCTTTTTCACCGTAGGCCTCAAAGCGCTCCAAATGTCCACTTCCACATACTACAAAAAGAGTGTTTCAAACCTGCTCTATGATAGGGAATGTTGAAACCTATGAGTTGAATGCAAGCATTACAAAGAGGTTTCTGAGAATGCTTCTGTCTAGATTTTATATGTAGATATTCCCGTTTCCAACGAAATCCTCAAAGCTATCCAAATATCAACTTGCAGATTCTACAAAAGGAATGTTTCCAAAATGCTGTATCCAAACAAAGGTTCAACTCTGTGAATTGAGGGCATACATCACAAAGAAGATTCTGAGAATGCTTCTGTCTAGATTTTATATGAAAATATTCCCGTTTCCAACGAAATCCTCAAAGCTATCCAAATATCCACTTGCAAATGCCACAAAAAGAGTGTTTCCAAACTGCTCTGTGAAAAGGAAGGTTCAACTCTGTTAGTTGAGTACACACATCACAAAGAGGTTTCTGAGAATGCTGCTGACTAGTTTTTATTTGAAGATATTTCCCTTTTCTCCTTAGGCCTAAGAGTGCTCGAAATGTCCATTTCCACATACTCCACAAAGTGTGTTTCAAACGTGCTGTATGAAAGGGAATGTTCAACTCTATGAGTTGAATGCAAACATCACAAAGAAGACTCTGAGAATGCTTTTGTCTAGATTTTATATGAAGATATTCCCGGTGTCCAACGAAATTTTCAAAGGTCTCCAAATATCCATTTGTAGATTCTACAAAAAGAGTGTTTCCAAACTGCTGTATCAAAACAAAGGTTGAACTCTGTGAGTTGAGGACACACATCACAAATAAGTTTCTGAGAATGCTTCTGTCTAGTTTTTATTTGAAGATGTTTCCTTTTTCACCATAGGCCTGAAAGCGCTCGAAATGTCCACTTCCAGATAGTACAGAAAGAGTGTTTCAAACCTGCTCTATGAACGGGAATGTTCAGCTCTGTGAGTTGAATGCAAACATCACAAAGCAGGTTCTGAGAATGCTTCCGTCTAGATTTTAAATGAGGATATTCCCGTTTCCAACGAAATCCTCGAAGCTATCCAAATATCCACTTGCAGATTCCACAAAAAGAGTGTTTCAAAACTGCTCTGTCAAAAGATAGGTTCAACTCTGTTAGTTGAGTACACACATGGCAAACAAGATTCCGAGAATGCTTTCGTCTAGTTTTTTTGGGAAGATATTTCCTTCTTCACCATAGGCCTCAAAGCGCTCCAAATATCCATTTCCACATGCTATACAAAGAGTGTCTCAAACCTGCTGTATGAATGGGAATGTTCAACTCTATGAGTTGAATGCAAACATCACAAAGAAGTTTCTGAGAATGCTGCTGTCTAGATTTTATATGAAGGTTTTCCCGCTTCCAACGAAATTTTCAATGCTCTCAAAATATCCTCTTGTAGATTCTACAAAAAGAGTGTTTCCAAACTGCTGTATCAAAACAAAGGTTCATCTCTGTTAGTTGAGGACACACATCACAAATAAGTTTCTGAGAATGCTTCTGTCTAGTTCTTATTTGAAGACATTTCCTTTCTCACCTTAGGCCTGAAAACGCTCGAAATATCCACTTCCAGATACGACAGAAACAGTGATTCAAACCTGCTCTATGAAAGGGAATGTTCAACTAGGTGACTTGAATGCAAACATCACAAAGTAGTTTCTGAGAATGCTGCTGTCTACTTTCTATTTGTAATCCCGTTTCCAACGAAATCCTCAGAACTATCGAAATTTCCAATTGCAGATTCCACAAAAAGCGTGTTTCAAAGCTGCTCTGTAAAAAGAAAGGTTCAACTCTGTTAGTTGAATACACACGTCACAAACAAGTTTCTGAGAATGCTTCTGTCTAGTTTTTATGGGAAGATATTTCCTTTTTCACCGTAGGCCACAAAGCGCTCCAAATGTCCACTTCCACATACTACAAAAAGAGTGTTTCAAACCTGCTGTATGAAAGGGAATGTTCAACTCTATGAGTTGAATGCAAACATTACAAAGAAGTTTCTGAGAATGCTTCTGTCTAGATTTTATATGAAGATTTTCCCGTTTCCAACGAAATTTTCAATGCTCTCAAAATATCCACTTGTTGATTCTACAAAAAGAGTGTTTCCAAACTGCTGTGTCAAAAGAAAGGTTCAACTCTGTTAGTTGAGGACACACATCACAAATAAGTTTCTGAGAATGCTTCTGTCTAGTTCTTATTTGAAGACATTTCCTTTCTCACCTTAGGCCTGAAAACGCTCGAAATATCCACTTCCAGATACGACAGAAACAGTGATTCAAACCTGCTCTATGAAAGGGAATGTTCAACTAGGTGACTTGAATGCAAACATCACAAAGCAGTTTCTGAGAATGCTGCTGTCTACTTTCTATTTGTAATCCCGTTTCCAACGAAATCCTCAGAACTATCGAAATTTCCAATTGCAGATTCCACAAAAAGCGTGTTTCAAAGCTGCTCTGTAAAAAGAAAGGTTCAACTCTGTTAGTTGAATACACACGTCACAAACAAGTTTCTGAGAATGCTTCTGTCTAGTTTTTATGGGAAGATATTTCCTTTTTCACGGTAGGCCTCAAAGCGCTCCAAATGTCCACTTCCACATACTACAAAAAGAGTGTTTCAAACCTGCTCTATGATAGGGAATGTTGAAACCTATGAGTTGAATGCAAGCATTACAAAGAGGTTTCTGAGAATGCTTCTGTCTAGATTTTATATGTAGATATTTCCGTTTCCAAGGAAATCCTCAAAGCTATCCAAATATCAACTTGCAGATTCTACAAAAGGAATGTTTCCAAAATGCTGTATCCAAACAAAGGTTCAACTCTGTGAATTGAGGGCATACATCACAAAGAAGATTCTGAGAATGCTTCTGTCTAGATTTTATATGAAAATATTCCCGTTTCCAACGAAATCCTCAAAGCTATCCAAATATCCACTTGCAAATGCCACAAAAAGAGTGTTTCCAAACTGCTCTGTGAAAAGGAAGGTTCAACTCTGTTAGTTGAGTACACACATCACAAAGAGGTTTCTGAGAATGCTGCTGACTAGTTTTTATTTGAAGATATTTCCCTTTTCACCTTAGGCCTAAGAGTGCTCGAAATGTCCATTTCCACATACTCCACAAAGTGTGTTTCAAACGTGCTGTATGAAAGGGAATGTTCAAATCTATGAGTTGAATGCAAACATCACAAAGAAGATTCTGAGAATGCTTCTGTCTAGATTTTATATGAAGATATTCCCGTGTCCAACGAAATTTTCAAAGGTCTCCAAATATCCATTTGTAGATTCTACAAAAAGAGTGTTTCCAAACTGCTGTATCAAAACAAAGGTTGAACTCTGTGAGTTGAGGACACACATCACAAATAAGTTTCTGAGAATGCTTCTGTCTAGTTTTTATTTGAAGATGTTTCCTTTTTCACCATAGGCCTGAAAGCGCTCGAAATGTCCACTTCCAGATAGTACAGAAAGAGTGTTTCAAACCTGCTCTATGAACGGGAATGTTCAGCTCTGTGAGTTGAATGCAAACATCACAAAGCAGGTTCTGAGAATGCTTCCGTCTAGATTTTAAATGAGGATATTCCCGTTTCCAACGAAATCCTCGAAGCTATCCAAATATCCACTTGCAGATTCCACAAAAAGAGTGTTTCAAAACTGCTCTGTCAAAAGATAGGTTCAACTCTGTTAGTTGAGTACACACATGGCAAACAAGATTCCGAGAATGCTTTCGTCTAGTTTTTTTGGGAAGATATTTCCTTCTTCACCATAGGCCTCAAAGCGCTCCAAATATCCATTTCCACATGCTATACAAAGAGTGTCTCAAACCTGCTGTATGAATGGGAATGTTCAACTCTATGAGTTGAATGCAAACATCACAAAGAAGTTTCTGAGAATGCTGCTGTCTAGATTTTATATGAAGGTTTTCCCGCTTCCAACGAAATTTTCAATGCTCTCAAAATATCCTCTTGTAGATTCTACAAAAAGAGTGTTTCCAAACTGCTGTATCAAAACAAAGGTTCATCTCTGTTAGTTGAGGACACACATCACAAATAAGTTTCTGAGAATGCTTCTGTCTAGTTCTTATTTGAAGACATTTCCTTTCTCACCTTAGGCCTGAAAGCGCTCGAAATACCCACTTCCAGATACTACAGAAACAGTGATTCAAACCTGCTCTATGAAAGGGAATGTTCAACTATGTGACTTGAATGCAAACATCACAAAGCAGTTTCTGAGAATGCTGCTGTCTACTTTCTATTTGTAATCCCGTTTGCAACGAAATCCTCAGAACTATCGAAATTTCCAATTGCAGATTCCACAGAAACAGGGTTTCAAAGCTGCTCTGTAAAAAGAAAGGTTCAACTCTGTTAGTTGAATACACACGTCACAAACAAGTTTCTGAGAATGCTTCTGTCTAGTTTTTATGGGAAGATATTTCCTTTTTCACCGTAGGCCTCAAAGCGCTCCAAATGTCCACTTCCACATACTACAAAAAGAGTGTTTCAAACCTGCTGTATGAAAGGGAATGTTCAACTCTATGAGTCGAATGCAAACATTACAAAGAAGTTTCTGAGAATGCTTCTGTCTAGATTTTATATGAAGGTTTTCCCGTTTCCAACGAAATTTTCAATGCTCTCAAAATATCCACTTGTAGATTCTACAAAAAGAGTGTTTCCAAACTGCTGTGTCAAAAGAAAGGTTCAACTCTGTTAGTTGAGGACACACATCACAAATAAGTTTCTGAGAATGCTTCTGTCTAGTTCTTATTTGAAGACATTTCCTTTCTCACCTTAGGCCTGAAAACGCTCGAAATATCCACTTCCAGATACGACAGAAAGAGTGATTCAAACCTGCTCTATGAAAGGGAATGTTCAACTAGGTGACTTGAATGCAAACATCACAAAGCAGTTTCTGAGAATGCTGCTGTCTACTTTCTATTTGTAATCCGGTTTCCAACGAAATCCTCAGAACTATCAAAATTTCCAATTGCAGATTCCACAAAAAGCGTGTTTCCAAGCTGCTCTGTAAAAAGAAAAGTTCAACTCTGTTAGTTGAATACACACGTCAGAAACAAGTTTCTGAGAATGCTTCTGTCTAGTTTTTATGGGAAGATATTTCCTTTTTCACGGTAGGCCTCAAAGCGCTCCAAATGTCCACTTCCACATACTACAAAAAGAGTGTTTCAAACCTGCTCTATGATAGGGAATGTTGAAACCTATGAGTTGAATGCAAGCATTACAAAGGGGTTTCTGAGAATGCTTCTGTCTAGATTTTATATGTAGATATTCCCGTTTCCAACGAAATCCTCAAAGCTATCCAAATATCAACTTGCAGATTCTACAAAAGGAATGTTTCCAAAATGCTGTATCCAAACAAAGGTTCAACTCTGTGAATTGAGGGCATACATCACAAAGAAGATTCTGAGAATGCTTCTGTCTAGATTTTATATGAAAATATTCCCGTTTCCAACGAAATCCTCAAAGCTATCCAAATATCCACTTGCAAATGCCACAAAAAGAGTGTTTCGAAACTGCTCTGTGAAAAGGAAGGTTCAACTCTGTTAGTTGAGTACACACATCACAAAGAGGTTTCTGAGAATGCTGCTGACTAGTTTTTATTTGAAGATATTTCCCTTTTCACCTTAGGCCTAAGAGTGCTCGAAATGTCCATTTCCACATACTCCACAAAGTGTGTTTCAAACGTGCTGTATGAAAGGGAATGTTCAACTCTATGAGTTGAATGCAAACATCACAAAGAAGACTCTGAGAATGCTTTTGTCTAGATTTTATATGAAGATATTCCCGTGTCCAATGAAATTTTCAAAGGTCTCCAAATATCCATTTGTAGATTCTACAAAAAGAGTGTTTCCAAACTGCTGTATCAAAACAAAGGTTGAACTCTGTGAGTTGAGGACACACATCACAAATAAGTTTCTGAGAATGCTTCTGTCTAGTTTTTATTTGAAGATGTTTCCTTTTTCACCATAGGCCTGAAAGCGCTCGAAATGTCCACTTCCAGATAGTACAGAAAGAGTGTTTCAAACCTGCTCTATGAACGGGAATGTTCAGCTCTGTGAGTTGAATGCAAACATCACAAAGCAGGTTCCGAGAATGCTTCCGTCTAGATTTTAAATGAGGATATTCCCGTTTCCAACGAAATCCTCGAAGCTATCCAAATATCCACTTGCAGATTCCACAAAAAGAGTGTTTCAAAACTGCTCTGTCAAAAGATAGGTTCAACTCTGTTAGTTGAGTACACACATGGCAAACAAGATTGCGAGAATGCTTTCGTCTAGTTTTTTTGGGAAGATATTTCCTTCTTCACCATAGGCCTCAAAGCGCTCCAAATATCCATTTCCACATGCTATACAAAGAGTGTCTCAAACCTGCTGTATGAATGGGAATGTTCAACTCTATGAGTTGAATGCAAACATCACAAAGAAGTTTCTGAGAATGCTGCTGTCTAGATTTTATATGAAGGTTTTCCCGCTTCCAACGAAATTTTCAATGCTCTCAAAATATCCTCTTGTAGCTTCTACAAAAAGAGTGTTTCCAAACTGCTGTATCAAAACAAAGGTTCATCTCTGTTAGTTGAGGACACACATCACAAATAAGTTTCTGAGAATGCTTCTGTCTAGTTCTTATTTGAAGACATTTCCTTTCTCACCTTAGGCCTGAAAGCGCTCGAAATATCCACTTCCAGATACGACAGAAACTGTGATTCAAACCTGCTCTATGAAAGGGAATGTTCAACTAGGTGACTTGAATGCAAACATCACAAAGCAGTTTGCTGAGAATGCTGCTGTCTACTTTCTATTTGTAATCCCGTTTCCAACGAAATCCTCAGAACTATCGAAATTTCCAATTGCAGATTCCACAAAAAGCGTGTTTCAAAGCTGCTCTGTAAAAAGAAAGGTTCAACTCTGTTAGTTGAATACACACGTCACAAACAAGTTTCTGAGAATGCTTCTGTCTAGTTTTTATGGGAAGATATTTCCTTTTTCACCGTAGGCCTCAAAGCGCTCCAAATGTCCACTTCCACATACTACAAAAAGAGTGTTTCAAACCTGCTCTATGATAGGGAATGTTGAAACCTATGAGTTGAATGCAAGCATTCCAAAGAGGTTTCTGAGAATGCTTCTGTCTAGATTTTATATGTAGATATTCCCGTTTCCAACGAAATCCTCAAACTATCCAAATATCAACTTGCAGATTCTACAAAAGGAATGTTTCCAAAATGCTGTATCCAAACAAAGGTTCAACTCTGTGAATTGAGGGCATACATCACAAAGAAGATTCTGAGAATGCTTCTGTCTAGATTTTATATGAAAATATTCCCGTTTCCAACGAAATCCTCAAAGCTATCCAAATATCCACTTGCAAATGCCACAAAAAGAGTGTTTCCAAACTGCTCTGTGAAAAGGAAGGTTCAACTCTGTTAGTTGAGTACACACATCACAAAGAGGTTTCTGAGAATGCTGCTGACTAGTTTTTATTTGAAGATATTTCCCTTTTCACCTTAGGCCTAAGAGTGCTCGAAATGTCCATTTCCACATACTCCACAAAGTGTGTTTCAAACGTGCTGTATGAAAGGGAATGTTCAACTCTATGAGTTGAATGCAAACATCACAAAGAAGATTCTGAGAATGCTTTTGTCTAGATTTTATATGAAGATATTCCCGTGTCCAACGAAATTTTCAAAGGTCTCCAAATATCCATTTGTAGATTCTACAAAAAGAGTGTTTCCAAACTGCTGTATCAAAACAAAGGTTGAACTCTGTGAGTTGAGGACACACATCACAAATAAGTTTCTGAGAATGCTTCTGTCTAGTTTTTATTTGAAGATGTTTCCTTTTTCACCATAGGCCTGAAAGCGCTCGAAATGTCCACTTCCAGATAGTACAGAAAGAGTGTTTCAAACCTGCTCTATGAACGGGAATGTTCAGCTCTGTGAGTTGAATGCAAACATCACAAAGCAGGTTCTGAGAATGCTTCCGTCTAGATTTTAAATGAGGATATTCCCGTTTCCAACGAAATCCTCGAAGCTATCCAAATATCCACTTGCAGATTCCACAAAACGAGTGTTTCAAAACTGCTCTGTCAAAAGATAGGTTCAACTCTGTTAGTTGAGTACACACATGGCAAACAAGATTCCGAGAATGCTTTCGTCTAGTTTTTTTGGGAAGATATTTCCTTCTTCACCATAGGCCTCAAAGCGCTCCAAATATCCATTTCCACATGCTATACAAAGAGTGTCTCAAACCTGCTGTATGAATGGGAATGTTCAACTCTATGAGTTGAATGCAAACATCACAAAGAAGTTTCTGAGAATGCTGCTGTCTAGATTTTATATGAAGGTTTTCCCGCTTCCAACGAAATTTTCAATGCTCTCAAAATATCCTCTTGTAGATTCTACAAAAAGAGTGTTTCCAAACTGCTGTATCAAAACAAAGGTTCATCTCTGTTAGTTGAGGACACACATCACAAATAAGTTTCTGAGAATGCTTCTGTCTAGTTCTTATTTGAAGACATTTCCTTTCTCACCTTAGGCCTGAAAGCGCTCGAAATACCCACTTCCAGATACTACAGAAACAGTGATTCAAACCTGCTCTATGAAAGGGAATGTTCAACTAAGTGACTTGAATGCAAACATCACAAAGCAGTTTCTGAGAATGCTGCTGTCTACTTTCTATTTGTAATCCCGTTTCCAACGAAATCCTCAGAACTATCGAAATTTCCAATTGCAGATTCCACAGAAACAGGGTTTCAAAGCTGCTCTGTAAAAAGAAAGGTTCAACTCTGTTAGTTGAATACACACGTCACAAACAAGTTTCTGAGAATGCTTCTGTCTAGTTTTTATGGGAAGATATTTCCTTTTTCACCGTAGGCCTCAAAGCGCTCCAAATGTCCACGTCCACATACTACAAAAAGAGTGTTTCAAACCTGCTGTATGAAAGGGAATGTTCAACTCTATGAGTTGAATGCAAACATTACAAAGAAGTTTCTGAGAATGCTTCTGTCTAGCATTTTATATGAAGGTTTTCCCGTTTCCAACGAAATTTTCAATGCTCTCAAAATATCCACTTGTAGATTCTACAAAAAGAGTGTTTCCAAACTGCTGTGTCAAAAGAAAGGTTCAACTCTGTTAGTTGAGGACACACATCACAAATAAGTTTCTGAGAATGCTTCTGTCTAGTTCTTATTTGAAGACATTTCCTTTCTCACCTTAGGCCTGAAAACGCTCGAAATATCCACTTCCAGATACGACAGAAACAGTGATTCAAACCTGCTCTATGAAAGGGAATGTTCAACTAGGTGACTTGAATGCAAACATCACAAAGCAGTTTCTGAGAATGCTGCTGTCTACTTTCTATTTGTAATCCCGTTTCCAACGAAATCCTCAGAACTATCGAAATTTCCAATTGCAGATTCCACAAAAAGCGTGTTTCAAAGCTGCTCTGTAAAAAGAAAGGTTCAACTCTGTTAGTTGAATACACACGTCACAAACAAGTTTCTGAGAATGCTTCTGTCTAGTTTTTATGGGAAGATATTTCCTTTTTCACCGTAGGCCTCAAAGCGCTCCAAATGTCCACTTCCACATACTACAAAAAGAGTGTTTCAAACCTGCTCTATGATAGGGAATGTTGAAACCTATGAGTTGAATGCAAGCATTACAAAGAGGTTTCTGAGAATGCTTCTGTCTAGATTTTATATGTAGATATTCCCGTTTCCAACGAAATCCTCAAAGCTATCCAAATATCAACTTGCAGATTCTACAAAAGGAATGTTTCCAAAATGCTGTATCCAAACAAAGGTTCAACTCTGTGAATTGAGGGCATACATCACAAAGAAGATTCTGAGAATGCTTCTGTCTAGATTTTATATGAAAATATTCCCGTTTCCAACGAAATCCTCAAAGCTATCCAAATATCCACTTGCAAATGCCACAAAAAGAGTGTTTCCAAACTGCTCTGTGAAAAGGAAGGTTCAACTCTGTTAGTTGAGTACACACATCACAAAGAGGTTTCTGAGAATGCTGCTGACTAGTTTTTATTTGAAGATATTTCCCTTTTCACCTTAGGCCTAAGAGTGCTCGAAATGTCCATTTCCACATACTCCACAAAGTGTGTTTCAAACGTGCTGTATGAAAGGGAATGTTCAACTCTATGAGTTGAATGCAAACATCACAAAGAAGATTCTGAGAATGCTTTGTCTAGATTTTATATGAAGATATTCCCGTGTCCAACGAAATTTTCAAAGGTCTCCAAATATCCATTTGTAGATTCTACAAAAAGAGTGTTTCCAAACTGCTGTATCAAAACAAAGGTTGAACTCTGTGAGTTGAGGACACACATCACAAATAAGTTTCTGAGAATGCTTTCTGTCTAGTTTTTATTTGAAGATGTTTCCTTTTTCACCATAGGCCTGAAAGCGCTCGAAATGTCCACTTCCAGATAGTACAGAAAGAGTGTTTCAAACCTGCTCTATGAACGGGAATGTTCAGCTCTGTGAGTTGAATGCAAACATCACAAAGCAGGTTCTGAGAATGCTTCCGTCTAGATTTTAAATGAGGATATTCCCGTTTCCAACGAAATCCTCGAAGCTATCCAAATATCCACTTGCAGATTCCACAAAAAGAGTGTTTCAAAACTGCTTTGTCAAAGGATAGGTTCAACTCTGTTAGTTGAGTACACACATGGCAAACAAGATTCCGAGAATGCTTTCGTCTAGTTTTTTTGGGAAGATATTTCCTTCTTCACCATAGGCCTCAAAGCGCTCCAAATATCCATTTCCACATGCTATACAAAGAGTGTCTCAAACCTGCTGTATGAATGGGAATGTTCAACTCTATGAGTTGAATGCAAACATCACAAAGAAGTTTCAGAGAATGCTGCTGTCTAGATTTTATATGAAGGCTTTCCCGCTTCCAACGAAATTTTCAATGCTCTCAAAATATCCTCTTGTAGATTCTACAAAAAGAGTGTTTCCAAACTGCTGTATCAAAACAAAGGTTCATCTCTGTTAGTTGAGGACACACATCACAAATAAGTTTCTGAGAATGCTTCTGTCTAGTTCTTATTTGAAGACATTTCCTTTCTCACCTTAGGCCTGAAAGCGCTCGAAATACCCACTTCCAGATACTACAGAAACAGTGATTCAAACCTGCTCTATGAAAGGGAATGTTCAACTATGTGACTTGAATGCAAACATCACAAAGCAGTTTCTGAGAATGCTGCTGTCTACTTTCTATTTGTAATCCCGTTTCCAACGAAATCCTCAGAACTATCGAAATTTCCAATTGCAGATTCCACAGAAACAGGGTTTCAAAGCTGCTCTGTAAAAAGAAAGGTTCAACTCTGTTAGTTGAATACACACGTCACAAACAAGTTTCTGAGAATGCTTCTGTCTAGTTTTTATGGGAAGATATTTCCTTTTTCACCGTAGGCCTCAAAGCGCTCCAAATGTCCACTTCCACATACTACAAAAAGAGTGTTTCAAACCTGCTGTATGAAAGGGAATGTTCAACTCTATGAGTTGAATGCAAACATCACAAAGAAGTTTCTGAGAATGCTGCTGTCTAGATTTTATATGAAGGTTTTCCCGCTTCCAACGAAATTTTCAATGCTCTCAAAATATCCTCTTGTAGATTCTACAAAAAGAGTGTTTCCAAACTGCTGTATCAAAACAAAGGTTCATCTCTGTTAGTTGAGGACACACATCACAAATAAGTTTCTGAGAATGCTTCTGTCTAGTTCTTATTTGAAGACATTTCCTTTCTCACCTTAGGCCTGAAAACGCTCGAAATATCCACTTCCAGATACGACAGAAACAGTGATTCAAACCTGCTCTATGAAAGGGAATGTTCAACTAGGTGACTTGAATGCAAACATCAGAAAGCAGTTTCTGAGAATGCTGCTGTCTACTTTCTATTTGTAATCCCGTTTCCAACGAAATCCTCAGAACTATCGAAATTTCCAATTGCAGATTCCACAAAAAGCGTGTTTCAAAGCTGCTCTGTAAAAAGAAAGGTTCAACTCTGTTAGTTGAATACACACGTCACAAACAAGTTTCTGAGAATGCTTCTGTCTAGTTTTTATGGGAAGATATTTCCTTTTTCACCGTAGGCCTCAAAGCGCTCCAAATGTCCACTTCCACATACTACAAAAAGAGTGTTTCAAACCTGCTCTATGATAGGGAATGTTGAAACCTATGAGTTGAATGCAAGCATTACAAAGAGGTTTCTGAGAATGCTTCTGTCTAGATTTTATATGTAGATATTCCCGTTTCCAACGAAATCCTCAAAGCTATCCAAATATCAGCTTGCAGATTCTGCAAAAGGAATGTTTCCAAAATGCTGTATCCAAACAAAGGTTCAACTCTGTGAATTGAGGGCATACATCACAAAGAAGATTCTGAGAATGCTTCTGTCTAGATTTTATATGAAAATATTCCCGTTTCCAACGAAATCCTCAAAGCTATCCAAATATCCACTTGCAAATGCCACAAAAAGAGTGTTTCCAAACTGCTCTGTGAAAAGGAAGGTTCAACTCTGTTAGTTGAGTACACACATCACAAAGAGGTTTCTGAGAATGCTGCTGACTAGTTTTTATTTGAAGATATTTCCCTTTTCACCTTAGGCCTAAGAGTGCTCGAAATGTCCATTTCCACATACTCCACAAAGTGTGTTTCAAACGTGCTGTATGAAAGGGAATGTTCAACTCTATGAGTTGAATGCAAACATCACAAAGAAGATTCTGAGAATGCTTTTGTCTAGATTTTATATGAAGATATTCCCGTGTCCAACGAAATTTTCAAAGGTCTCCAAATATCCATTTGTAGATTCTACAAAAAGAGTGTTTCCAAACTGCTGTATCAAAACAAAGGTTGAACTCTGTGAGTTGAGGACACACATCACAAATAAGTTTCTGAGAATGCTTCTGTCTAGTTTTTATTTGAAGATGTTTCCTTTTTCACCATAGGCCTGAAAGCGCTCGAAATGTCCACTTCCAGATAGTACAGAAAGAGTGTTTCAAACCTGCTCTATGAACGGGAATGTTCAGCTCTGTGAGTTGAATGCAAACATCACAAAGCAGGTTCTGAGAATGCTTCCGTCTAGATTTTAAATGAGGATATTCCCGTTTCCAACGAAATCCTCGAAGCTATCCAAATATCCACTTGCAGATTCCACAAAAAGAGTGTTTCAAAACTGCTCTGTCAAAAGATAGGTTCAACTCTGTTAGTTGAGTACACACATGGCAAACAAGATTCCGAGAATGCTTTCGTCTAGTTTTTTTGGGAAGATATTTCCTTCTTCACCATAGGCCTCAAAGCGCTCCAAATATCCATTTCCAAATGCTATACAAAGAGTGTCTCAAACCTGCTGTATGAATGGGAATGTTCAACTCTATGAGTTGAATGCAAACATCACAAAGAAGTTTCTGAGAATGCTGCTGTCTAGATTTTATATGAAGATTTTCCCGCTTCCAACGAAATTTTCAATGCTCTCAAAATATCCTCTTGTAGATTCTACAAAAAGAGTGTTTCCAAACTGCTGTATCAAAACAAAGGTTCATCTCTGTTAGTTGAGGACACACATCACAAATAAGTTTCTGAGAATGCTTCTGTCTAGTTCTTATTTGAAGACATTTCCTTTCTCACCTTAGGCCTGAAAGCGCTCGAAATACCCACTTCCAGATACTACAGAAACAGTGATTCAAACCTGCTCTATGAAAGGGAATGTTCAACTATGTGACTTGAATGCAAACATCACAAAGCAGTTTCTGAGAATGCTGCTGTCTACTTTCTATTTGTAATCCCGTTTCCAACGAAATCCTCAGAACTATCGAAATTTCCAATTGCAGATTCCACAGAAACAGGGTTTCAAAGCTGCTCTGTAAAAAGAAAGGTTCAACTCTGTTAGTTGAATACACACGTCACAAACAAGTTTCTGAGAATGCTTCTGTCTAGTTTTTATGGGAAGATATTTCCTTTTTCACCGTAGGCCTCAAAGCGCTCCAAATGTCCACTTCCACATACTACAAAAAGAGTGTTTCAAACCTGCTCTATGATAGGGAATGTTGAAACCTATGAGTTGAATGCAAGCATTACAAAGAGGTTTCTGAGAATGCTTCTGTCTAGATTTTATATGTAGATATTCCCGTTTCCAACGAAATCCTCAAAGCTATCCAAATATCAACTTGCAGATTCTACAAAAGGAATGTTTCCAAAATGCTGTATCCAAACAAAGGTTCAACTCTGTGAATTGAGGGCATACATCACAAAGAAGATTCTGAGAATGCTTCTGTCTAGATTTTATATGAAAATATTCCCGTTTCCAACGAAATCCTCAAAGCTATCCAAATATCCACTTGCAAATGCCACAAAAAGAGTGTTTCCAAACTGCTCTGTGAAAAGGAAGGTTCAACTCTGTTAGTTGAGTACACACATCACAAAGAGGTTTCTGAGAATGCTGCTGACTAGTTTTTATTTGAAGATATTTCCCTTTTCACCTTAGGCCTAAGAGTGCTCGAAATGTCCATTTCCACATACTCCACAAAGTGTGTTTCAAACGTGCTGTATGAAAGGGAATGTTCAACTCTATGAGTTGAATGCAAACATCACAAAGAAGATTCTGAGAATGCTTTTGTCTAGATTTTATATGAAGATATTCCCGTGTCCAACGAAATTTTCAAAGGTCTCCAAATATCCATTTGTAGATTCTACAAAAAGAGTGTTTCCAAACTGCTGTATCAAAACAAAGGTTGAACTCTGTGAGTTGAGGACACACATCACAAATAAGTTTCTGAGAATGCTTCTGTCTAGTTTTTATTTGAAGATGTTTCCTTTTTCACCATAGGCCTGAAAGCGCTCGAAATGTCCACTTCCAGATAGTACAGAAAGAGTGTTTCAAACCTGCTCTATGAACGGGAATGTTCAGCTCTGTGAGTTGAATGCAAACATCACAAAGCAGGTTCTGAGAATGCTTCCGTCTGGATTTTAAATGAGGATATTCCCGTTTCCAACGAAATCCTCGAAGCTATCCAAATATCCACTTGCAGATTCCACAAAAAGAGTGTTTCAAAACTGCTCTGTCAAAAGATAGGTTCAACTCTGTTAGTTGAGTACACACATGGCAAACAAGATTCCGAGAATGCTTTCGTCTAGTTTTTTTGGGAAGATATTTCCTTCTTCACCATAGGCCTCAAAGTGCTCCAAATATCCATTTCCACATACTATACAAAGAGTGTCTCAAACCTGCTGTATGAAAAGAAATGTTCAACTCTATGAGTTGAATGCAAACATCACAAAGAAGTTTCTGAGAATGCTGCTGTCTAGATTTTATATGAAGGTTTTCCCGCTTCCAACGAAATTTTCAATGCTCTCAAAATATCCTCTTGTAGATTCTACAAAAAGAGTGTTTCCAAACTGCTGTATCAAAACAAAGGTTCATCTCTGTTAGTTGAGGACACACATCACAAATAAGTTTCTGAGAATGCTTCTGTCTAGTTCTTATTTGAAGACATTTCCTTTCTCACCTTAGGCCTGAAAGCGCTCGAAATACCCACTTCCAGATACTACAGAAACAGTGATTCAAACCTGCTCTATGAAAGGGAATGTTCAACTATGTGACTTGAATGCAAACATCACAAAGCAGTTTCTGAGAATGCTGCTGTCTACTTTCTATTTGTAATCCCGTTTCCAACGAAATCCTCAGAACTATCGAAATTTCCAATTGCAGATTCCACAAAAAGCGTGTTTCAAAGCTGCTCTGTAAAAAGAAAGGTTCAACTCTGTTAGTTGAATACACACGTCACAAACAAGTTTCTGAGAATGCTTCTGTCTAGTTTTTATGGGAAGATATTTCCTTTTTCACCGTAGGCCTCAAAGCGCTCCAAATGTCCACTTCCACATACTACAAAAAGAGTGTTTCAAACCTGCTCTATGATAGGGAATGTTGAAACCTATGAGTTGAATGCAAGCATTACAAAGAGGTTTCTGAGAATGCTTCTGTCTAGATTTTATATGTAGATATTCCCGTTTCCAACGAAATCCTCAAAGCTATCCAAATATCAACTTGCAGATTCTACAAAAGGAATGTTTCCAAAATGCTGTATCCAAACAAAGGTTCAACTCTGTGAATTGAGGGCATACATCACAAAGAAGATTCCTGAGAATGCTTCTGTCTAGCATTTTATATGAAAATATTCCCGTTTCCAACGAAATCCTCAAAGCTATCCAAATATCCACTTGCAAATGCCACAAAAAGAGTGTTTCCAAACTGCTCTGTGAAAAGGAAGGTTCAACTCTGTTAGTTGAGTACACACATCACAAAGAGGTTTCTGAGAATGCTGCTGACTAGTTTTTATTTGAAGATATTTCCCTTTTCACCTTAGGCCTAAGAGTGCTCGAAATGTCCATTTCCACATACTCCACAAAGTGTGTTTCAAACGTGCTGTATGAAAGGGAATGTTCAACTCTATGAGTTGAATGCAAACATCACAAAGAAGATTCTGAGAATGCTTTTGTCTAGATTTTATATGAAGATATTCCCGTGTCCAACGAAATTTTCAAAGGTCTCCAAATATCCATTTGTAGATTCTACAAAAAGAGTGTTTCCAAACTGCTGTATCAAAACAAAGGTTGAACTCTGTGAGTTGAGGACACACATCACAAATAAGTTTCTGAGAATGCTTCTGTCTAGTTTTTATTTGAAGATGTTTCCTTTTTCACCATAGGCCTGAAAGCGCTCGAAATGTCCACTTCCAGATAGTACAGAAAGAGTGTTTCAAACCTGCTCTATGAACGGGAATGTTCAGCTCTGTGAGTTGAATGCAAACATCACAAAGCAGGTTCTGAGAATGCTTCCGTCTAGATTTTAAATGAGGATATTCCCGTTTCCAACGAAATCCTCGAAGCTATCCAAATATCCACTTGCAGATTCCACAAAACGAGTGTTTCAAAACTGCTCTGTCAAAAGATAGGTTCAACTCTGTTAGTTGAGTACACACATGGCAAACAAGATTGCGAGAATGCTTTCGTCTAGTTTTTTTGGGAAGATATTTCCTTCTTCACCATAGGCCTCAAAGCGCTCCAAATATCCATTTCCACATGCTATACAAAGAGTGTCTCAAACCTGCTGTATGAATGGGAATGTTCAACTCTATGAGTTGAATGCAAACATCACAAAGAAGTTTCTGAGAATGCTGCTGTCTAGATTTTATATGAAGGTTTTCCCGCTTCCAACGAAATTTTCAATGCTCTCAAAATATCCTCTTGTTGATTCGACAAAAAGAGTGTTTCCAAACTGCTGTATCAAAACAAAGGTTCATCTCTGTTAGTTGAGGACACACATCACAAATAAGTTTCTGAGAATGCTTCTGTCTAGTTCTTATTTGAAGACATTTCCTTTCTCACCTTAGGCCTGAAAGCGCTCGAAATACCCACTTCCAGATACTACAGAAACAGTGATTCAAACCTGCTCTATGAAAGGGAATGTTCAACTATGTGACTTGAATGCAAACATCACAAAGCAGTTTCTGAGAATGCTGCTGTCTACTTTCTATTTGTAATCCCGTTTCCAACGAAATCCTCAGAACTATCGAAATTTCCAATTGCAGATTCCACAGAAACAGGGTTTCAAAGCTGCTCTGTAAAAAGAAAGGTTCAACTCTGTTAGTTGAATACACACGTCACAAACAAGTTTCTGAGAATGCTTCTGTCTAGTTTTTATGGGAAGATATTTCCTTTTTCACCGTAGGCCTCAAAGCGCTCCAAATGTCCACTTCCACATACTACAAAAAGAGTGTTTCAAACCTGCTCTATGATAGGGAATGTTGAAACCTATGAGTTGAATGCAAACATTACAAAGAGGTTTCTGAGAATGCTTCTGTCTAGATTTTATATGTAGATATTCCCGTTTCCAACGAAATCCTCAAAGCTATCCAAATATCAACTTGCAGATTCTACAAAAGGAATGTTTCCAAAATGCTGTATCCAAACAAAGGTTCAACTCTGTGAATTGAGGGAATACATCACAAAGAAGATTCTGAGAATGCTTCTGTCTAGATTTTATATGAAAATATTCCCGTTTCCAACGAAATCCTCAAAGCTATCCAAATATCCACTTGCAAATGCCACAAAAAGAGTGTTTCCAAACTGCTCTGTGAAAAGGAAGGTTCAACTCTGTTAGTTGAGTACACACATCACAAAGAGGTTTCTGAGAATGCTGCTGACTAGTTTTTATTTGAAGATATTTCCCTTTTCACCTTAGGCCTAAGAGTGCTCGAAATGTCCATTTCCACATACTCCACAAAGTGTGTTTCAAACGTGCTGTATGAAAGGGAATGTTCAACTCTATGAGTTGAATGCAAACATCACAAAGAAGACTCTGAGAATGCTTTTGTCTAGATTTTATATGAAGATATTCCCGTGTCCAATGAAATTTTCAAAGGTCTCCAAATATCCATTTGTAGATTCTACAAAAAGAGTGTTTCCAAACTGCTGTATCAAAACAAAGGTTGAACTCTGTGAGTTGAGGACACACATCACAAATAAGTTTCTGAGAATGCTTCTGTCTAGTTTTTATTTGAAGATGTTTCCTTTTTCACCATAGGCCTGAAAGCGCTCGAAATGTCCACTTCCAGATAGTACAGAAAGAGTGTTTCAAACCTGCTCTATGAACGGGAATGTTCAGCTCTGTGAGTTGAATGCAAACATCACAAAGCAGGTTCTGAGAATGCTTCCGTCTAGATTTTAAATGAGGATATTCCCGTTTCCAACGAAATCCTCGAAGCTATCCAAATATCCACTTGCAGATTCCACAAAAAGAGTGTTTCAAAACTGCTCTGTCAAAAGATAGGTTCAACTCTGTTAGTTGAGTACACACATGGCAAACAAGATTGCGAGAATGCTTTCGTCTAGTTTTTTTGGGAAGATATTTCCTTCTTCACCATAGGCCTCAAAGCGCTCCAAATATCCATTTCCACATGCTATACAAAGAGTGTCTCAAACCTGCTGTATGAATGGGAATGTTCAACTCTATGAGTTGAATGCAAACATCACAAAGAAGTTTCTGAGAATGCTGCTGTCTAGATTTTATATGAAGGTTTTCCCGCTTCCAACGAAATTTTCAATGCTCTCAAAATATCCTCTTGTAGATTCTACAAAAAGAGTGTTTCCAAACTGCTGTATCAAAACAAAGGTTCATCTCTGTTAGTTGAGGACACACATCACAAATAAGTTTCTGAGAATGCTTCTGTCTAGTTCTTATTTGAAGACATTTCCTTTCTCACCTTAGGCCTGAAAGCGCTCGAAATACCCACTTCCAGATACTACAGAAACAGTGATTCAAACCTGCTCTATGAAAGGGAATGTTCAACTATGTGACTTGAATGCAAACATCACAAAGCAGTTTCTGAGAATGCTGCTGTCTACTTTCTATTTGTAATCCTGTTTCCAAAGAAATCCTCAGAACTATCGAAATTTCCAATTGCAGATTCCACAGAAACAGGTTTTCAAAGCTGCTCTGTAAAAAGAAAGGTTCAACTCTGTTAGTTGAATACACACGTCACAAACAAGTTTCTGAGAATGCTTCTGTCTAGTTTTTATGGGAAGATATTTCCTTTTTCACCGTAGGCCTCAAAGCGCTCCAAATGTCCACTTCCACATACTACAAAAAGAGTGTTTCAAACCTGCTGTATGAAAGGGAATGTTCAACTCTATGAGTTGAATGCAAACATTACAAAGAAGTTTCTGAGAATGCTTCTGTCTAGATTTTATATGAAGGTTTTCCCGTTTCCAACGAAATTTTCAATGCTCTCAAAATATCCACTTGTAGATTCTACAAAAAGAGTGTTTCCAAACTGCTGTGTCAAAAGAAAGGTTCAACTCTGTTAGTTGAGGACACACATCACAAATAAGTTTCTGAGAATGCTTCTGTCTAGTTCTTATTTGAAGACATTTCCTTTCTCACCTTAGGCCTGAAAACGCTCGAAATATCCACTTCCAGATACGACAGAAACAGTGATTCAAACCTGCTCTATGAAAGGGAATGTTCAACTAGGTGACTTGAATGCAAACATCACAAAGCAGTTTCTGAGAATGCTGCTGTCTACTTTCTATTTGTAATCCCGTTTCCAACGAAATCCTCAGAACTATCGAAATTTCCAATTGCAGATTCCACAAAAAGCGTGTTTCAAAGCTGCTCTGTAAAAAGAAAGGTTCAACTCTGTTAGTTGAATACACACGTCACAAACAAGTTTCTGAGAATGCTTCTGTCTAGTTTTTATGGGAAGATATTTCCTTTTTCACCGTAGGCCTCAAAGCGCTCCAAATGTGCACTTCCACATACTACAAAAAGAGTGTTTCAAACCTGCTCTATGATAGGGAATGTTGAAACCTATGAGTTGAATGCAAGCATTACAAAGAGGTTTCTGAGAATGCTTCTGTCTAGATTTTATATGTAGATATTCCCGTTTCCAACGAAATCCTCAAACTATCCAAATATCAACTTGCAGATTCTACAAAAGGAATGTTTCCAAAATGCTGTATCCAAACAAAGGTTCAACTCTGTGAATTGAGGGCATACATCACAAAGAAGATTCTGAGAATGCTTCTGTCTAGATTTTATATGAAAATATTCCCGTTTCCAACGAAATCCTCAAAGCTATCCAAATATCCACTTGCAAATGCCACAAAAAGAGTGTTTCCAAACTGCTCTGTGAAAAGGAAGGTTCAACTCTGTTAGTTGAGTACACACATCATAAAGAGGTTTCTGAGAATGCTGCTGACTAGTTTTTATTTGAAGATATTTCCCTTTTCACCTTAGGCCTAAGAGTGCTCGAAATGTCCATTTCCACATACTCCACAAAGTGTGTTTCAAACGTGCTGTATGAAAGGGAATGTTCAACTCTATGAGTTGAATGCAAACATCACAAAGAAGATTCTGAGAATGCTTTTGTCTAGATTTTATATGAAGATATTCCCGTGTCCAACGAAATTTTCAAAGGTCTCCAAATATCCATTTGTAGATTCTACAAAAAGAGTGTTTCCAAACTGCTGTATCAAAACAAAGGTTGAACTCTGTGAGTTGAGGACACACATCACAAATAAGTTTCTGAGAATACTTCTGTCTAGTTTTTATTTGAAGATGTTTCCTTTTTCACCATAGGCCTGAAAGCGCTCGAAATGTCCACTTCCAGATAGTACAGAAAGAGTGTTTCAAACCTGCTCTATGAACGGGAATGTTCAGCTCTGTGAGTTGAATGCAAACATCACAAAGCAGGTTCTGAGAATGCTTCCGTCTAGATTTTAAATGAGGATATTCCCGTTTCCAACGAAATCCTCGAAGCTATCCAAATATCCACTTGCAGATTCCACAAAAAGAGTGTTTCAAAACTGCTCTGTCAAAAGATAGGTTCAACTCTGTTAGTTGAGTACACACATGGCAAACAAGATTCCGAGAATGCTTTCGTCTAGTTTTTTTGGGAAGATATTTCCTTCTTCACCATAGGCCTCAAAGCGCTCCAAATATCCATTTCCACATGCTATACAAAGAGTGTCTCAAACCTGCTGTATGAATGGGAATGTTCAACTCTATGAGTTGAATGCAAACATCACAAAGAAGTTTCTGAGAATGCTGCTGTCTAGATTTTATATGAAGGTTTTCCCGCTTCCAACGAAATTTTCAATGCTCTCAAAATATCCTCTTGTAGATTCTACAAAAAGAGTGTTTCCAAACTGCTGTATCAAAACAAAGGTTCATCTCTGTTAGTTGAGGACACACATCACAAATAAGTTTCTGAGAATGCTTCTGTCTAGTTCTTATTTGAAGACATTTCCTTTCTCACCTTAGGCCTGAAAGCGCTCGAAATACCCACTTCCAGATACTACAGAAACAGTGATTCAAACCTGCTCTATGAAAGGGAATGTTCAACTAGGTGACTTGAATGCAAACATCACAAAGCAGTTTCTGAGAATGCTGCTGTCTACTTTCTATTTGTAATCCCGTTTCCAACGAAATCCTCAGAACTATCGAAATTTCCAATTGCAGATTCCACAGAAACAGGGTTTCAAAGCTGCTCTGTAAAAAGAAAGGTTCAACTCTGTTAGTTGAATACACACGTCACAAACAAGTTTCTGAGAATGCTTCTGTCTAGTTTTTATGGGAAGATATTTCCTTTTTCACCGTAGGCCTCAAAGCGCTCCAAATGTCCACGTCCACATACTACAAAAAGAGTGTTTCAAACCTGCTGTATGAAAGGGAATGTTCAACTCTATGAGTTGAATGCAAACATTACAAAGAAGTTTCTGAGAATGCTTCTGTCTAGATTTTATATGAAGGTTTTCCCGTTTCCAACGAAATTTTCAATGCTCTCAAAATATCCACTTGTAGATTCTACAAAAAGAGTGTTTCCAAACTGCTGTGTCAAAAGAAAGGTTCAACTCTGTTAGTTGAGGACACACATCACAAATAAGTTTCTGAGAATGCTTCTGTCTAGTTCTTATTTGAAGACATTTCCTTTCTCACCTTAGGCCTGAAAACGCTCGAAATATCCACTTCCAGATACGACAGAAACAGTGATTCAAACCTGCTCTATGAAAGGGAATGTTCAACTAGGTGACTTGAATGCAAACATCACAAAGCAGTTTCTGAGAATGCTGCTGTCTACTTTCTATTTGTAATCCCGTTTCCAACGAAATCCTCAGAACTATCGAAATTTCCAATTGCAGATTCCACAAAAAGCGTGTTTCAAAGCTGCTCTGTAAAAAGAAAGGTTCAACTCTGTTAGTTGAATACACACGTCACAAACAAGTTTCTGAGAATGCTTCTGTCTAGTTTTTATGGGAAGATATTTCCTTTTTCACCGTAGGCCTCAAAGCGCTCCAAATGTCCACTTCCACATACTACAAAAAGAGTGTTTCAAACCTGCTCTATGATAGGGAATGTTGAAACCTATGAGTTGAATGCAAGCATTACAAAGAGGTTTCTGAGAATGCTTCTGTCTAGATTTTATATGTAGATGTTCCCGTTTCCAACGAAATCCTCAAAGCTATCCAAATATCAACTTGCAGATTCTACAAAAGGAATGTTTCCAAAATGCTGTATCCAAACAAAGGTTCAACTCTGTGAATTGAGGGCATACATCACAAAGAAGATTCTGAGAATGCTTCTGTCTAGATTTTATATGAAAATATTCCCGTTTCCAACGAAATCCTCAAAGCTATCCAAATATCCACTTGCAAATGCCACAAAAAGAGTGTTTCCAAACTGCTCTGTGAAAAGGAAGGTTCAACTCTGTTAGTTGAGTACACACATCACAAAGAGGTTTCTGAGAATGCTGCTGACTAGTTTTTATTTGAAGATATTTCCCTTTTCACCTTAGGCCTAAGAGTGCTCGAAATGTCCATTTCCACATACTCCACAAAGTGTGTTTCAAACGTGCTGTATGAAAGGGAATGTTCAACTCTATGAGTTGAATGCAAACATCACAAAGAAGATTCTGAGAATGCTTTTGTCTAGATTTTATATGAAGATATTCCCGTGTCCAACGAAATTTTCAAAGGTCTCCAAATATCCATTTGTAGATTCTACAAAAAGAGTGTTTCCAAACTGCTGTATCAAAACAAAGGTTGAACTCTGTGAGTTGAGGACACACATCACAAATAAGTTTCTGAGAATGCTTCTGTCTAGTTTTTATTTGAAGATGTTTCCTTTTTCACCATAGGCCTGAAAGCGCTCGAAATGTCCACTTCCAGATAGTACAGAAAGAGTGTTTCAAACCTGCTCTATGAACGGGAATGGTCAGCTCTGTGAGTTGAATGCAAACATCACAAAGCAGGTTCTGAGAATGCTTCCGTCTAGATTTTAAATGAGGATATTCCCGTTTCCAACGAAATCCTCGAAGCTATCCAAATATCCACTTGCAGATTCCACAAAAAGAGTGTTTCAAAACTGCTCTGTCAAAAGATAGGTTCAACTCTGTTAGTTGAGTACACACATGGCAAACAAGATTCCGAGAATGCTTTCGTCTAGTTTTTTTGGGAAGATATTTCCTTCTTCACCATAGGCCTCAAAGCGCTCCAAATATCCATTTCCACATGCTATACAAAGAGTGTCTCAAACCTGCTGTATGAATGGGAATGTTCAACTCTATGAGTTGAATGCAAACATCACAAAGAAGTTTCTGAGAATGCTGCTGTCTAGATTTTATATGAAGGTTTTCCCGCTTCCAACGAAATTTTCAATGCTCTCAAAATATCCTCTTGTAGATTCTACAAAAAGAGTGTTTCCAAACTGCTGTATCAAAACAAAGGTTCATCTCTGTTAGTTGAGGACACACATCACAAATAAGTTTCTGAGAATGCTTCTGTCTAGTTCTTATTTGAAGACATTTCCTTTCTCACCTTAGGCCTGAAAGCGCTCGAAATACCCACTTCCAGATACTACAGAAACAGTGATTCAAACCTGCTCTATGAAAGGGAATGTTCAACTAAGTGACTTGAATGCAAACATCACAAAGCAGTTTACTGAGAATGCTGCTGTCTACTTTCTATTTGTAATCCCGTTTCCAACGAAATCCTCAGAACTATCGAAATTTCCAATTGCAGATTCCACAGAAACAGGGTTTCAAAGCTGCTCTGTAAAAAGAAAGGTTCAACTCTGTTAGTTGAATACACACGTCACAAACAAGTTTCTGAGAATGCTTCTGTCTAGTTTTTATGGGAAGATATTTCCTTTTTCACCGTAGGCCTCAAAGCGCTCCAAATGTCCACGTCCACATACTACAAAAAGAGTGTTTCAAACCTGCTGTATGAAAGGGAATGTTCAACTCTATGAGTTGAATGCAAACATTACAAAGAAGTTTCTGAGAATGCTTCTGTCTAGATTTTATATGAAGGTTTTCCCGTTTCCAATGAAATTTTCAATGCTCTCGAAATATCCACTTGTAGATTCTACAAAAAGAGTGTTTCCAAACTGCTGTGTCAAAAGAAAGGTTCAACTCTGTTAGTTGAGGACACACATCACAAATAAGTTTCTGAGAATGCTTCTGTCTAGTTCTTATTTGAAGACATTTCCTTTCTCACCTTAGGCCTGAAAACGCTCGAAATATCCACTTCCAGATACGACAGAAACAGTGATTCAAACCTGCTCTATGAAAGGGAATGTTCAACTAGGTGACTTGAATGCAAACATCACAAAGCAGTTTCTGAGAATGCTGCTGTCTACTTTCTATTTGTAATCCCGTTTCCAACGAAATCCTCAGAACTATCGAAATTTCCAATTGCAGATTCCACAAAAAGCGTGTTTCAAAGCTGCTCTGTAAAAAGAAAGGTTCAACTCTGTTAGTTGAATACACACGTCACAAACAAGTTTCTGAGAATGCTTCTGTCTAGTTTTTATGGGAAGATATTTCCTTTTTCACCGTAGGCCTCAAAGCGCTCCAAATGTCCACTTCCACATACTACAAAAAGAGTGTTTCAAACCTGCTCTATGATAGGGAATGTTGAAACCTATGAGTTGAATGCAAGCATTACAAAGAGGTTTCTGAGAATGCTTCTGTCTAGATTTTATATGTAGATATTCCCGTTTCCAACGAAATCCTCAAAGCTATCCAAATATCAACTTGCAGATTCTACAAAAGGAATGTTTCCAAAATGCTGTATCCAAACAAAGGTTCAACTCTGTGAATTGAGGGCATACATCACAAAGAAGATTCTGAGAATGCTTCTGTCTAGATTTTATATGAAAATATTCCCGTTTCCAACGAAATCCTCAAAGCTATCCAAATATCCACTTGCAAATGCCACAAAAAGAGTGTTTCCAAACTGCTCTGTGAAAAGGAAGGTTCAACTCTGTTAGTTGAGTACACACATCACAAAGAGGTTTCTGAGAATGCTGCTGACTAGTTTTTATTTGAAGATATTTCCCTTTTCACCTTAGGCCTAAGAGTGCTCGAAATGTCCATTTCCACATACTCCACAAAGTGTGTTTCAAACGTGCTGTATGAAAGGGAATGTTCAACTCTATGAGTTGAATGCAAACATCATAAAGAAGATTCTGAGAATGCTTTTGTCTAGATTTTATATGAAGATATTCCCGTGTCCAACGAAATTTTCAAAGGTCTCCAAATATCCATTTGTAGATTCTACAAAAAGAGTGTTTCCAAACTGCTGTATCAAAACAAAGGTTGAACTCTGTGAGTTGAGGACACACATCACAAATAAGTTTCTGAGAATGCTTCTGTCTAGTTTTTATTTGAAGATGTTTCCTTTTTCACCATAGGCCTGAAAGCGCTCGAAATGTCCACTTCCAGATAGTACAGAAAGAGTGTTTCAAACCTGCTCTATGAACGGGAATGTTCAGCTCTGTGAGTTGAATGCAAACATCACAAAGCAGGTTCTGAGAATGCTTCCGTCTAGATTTTAAATGAGGATATTCCCGTTTCCAACGAAATCCTCGAAGCTATCCAAATATCCACTTGCAGATTCCACAAAAAGAGTGTTTCAAAACTGCTCTGTCAAAAGATAGGTTCAACTCTGTTAGTTGAGTACACACATGGCAAACAAGATTGCGAGAATGCTTTCGTCTAGTTTTTTTGGGAAGATATTTCCTTCTTCACCATAGGCCTCAAAGCGCTCCAAATATCCATTTCCACATGCTATACAAAGAGTGTCTCAAACCTGCTGTATGAATGGGAATGTTCAACTCTATGAGTTGAATGCAAACATCACAAAGAAGTTTCTGAGAATGCTGCTGTCTAGATTTTATATGAAGGTTTTCCCGCTTCCAACGAAATTTTCAATGCTCTCAAAATATCCTCTTGTAGATTCTACAAAAAGAGTGTTTCCAAACTGCTGTATCAAAACAAAGGTTCATCTCTGTTAGTTGAGGACACACATCACAAATAAGTTTCTGAGAATGCTTCTGTCTAGTTCTTATTTGAAGACATTTCCTTTCTCACCTTAGGCCTGAAAGCGCTCGAAATATCCACTTCCAGATACGACAGAAACAGTGATTCAAACCTGCTCTATGAAAGGGAATGTTCAACTAGGTGACTTGAATGCAAACATCATAAAGCAGTTTCTGAGAATGCTGCTGTCTACTTTCTATTTGTAATCCCGTTTCCAACGAAATCCTCAGAACTATCGAAATTTCCAATTGCAGATTCCACAAAAAGCGTGTTTCAAAGCTGCTCTGTAAAAAGAAAGGTTCAACTCTGTTAGTTGAATACACACGTCACAAACAAGTTTCTGAGAATGCTTCTGTCTAGTTTTTATGGGAAGATATTTCCTTTTTCACCGTAGGCCTCAAAGCGCTCCAAATGTCCACTTCCACATACTACAAAAAGAGTGTTTCAAACCTGCTCTATGATAGGGAATGTTGAAACCTATGAGTTGAATGCAAACATTACAAAGAGGTTTCTGAGAATGCTTCTGTCTAGATTTTATATGTAGATATTCCCGTTTCCAACGAAATCCTCAAAGCTATCCAAATATCAACTTGCAGATTCTACAAAAGGAATGTTTCCAAAATGCTGTATCCAAACAAAGGTTCAACTCTGTGAATTGAGGGCATACATCACAAAGAAGATTCTGAGAATGCTTCTGTCTAGATTTTATATGAAAATATTCCCGTTTCCAACGAAATCCTCAAAGCTATCCAAATATCCACTTGCAAATGCCACAAAAAGAGTGTTTCCAAACTGCTCTGTGAAAAGGAAGGTTCAACTCTGTTAGTTGAGTACACACATCACAAAGAGGTTTCTGAGAATGCTGCTGACTAGTTTTTATTTGAAGATATTTCCCTTTTCACCTTAGGCCTAAGAGTGCTCGAAATGTCCATTTCCACATACTCCACAAAGTGTGTTTCAAACGTGCTGTATGAAAGGGAATGTTCAACTCTATGAGTTGAATGCAAACATCACAAAGAAGATTCTGAGAATGCTTTTGTCTAGATTTTATATGAAGATATTCCCGTGTCCAACGAAATTTTCAAAGTTCTCCAAATATCCATTTGTAGATTCTACAAAAAGAGTGTTTCCAAACTGCTGTATCAAAACAAAGGTTGAACTCTGTGAGTTGAGAACACACATCACAAATAAGTTTCTGAGAATGCTTCTGTCTAGTTTTTATTTGAAGATGTTTCCTTTTTCACCATAGGCCTGAAAGCGCTCGAAATGTCCACTTCCAGATAGTACAGAAAGAGTGTTTCAAACCTGCTCTATGAACGGGAATGTTCAGCTCTGTGAGTTGAATGCAAACATCACAAAGCAGGTTCTGAGAATGCTCCGTCTAGTATTTTAAATGAGGATATTCCCGTTTCCAACGAAATCCTCGAAGCTATCCAAATATCCACTTGCAGATTCCACAAAAAGAGTGTTTCAAAACTGCTCTGTCAAAAGATAGGTTCAACTCTGTTAGTTGAGTACACACATGGCAAACAAGATTGCGAGAATGCTTTCGTCTAGTTTTTTTGGGAAGATATTTCCTTCTTCACCATAGGCCTCAAAGCGCTCCAAATATCCATTTCCATATGCTATACAAAGAGTGTCTCAAACCTGCTGTATGAATGGGAATGTTCAACTCTATGAGTTGAATGCAAACATCACAAAGAAGTTTCTGAGAATGCTGCTGTCTAGATTTTATATGAAGGTTTTCCCGCTTCCAACGAAATTTTCAATGCTCTCAAAATATCCTCTTGTAGATTCTACAAAAAGAGTGTTTCCAAACTGCTGTATCAAAACAAAGGTTCATCTCTGTTAGTTGAGGACACACATCACAAATAAGTTTCTGAGAATGCTTCTGTCTAGTTCTTATTTGAAGACATTTCCTTTCTCACCTTAGGCCTGAAAGCGCTCGAAATACCCACTTCCAGATACTACAGAAACAGTGATTCAAACCTGCTCTATGAAAGGGAATGTTCAACTATGTGACTTGAATGCAAACATCACAAAGCAGTTTCTGAGAATGCTGCTGTCTACTTTCTATTTGTAATCCCGTTTCCAACGAAATCCTCAGAACTATCGAAATTTCCAATTGCAGATTCCACAGAAACAGGGTTTCAAAGCTGCTCTGTAAAAAGAAAGGTTCAACTCTGTTAGTTGAATACACACGTCACAAACAAGTTTCTGAGAATGCTTCTGTCTAGTTTTTATGGGAAGATATTTCCTTTTTCACCGTAGGCCTCAAAGCGCTCCAAATGTCCACTTCCACATACTACAAAAAGAGTGTTTCAAACCTGCTGTATGAAAGGGAATGTTCAACTCTATGAGTTGAATGCAAACATTACAAAGAAGTTTCTGAGAATGCTGCTGTCTAGATTTTATATGAAGGTTTTCCCGCTTCCAACGAAATTTAAAATGCTCTCAAAATATCCACTTGTAGATTCTACAAAAAGAGTGTTTCCAAACTGCTGTATCAAAACAAAGGTTCAACTCTGTTAGTTGAGGACACACATCACAAATAAGTTTCTGAGAATGCTTCTGTCTAGTTCTTATTTGAAGACATTTCCTTTCTCACCTTAGGCCTGAAAACGCTCGAAATATCCACTTCCAGATACGACAGAAACAGTGATTCAAACCTGCTCTATGAAAGGGAATGTTCAACTAGGTGACTTGAATGCAAACATCACAAAGCAGTTTCTGAGAATGCTGCTGTCTACTTTCTATTTGTAATCCCGTTTCCAACGAAATCCTCAGAACTATCGAAATTTCCAATTGCAGATTCCACAAAAAGCGTGTTTCAAAGCTGCTCTGTAAAAAGAAAGGTTCAACTCTGTTAGTTGAATACACACGTCACAAACAAGTTTCTGAGAATGCTTCTGTCTAGTTTTTATGGGAAGATATTTCCTTTTTCACCGTAGGCCTCAAAGCGCTCCAAATGTCCACTTCCACATACTACAAAAAGAGTGTTTCAAACCTGCTCTATGATAGGGAATGTTGAAACCTATGAGTTGAATGCAAGCATTACAAAGAGGTTTCTGAGAATGCTTCTGTCTAGATTTTATATGTAGATATTCCCGTTTCCAACGAAATCCTCAAAGCTATCCAAATATCAACTTGCAGATTCTACAAAAGGAATGTTTCCAAAATGCTGTATCCAAACAAAGGTTCAACTCTGTGAATTGAGGGCATACATCACAAAGAAGATTCTGAGAATGCTTCTGTCTAGATTTTATATGAAAATATTCCCGTTTCCAACGAAATCCTCAAAGCTATCCAAATATCCACTTGCAAATGCCACAAAAAGAGTGTTTCCAAACTGCTCTGTGAAAAGGAAGGTTCAACTCTGTTAGTTGAGTACACACATCACAAAGAGGTTTCTGAGAATGCTGCTGACTAGTTTTTATTTGAAGATATTTCCCTTTTCACCTTAGGCCTAGAGTGCTCGAAATGTCCATTTCCACATACTCCACAAAGTGTGTTTCAAACGTGCTGTATGAAAGAGAATGTTCAACTCTATGTGTTGAATGCAAACATCACAAAGAAGATTCTGAGAATGCTTTTGTCTAGATTTTATATGAAGATATTCCCGTGTCCAACGAAATTTTCAAAGGTCTCCAAATATCCATTTGTAGATTCTACAAAAAGAGTGTTTCCAAACTGCTGTATCAAAACAAAGGTTGAACTCTGTGAGTTGAGGACACACATCACAAATAAGTTTCTGAGAATGCTTCTGTCTAGTTTTTATTTGAAGATGTTTCCTTTTTCACCATAGGCCTGAAAGCGCTCGAAATGTCCACTTCCAGATAGTACAGAAAGAGTGTTTCAAACCTGCTCTATGAACGGGAATGTTCAGCTCTGTGAGTTGAATGCAAACATCACAAAGCAGGTTCTGAGAATGCTTCCCGTCTAGATTTTAAATGAGGATATTCCCGTTTCCAACGAAATCCTCGAAGCTATCCAAATATCCACTTGCAGATTCCACAAAAAGAGTGTTTCAAAACTGCTCTGTCAAAAGATAGGTTCAACTCTGTTAGTTGAGTACACACATGGCAAACAAGATTCCGAGAATGCTTTCGTCTAGTTTTTTTGGGAAGATATTTCCTTCTTCACCATAGGCCTCAAAGCGCTCCAAATATCCATTTCCACATGCTATACAAAGAGTGTCTCAAACCTGCTGTATGAATGGGAATGTTCAACTCTATGAGTTGAATGCAAACATCACAAAGAAGTTTCTGAGAATGCTGCTGTCTAGATTTTATATGAAGGTTTTCCCGCTTCCAACGAAATTTTGAATGCTCTCAAAATATCCTCTTGTAGATTCTACAAAAAGAGTGTTTCCAAACTGCTGTATCAAAACAAAGGTTCATCTCTGTTAGTTGAGGACACACATCACAAATAAGTTTCTGAGAATGCTTCTGTCTAGTTCTTATTTGAAGACATTTCCTTTCTCACCTTAGGCCTGAAAGCGCTCGAAATACCCACTTCCAGATACTACAGAAACAGTGATTCAAACCTGCTCTATGAAAGGGAATGTTCAACTATGTGACTTGAATGCAAACATCACAAAGCAGTTTCTGAGAATGCTGCTGTCTACTTTCTATTTGTAATCCCGTTTGCAACGAAATCCTCAGAACTATCGAAATTTCCAATTGCAGATTCCACAGAAACAGGGTTTCAAAGCTGCTCTGTAAAAAGAAAGGTTCAACTCTGTTAGTTGAATACACACGTCACAAACAAGTTTCTGAGAATGCTTCTGTCTAGTTTTTATGGGAAGATATTTCCTTTTTCACGGTAGGCCTCAAAGCGCTCCAAATGTCCACTTCCACATACTACAAAAAGAGTGTTTCAAACCTGCTCTATGATAGGGAATGTTGAAACCTATGAGTTGAATGCAAGCATTACAAAGAGGTTTCTGAGAATGCTTCTGTCTAGATTTTATATGTAGATATTCCCGTTTCCAACGAAATCCTCAAAGCTATCCAAATATCAACTTGCAGATTCTGCAAAAGGAATGTTTCCAAAATGCTGTATCCAAACAAAGGTTCAACTCTGTGAATTGAGGGCATACATCACAAAGAAGATTCTGAGAATGCTTCTGTCTAGATTTTATATGAAAATATTCCCGTTTCCAACGAAATCCTCAAAGCTATCCAAATATCCACTTGCAAATGCCACAAAAAGAGTGTTTCCAAACTGCTCTGTGAAAAGGAAGGTTCAACTCTGTTAGTTGAGTACACACATCACAAAGAGGTTTCTGAGAATGCTGCTGACTAGTTTTTATTTGAAGATATTTCCCTTTTCACCTTAGGCCTAAGAGTGCTCGAAATGTCCATTTCCACATACTCCACAAAGTGTGTTTCAAACGTGCTGTATGAAAGGGAATGTTCAACTCTATGAGTTGAATGCAAACATCACAAAGAAGATTCTGAGAATGCTTTTGTCTAGATTTTATATGAAGATATTCCCGTGTCCAACGAAATTTTCAAAGGTCTCCAAATATCCATTTGTAGATTCTACAAAAAGAGTGTTTCCAAACTGCTGTATCAAAACAAAGGTTGAACTCTGTGAGTTGAGGACACACATCACAAATAAGTTTCTGAGAATGCTTCTGTCTAGTTTTTATTTGAAGATGTTTCCTTTTTCACCATAGGCCTGAAAGCGCTCGAAATGTCCACTTCCAGATAGTACAGAAAGAGTGTTTCAAACCTGCTCTATGAACGGGAATGTTCAGCTCTGTGAGTTGAATGCAAACATCACAAAGCAGGTTCTGAGAATGCTTCCGTCTAGATTTTAAATGAGGATATTCCCGTTTCCAACGAAATCCTCGAAGCTATCCAAATATCCACTTGCAGATTCCACAAAAAGAGTGTTTCAAAACTGCTCTGTCAAAAGATAGGTTCAACTCTGTTAGTTGAGTACACACATGGCAAACAAGATTCCGAGAATGCTTTCGTCTAGTTTTTTTGGGAAGATATTTCCTTCTTCACCATAGGCCTCAAAGCGCTCCAAATATCCATTTCCACATGCTATACAAAGAGTGTCTCAAACCTGCTGTATGAATGGGAATGTTCAACTCTATGAGTTGAATGCAAACATCACAAAGAAGTTTCTGAGAATGCTGCTGTCTAGATTTTATATGAAGGTTTTCCCGCTTCCAACGAAATTTTCAATGCTCTCAAAATATCCTCTTGTAGATTCTACAAAAAGAGTGTTTCCAAACTGCTGTATCAAAACAAAGGTTCATCTCTGTTAGTTGAGGACACACATCACAAATAAGTTTCTGAGAATGCTCTGTCTAGTTCTTATTTGAAGACATTTCCTTTCTCACCTTAGGCCTGAAAGCGCTCGAAATACCCACTTCCAGATACGACAGAAACAGTGATTCAAACCTGCTCTATGAAAGGGAATGTTCAACTATGTGACTTGAATGCAAACATCACAAAGCAGTTTACTGAGAATGCTGGCTGTCTACTTTCTATTTGTAATCCCGTTTCCAACGAAATCCTCAGAACTATCGAAATTTCCAATTGCAGATTCCACAGAAACAGGGTTTCAAAGCTGCTCTGTAAAAAGAAAGGTTCAACTCTGTTAGTTGAATACACACGTCACAAACAAGTTTCTGAGAATGCTTCTGTCTAGTTTTTATGGGAAGATATTTCCTTTTTCACCGTAGGCCTCAAAGCGCTCCAAATGTCCACTTCCACATACTACAAAAAGAGTGTTTCAAACCTGCTGTATGAAAGGGAATGTTCAACTCTATGAGTCGAATGCAAACATTACAAAGAAGTTTCTGAGAATGCTTCTGTCTAGATTTTATATGAAGGTTTTCCCGTTTCCAACGAAATTTTCAATGCTCTCAAAATATCCACTTGTAGATTCTACAAAAAGAGTGTTTCCAAACTGCTGTGTCAAAAGAAAGGTTCAACTCTGTTAGTTGAGGACACACATCACAAATAAGTTTCTGAGAATGCTTCTGTCTAGTTCTTATTTGAAGACATTTCCTTTCTCACCTTAGGCCTGAAAACGCTCGAAATATCCACTTCCAGATACGACAGAAACAGTGATTCAAACCTGCTCTATGAAAGGGAATGTTCAACTAGGTGACTTGAATGCAAACATCACAAAGCAGTTTCTGAGAATGCTGCTGTCTACTTTCTATTTGTAATCCCGTTTGCAACGAAATCCTCAGAACTATCGAAATTTCCAATTGCAGATTCCACAGAAACAGGGTTTCAAAGCTGCTCTGTAAAAAGAAAGGTTCAACTCTGTTAGTTGAATACACACGTCACAAACAAGTTTCTGAGAATGCTTCTGTCTAGTTTTTATGGGAAGATATTTCCTTTTTCACGGTAGGCCTCAAAGCGCTCCAAATGTCCACTTCCACATACTACAAAAAGAGTGTTTCAAACCTGCTCTATGATAGGGAATGTTGAAACCTATGAGTTGAATGCAAGCATTACAAAGAGGTTTCTGAGAATGCTTCTGTCTAGATTTTATATGTAGATATTCCCGTTTCCAACGAAATCCTCAAACTATCCAAATATCAACTTGCAGATTCTACAAAAGGAATGTTTCCAAAATGCTGTATCCAAACAAAGGTTCAACTCTGTGAATTGAGGGCATACATCACAAAGAAGATTCTGAGAATGCTTCTGTCTAGATTTTATATGAAAATATTCCCGTTTCCAACGAAATCCTCAAAGCTATCCAAATATCCACTTGCAAATGCCACAAAAAGTGTGTTTCCAAACTGCTCTGTGAAAAGGAAGGTTCAACTCTGTTAGTTGAGTACACACATCACAAAGAGGTTTCTGAGAATGCTGCTGACTAGTTTTTATTTGAAGATATTTCCCTTTTCACCTTAGGCCTAAGAGTGCTCGAAATGTCCATTTCCACATACTCCACAAAGTGTGTTTCAAACGTGCTGTATGAAAGGGAATGTTCAACTCTATGAGTTGAATGCAAACATCACAAAGAAGATTCTGAGAATGCTTTTGTCTAGATTTTATATGAAGATATTCCCGTGTCCAACGAAATTTTCAAAGGTCTCCAAATATCCATTTGTAGATTCTACAAAAAGAGTGTTTCCAAACTGCTGTATCAAAACAAAGGTTGAACTCTGTGAGTTGAGGACACACATCACAAATAAGTTTCTGAGAATGCTTCTGTCTAGTTTTTATTTGAAGATGTTTCCTTTTTCACCATAGGCCTGAAAGCGCTCGAAATGTCCACTTCCAGATAGTACAGAAAGAGTGTTTCAAACCTGCTCTATGAACGGGAATGTTCAGCTCTGTGAGTTGAATGCAAACATCACAAAGCAGGTTCTGAGAATGCTTCCGTCTAGATTTTAAATGAGGATATTCCCGTTTCCAACGAAATCCTCGAAGCTATCCAAATATCCACTTGCAGATTCCACAAAAAGAGTGTTTCAAAACTGCTCTGTCAAAAGATAGGTTCAACTCTGTTAGTTGAGTACACACATGGCAAACAAGATTGCGAGAATGCTTTCGTCTAGTTTTTTTGGGAAGATATTTCCTTCTTCACCATAGGCCTCAAAGCGCTCCAAATATCCATTTCCACATGCTATACAAAGAGTGTCTCAAACCTGCTGTATGAATGGGAATGTTCAACTCTATGAGTTGAATGCAAACATCACAAAGAAGTTTCTGAGAATGCTGCTGTCTAGATTTTATATGAAGGTTTTCCCGCTTCCAACGAAATTTTCAATGTTCTCAAAATATCCTCTTGTAGATTCTACAAAAAGAGTGTTTCCAAACTGCTGTATCAAAACAAAGGTTCATCTCTGTTAGTTGAGGACACACATCACAAATAAGTTTCTGAGAATGCTTCTGTCTAGTTCTTATTTGAAGACATTTCCTTTCTCACCTTAGGCCTGAAAACGCTCGAAATATCCACTTCCAGATACGACAGAAACTGTGATTCAAACCTGCTCTATGAAAGGGAATGTTCAACTAGGTGACTTGAATGCAAACATCACAAAGCAGTTTCTGAGAATGCTGCTGTCTACTTTCTATTTGTAATCCCGTTTCCAACGAAATCCTCAGAACTATCGAAATTTCCAATTGCAGATTCCACAAAAAGCGTGTTTCAAAGCTGCTCTGTAGAAAGAAAGGTTCAACTCTGTTAGTTGAATACACACGTCACAAACAAGTTTCTGAGAATGCTTCTGTCTAGTTTTTATGGGAAGATATTTCCTTTTTCACCGTAGGCCTCAAAGCGCTCCAAATGTCCACTTCCACATACTACAAAAAGAGTGTTTCAAACCTGCTGTATGAAAGGGAATGTTCAACTCTATGAGTTGAATGCAAACATTACAAAGAAGTTTCTGAGAATGCTTCTGTCTAGATTTTATATGAAGGTTTTCCCGTTTCCAACGAAATTTTCAATGCTCTCAAAATATCCACTTGTAGATTCTACAAAAAGAGTGTTTCCAAACTGCTGTGTCAAAAGAAAGGTTCAACTCTGTTAGTTGAGGACACACATCACAAATAAGTTTCTGAGAATGCTTCTGTCTAGTTCTTATTTGAAGACATTTCCTTTCTCACCTTAGGCCTGAAAACGCTCGAAATATCCACTTCCAGATACGACAGAAACAGTGATTCAAACCTGCTCTATGAAAGGGAATGTTCAACTAGGTGACTTGAATGCAAACATCACAAAGCAGTTTCTGAGAATGCTGCTGTCTACTTTCTATTTGTAATCCCGTTTCCAACGAAATCCTCAGAACCATCGAAATTTCCAATTGCAGATTCCACAGAAACAGGGTTTAAAAGCTGCTCTGTAAAAAGAAAGGTTCAACTCTGTTAGTTGAATACACACGTCACAAACAAGTTTCTGAGAATGCTTCTGTCTAGTTTTTATGGGAAGATATTTCCTTTTTCACGGTAGGCCTCAAAGCGCTCCAAATGTCCACTTCCACATACTACAAAAAGAGTGTTTCAAACCTGCTCTATGATAGGGAATGTTGAAACCTATGAGTTGAATGCAAGCATTACAAAGAGGTTTCTGAGAATGCTTCTGTCTAGATTTTATATGTAGATATTCCCATTTCCAACGAAATCCTCAAAGCTATCCAAATATCAACTTGCAGATTCTACAAAAGGAATGTTTCCAAAATGCTGTATCCAAACAAAGGTTCAACTCTGTGAATTGAGGGCATACATCACAAAGAAGATTCTGAGAATGCTTCTGTCTAGATTTTATATGAAAATATTCCCGTTTCCAACGAAATCCTCAAAGCTATCCAAATATCCACTTGCAAATGCCACAAAAAGAGTGTTTCCAAACTGCTCTGTGAAAAGGAAGGTTCAACTCTGTTAGTTGAGTACACACATCACAAAGAGGTTTCTGAGAATGCTGCTGACTAGTTTTTATTTGAAGATATTTCCCTTTTCACCTTAGGCCTAAGAGTGCTCGAAATGTCCATTTCCACATACTCCACAAAGTGTGTTTCAAACGTGCTGTATGAAAGGGAATGTTCAACTCTATGAGTTGAATGCAAACATCACAAAGAAGATTCTGAGAATGCTTTTGTCTAGATTTTATATGAAGATATTCCCGTGTCCAACGAAATTTTCAAAGGTCTCCAAATATCCATTTGTAGATTCTACAAAAAGAGTGTTTCCAAACTGCTGTATCAAAACAAAGGTTGAACTCTGTGAGTTGAGGACACACATCACAAATAAGTTTCTGAGAATGCTTCTGTCTAGTTTTTATTTGAAGATGTTTCCTTTTTCACCATAGGCCTGAAAGCGCTCGAAATGTCCACTTCCAGATAGTACAGAAAGAGTGTTTCAAACCTGCTCTATGAACGGGAATGTTCAGCTCTGTGAGTTGAATGCAAACATCACAAAGCAGGTTCTGAGAATGCTTCCGTCTAGATTTTAAATGAGGATATTCCCGTTTCCAACGAAATCCTCGAAGCTATCCAAATATCCACTTGCAGATTCCACAAAACGAGTGTTTCAAAACTGCTCTGTCAAAAGATAGGTTCAACTCTGTTAGTTGAGTACACACATGGCAAACAAGATTCCGAGAATGCTTTCGTCTAGTTTTTTTGGGAAGATATTTCCTTCTTCACCATAGGCCTCAAAGCGCTCCAAATATCCATTTCCACATGCTATACAAAGAGTGTCTCAAACCTGCTGTATGAATGGGAATGTTCAACTCTATGAGTTGAATGCAAACATCACAAAGAAGTTTCTGAGAATGCTGCTGTCTAGATTTTATATGAAGGTTTTCCCGCTTCCAACGAAATTTTCAATGCTCTCAAAATATCCTCTTGTAGATTCTACAAAAAGAGTGTTTCCAAACTGCTGTATCAAAACAAAGGTTCATCTCTGTTAGTTGAGGACACACATCACAAATAAGTTTCTGAGAATGCTTCTGTCTAGTTCTTATTTGAAGACATTTCCTTTCTCACCTTAGGCCTGAAAACGCTCGAAATATCCACTTCCAGATACGACAGAAACTGTGATTCAAACCTGCTCTATGAAAGGGAATGTTCAACTAGGTGACTTGAATGCAAACATCACAAAGCAGTTTCTGAGAATGCTGCTGTCTACTTTCTATTTGTAATCCCGTTTCCAACGAAATCCTCAGAACTATCGAAATTTCCAATTGCAGATTCCACAGAAACAGGGTTTCAAAGCTGCTCTGTAAAAAGAAAGGTTCAACTCTGTTAGTTGAATACACACGTCACAAACAAGTTTCTGAGATTGCTTCTGTCTAGTTTTGAAACGAAGATATTTCCTTTTCTGCCGTTGACCTTAAAGCGCTTGAAATCTACACTTGGAAATTGCACAAATAGAGTGTTTCAAACCTGCTGTATGAAAGGGAATGTTCAACTCTATGCGTTGAATGCAAACATTACAAAGAAGTTTCTGAGAATGCTTCTGTCTAGATTTTATATGAAGGTTTTCCCGTTTCCAACGAAATTTTCAATGCTCTCAAAA
Source organism: Homo sapiens (assembly GCF_000001405.40). Classification (NCBI taxonomy): domain Eukaryota; kingdom Metazoa; phylum Chordata; class Mammalia; order Primates; family Hominidae; genus Homo; species Homo sapiens. Next base: position 19,130,219 of record NC_000015.10, on the reverse strand, counting down.
TATCCACTTGTAGATTCTACAAAAAGAGTGTTTCCAAACTGCTGTGTCAAAAGAAAGGTTCAACTCTGTTAGTTGAGGACACACATCACAAATAAGTTTCTGAGAATGCTGCTGTCTACTTTCTATTTGTAATCCCGTTTCCAACAAAATCCTCAGAACTATCGAAATTTCCAATTGCAGATTCCACAAAAAGCGTGTTTCAAAGCTGCTCTGTAAAAAGAAAGGTTCAACTCTGTTAGGTGAATACACACGTCACAAACAAGTTTCTGAGAATGCTTCTGTCTAGTTTTTATGGGAAGATATTTCCTTTTTCACCGTAGGCCTCAAAGCGCTCCAAATGTCCACTTCCACATACTACAAAAAGAGTGTTTCAAACCTGCTCTATGATAGGGAATGTTGAAACCTATGAGTTGAATGCAAGCATTACAAAGAGGTTTCTGAGAATGCTTCTGTCTAGATTTTATATGTAGATATTCCCGTTTCCAATGAAATCCTCAAAGCTATCCAAATATCAGCTTGCAGATTCTGCAAAAGGAATGTTTCCAAAATGCTGTATCCAAACAGAGGTTCAACTCTGTGAATTGAGGGCATACATCACAAAGAAGATTCTGAGAATGCTTCTGTCTAGATTTTATATGAAAATATTCCCGTTTCCAACGAAATCCTCAAAGCTATCCAAATATCCACTTGCAAATGCCACAAAAAGAGTGTTTCCAAACTGCTCTGTGAAAAGGAAGGTTCAACTCTGTTAGTTGAGTACACACATCACAAAGAGGTTTCTGAGAATGCTGCTGACTAGTTTTTATTTGAAGATATTTCCCTTTTCACCTTAGGCCTAGAGTGCTCGAAATGTCCATTTCCACATACTCCACAAAGTGTGTTTCAAACGTGCTGTATGAAAGAGAATGTTCAACTCTATGTGTTGAATGCAAACATCACAAAGAAGATTCTGAGAATGCTTTTGTCTAGATTTTATATGAAGATATTCCCGTGTCCAACGAAATTTTCAAAGGTCTCCAAATATCCATTTGTAGATTCTACAAAAAGAGTGTTTCCAAACTGCTGTATCAAAACAAAGGTTGAACTCTGTGAGTTGAGGACACACATCACAAATAAGTTTCTGAGAATGCTTCTGTCTAGTTTTTATTTGAAGATGTTTCCTTTTTCACCATAGGCCTGAAAGCGCTCGAAATGTCCACTTCCAGATAGTACAGAAAGAGTGTTTCAAACCTGCTCTATGAACGGGAATGTTCAGCTCTGTGAGTTGAATGCAAACATCACAAAGCAGGTTCTGAGAATGCTTCCGTCTAGATTTTAAATGAGGATATTCCCGTTTCCAACGAAATCCTCGAAGCTATCCAAATATCCACTTGCAGATTCCACAAAAAGAGTGTTTCAAAACTGCTCTGTCAAAAGATAGGTTCAACTCTGTTAGTTGAGTACACACATGGCAAACAAGATTCCGAGAATGCTTTCGTCTAGTTTTTTTGGGAAGATATTTCCTTCTTCACCATAGGCCTCAAAGCGCTCCAAATATCCATTTCCACATGCTATACAAAGAGTGTCTCAAACCTGCTGTATGAATGGGAATGTTCAACTCTATGAGTTGAATGCAAACATCACAAAGAAGTTTCTGAGAATGCTGCTGTCTAGATTTTATATGAAGGTTTTCCCGCTTCCAACGAAATTTTCAATGCTCTCAAAATATCCTCTTGTAGATTCTACAAAAAGAGTGTTTCCAAACTGCTGTATCAAAACAAAGGTTCATCTCTGTTAGTTGAGGACACACATCACAAATAAGTTTCTGAGAATGCTTCTGTCTAGTTCTTATTTGAAGACATTTCCTTTCTCACCTTAGGCCTGAAAACGCTCGAAATATCCACTTCCAGATACGACAGAAACAGTGATTCAAACCTGCTCTATGAAAGGGAATGTTGAACTAGGTGACTTGAATGCAAACATCAGAAAGCAGTTTCTGAGAATGCTGCTGTCTACTTTCTATTTGTAATCCCGTTTCCAACGAAATCCTCAGAACTATCGAAATTTCCAATTGCAGATTCCACAAAAAGCGTGTTTCAAAGCTGCTCTGTAAAAAGAAAGGTTCAACTCTGTTAGTTGAATACACACGTCACAAACAAGTTTCTGAGAATGCTTCTGTCTAGTTTTTATGGGAAGATATTTCCTTTTTCACCGTAGGCCTCAAAGCGCTCCAAATGTCCACTTCCACATACTACAAAAAGAGTGTTTCAAACCTGCTCTATGATAGGGAATGTTGAAACCTATGAGTTGAATGCAAGCATTACAAAGAGGTTTCTGAGAATGCTTCTGTCTAGATTTTATATGTAGATATTCCCGTTTCCAACGAAATCCTCAAAGCTATCCAAATATCAGCTTGCAGATTCTGCAAAAGGAATGTTTCCAAAATGCTGTATCCAAACAAAGGTTCAACTCTGTGAATTGAGGGCATACATCACAAAGAAGATTCTGAGAATGCTTCTGTCTAGATTTTATATGAAAATATTCCCGTTTCCAACGAAATCCTCAAAGCTATCCAAATATCCACTTGCAAATGCCACAAAAAGAGTGTTTCCAAACTGCTCTGTGAAAAGGAAGTTCAACTCTGTTAGTTGAGTACACACATCACAAAGAGGTTTCTGAGAATGCTTGCTGACTAGTTTTTATTTGAAGATATTTCCCTTTTCACCTTAGGCCTAAGAGTGCTCGAAATGTCCATTTCCACATACTCCACAAAGTGTGTTTCAAACGTGCTGTATGAAAGGGAATGTTCAACTCTATGAGTTGAATGCAAACATCACAAAGAAGACTCTGAGAATGCTTTTGTCTAGATTTTATATGAAGATATTCCCGTGTCCAACGAAATTTTCAAAGGTCTCCAAATATCCATTTGTAGATTCTACAAAAAGAGTGTTTCCAAACTGCTGTATCAAAACAAAGGTTGAACTCTGTGAGTTGAGGACACACATCACAAATAAGTTTCTGAGAATGCTTCTGTCTAGTTTTTATTTGAAGATGTTTCCTTTTTCACCATAGGCCTGAAAGCGCTCGAAATGTCCACTTCCAGATAGTACAGAAAGAGTGTTTCAAACCTGCTCTATGACCGGGAATGTTCAGCTCTGTGAGTTGAATGCAAACATCACAAAGCAGGTTCTGAGAATGCTTCCGTCTAGATTTTAAATGAGGATATTCCCGTTTCCAACGAAATCCTCGAAGCTATCCAAATATCCACTTGCAGATTCCACAAAAAGAGTGTTTCAAAACTGCTCTGTCAAAAGATAGGTTCAACTCTGTTAGTTGAGTACACACATGGCAAACAAGATTGCGAGAATGCTTTCGTCTAGTTTTTTTGGGAAGATATTTCCTTCTTCACCATAGGCCTCAAAGCGCTCCAAATATCCATTTCCACATGCTATACAAAGAGTGTCTCAAACCTGCTGTATGAATGGGAATGTTCAACTCTATGAGTTGAATGCAAACATCACAAAGAAGTTTGCTGAGAATGCTGGCTGTCTAGATTTTATATGAAGGTTTTCCCGCTTCCAACGAAATTTTCAATGCTCTCAAAATATCCTCTTGTAGATTCTACAAAAAGAGTGTTTCCAAACTGCTGTATCAAAACAAAGGTTCATCTCTGTTAGTTGAGGACACACATCACAAATAAGTTTCTGAGAATGCTTCTGTCTAGTTCTTATTTGAAGACATTTCCTTTCTCACCTTAGGCCTGAAAGCGCTCGAAATACCCACTTCCAGATACGACAGAAACAGTGATTCAAACCTGCTCTATGAAAGGGAATGTTCAACTATGTGACTTGAATGCAAACATCACAAAGCAGTTTCTGAGAATGCTGCTGTCTACTTTCTATTTGTAATCCCGTTTCCAACGAAATCCTCAGAACTATCAAAATTTCCAATTGCAGATTCCACAGAAACAGGGTTTCAAAGCTGCTCTGTAAAAAGAAAGGTTCAACTCTGTTAGTTGAATACACACGTCACAAACAAGTTTCTGAGAATGCTTCTGTCTAGTTTTTATGGGAAGATATTTCCTTTTTCACCGTAGGCCTCAAAGCGCTCCAAATGTCCACTTCCACATACTACAAAAAGAGTGTTTCAAACCTGCTCTATGATAGGGAATGTTGAAACCTATGAGTTGAATGCAAACATTACAAAGAGGTTTCTGAGAATGCTTCTGTCTAGATTTTATATGTAGATATTCCCGTTTCCAACGAAATCCTCAAAGCTATCCAAATATCAACTTGCAGATTCTACAAAAGGAATGTTTCCAAAATGCTGTATCCAAACAAAGGTTCAACTCTGTGAATTGAGGGCATACATCACAAAGAAGATTCTGAGAATGCTTCTGTCTAGATTTTATATGAAAATATTCCCGTTTCCAACGAAATCCTCAAAGCTATCCAAATATCCACTTGCAAATGCCACAAAAAGAGTGTTTCCAAACTGCTCTGTGAAAAGGAAGGTTCAACTCTGTTAGTTGAGTACACACATCACAAAGAGGTTTCTGAGAATGCTGCTGACTAGTTTTTATTTGAAGATATTTCCCTTTTCACCTTAGGCCTAAGAGTGCTCGAAATGTCCATTTCCACATACTCCACAAAGTGTGTTTCAAACGTGCTGTATGAAAGGGAATGTTCAACTCTATGAGTTGAATGCAAACATCACAAAGAAGATTCTGAGAATGCTTTTGTCTAGATTTTATATGAAGATATTCCCGTGTCCAACGAAATTTTCAAAGGTCTCCAAATATCCATTTGTAGATTCTACAAAAAGAGTGTTTCCAAACTGCTGTATCAAAACAAAGGTTGAACTCTGTGAGTTGAGGACACACATCACAAATAAGTTTCTGAGAATGCTTCTGTCTAGTTTTTATTTGAAGATGTTTCCTTTTTCACCATAGGCCTGAAAGCGCTCGAAATGTCCACTTCCAGATAGTACAGAAAGAGTGTTTCAAACCTGCTCTATGAACGGGAATGTTCAGCTCTGTGAGTTGAATGCAAACATCACAAAGCAGGTTCTGAGAATGCTTCCGTCTAGATTTTAAATGAGGATATTCCCGTTTCCAACGAAATCCTCGAAGCTATCCAAATATCCACTTGCAGATTCCACAAAAAGAGTGTTTCAAAACTGCTCTGTCAAAAGATAGGTTCAACTCTGTTAGTTGAGTACACACATGGCAAACAAGATTCCGAGAATGCTTTCGTCTAGTTTTTTTGGGAAGATATTTCCTTCTTCACCATAGGCCTCAAAGCGCTCCAAATATCCATTTCCACATGCTATACAAAGAGTGTCTCAAACCTGCTGTATGAATGGGAATGTTCAACTCTATGAGTTGAATGCAAACATCACAAAGAAGTTTCTGAGAATGCTGCTGTCTAGATTTTATATGAAGGTTTTCCCGCTTCCAACGAAATTTTCAATGCTCTCAAAATATCCTCTTGTAGATTCTACAAAAAGAGTGTTTCCAAACTGCTGTATCAAAACAAAGGTTCATCTCTGTTAGTTGAGGACACACATCACAAATAAGTTTCTGAGAATGCTTCTGTCTAGTTCTTATTTGAAGACATTTCCTTTCTCACCTTAGGCCTGAAAGCGCTCGAAATACCCACTTCCAGATACTACAGAAACAGTGATTGAAACCTGCTCTATGAAAGGGAATGTTCAACTAGGTGACTTGAATGCAAACATCACAAAGCAGTTTCTGAGAATGCTGCTGTCTACTTTCTATTTGTAATCCCGTTTCCAACGAAATCCTCAGAACTATCGAAATTTCCAATTGCAGATTCCACAGAAACAGGGTTTCAAAGCTGCTCTGTAAAAAGAAAGGTTCAACTCTGTTAGTTGAATACACACGTCACAAACAAGTTTCTGAGAATGCTTCTGTCTAGTTTTTATGGGAAGATATTTCCTTTTTCACCGTAGGCCTCAAAGCGCTCCAAATGTCCACTTCCACATACTACAAAAAGAGTGTTTCAAACCTGCTGTATGAAAGGGAATGTTCAACTCTATGAGTCGAATGCAAACATGACAAAGAAGTTTCTGAGAATGCTTCTGTCTAGATTTTATATGAAGGTTTTCCCGTTTCCAACGAAATTTTCAATGCTCTCAAAATATCCACTTGTAGATTCTACAAAAAGAGTGTTTCCAAACTGCTGTGTCAAAAGAAAGGTTCAACTCTGTTAGTTGAGGACACACATCACAAATAAGTTTCTGAGAATGCTTCTGTCTAGTTCTTATTTGAAGACATTTCCTTTCTCACCTTAGGCCTGAAAACGCTCGAAATATCCACTTCCAGATACGACAGAAACAGTGATTCAAACCTGCTCTATGAAAGGGAATGTTCAACTAGGTGACTTGAATGCAAACATCACAAAGCAGTTTCTGAGAATGCTGCTGTCTACTTTCTATTTGTAATCCCGTTTCCAACGAAATCCTCAGAACTATCGAAATTTCCAATTGCAGATTCCACAAAAAGCGTGTTTCAAAGCTGCTCTGTAAAAAGGAAGGTTCAACTCTGTTAGTTGAATACACACGTCACAAACAAGTTTCTGAGAATGCTTCTGTCTAGTTTTTATGGGAAGATATTTCCTTTTTCACCGTAGGCCTCAAAGCGCTCCAAATGTCCACTTCCACATACTACAAAAAGAGTGTTTCAAACCTGCTCTATGATAGGGAATGTTGAAACCTATGAGTTGAATGCAAGCATTACAAAGAGGTTTCTGAGAATGCTTCTGTCTAGATTTTATATGTAGATATTCCCGTTTCCAACGAAATCCTCAAACTATCCAAATATCAACTTGCAGATTCTACAAAAGGAATGTTTCCAAAATGCTGTATCCAAACAAAGGTTCAACTCTGTGAATTGAGGGCATACATCACAAAGAAGATTCTGAGAATGCTTCTGTCTAGATTTTATATGAAAATATTCCTGTTTCCAACGAAATCCTCAAAGCTATCCAAATATCCACTTGCAAATGCCACAAAAAGAGTGTTTCCAAACTGCTCTGTGAAAAGGAAGGTTCAACTCTGTTAGTTGAGTACCCACATCACAAAGAGGTTTCTGAGAATGCTGCTGACTAGTTTTTATTTGAAGATATTTCCCTTTTCACCTTAGGCCTAAGAGTGCTCGAAATGTCCATTTCCACATACTCCACAAAGTGTGTTTCAAACGTGCTGTATGAAAGGGAATGTTCAACTCTATGAGTTGAATGCAAACATCACAAAGAAGATTCTGAGAATGCTTTTGTCTAGATTTTATATGAAGATATTCCCGTGTCCAACGAAATTTTCAAAGGTCTCCAAATATCCATTTGTAGATTCTACAAAAAGAGTGTTTCCAAACTGCTGTATCAAAACAAAGGTTGAACTCTGTGAGTTGAGGACACACATCACAAATAAGTTTCTGAGAATGCTTCTGTCTAGTTTTTATTTGAAGATGTTTCCTTTTTCACCATAGGCCTGAAAGCGCTCGAAATGTCCACTTCCAGATAGTACAGAAAGAGTGTTTCAAACCTGCTCTATGAACGGGAATGTTCAGCTCTGTGAGTTGAATGCAAACATCACAAAGCAGGTTCTGAGAATGCTTCCGTCTAGATTTTAAATGAGGATATTCCCGTTTCCAACGAAATCCTCGAAGCTATCCAAATATCCACTTGCAGATTCCACAAAAAGAGTGTTTCAAAACTGCTCTGTCAAAAGATAGGTTCAACTCTGTTAGTTGAGTACACACATGGCAAACAAGATTCCGAGAATGCTTTCGTCTAGTTTTTTTGGGAAGATATTTCCTTCTTCACCATAGGCCTCAAAGTGCTCCAAATATCCATTTCCACATGCTATACAAAGAGTGTCTCAAACCTGCTGTATGAATGGGAATGTTCAACTCTATGAGGTGAATGCAAACATCACAAAGAAGTTTCTGAGAATGCTGCTGTCTAGATTTTATATGAAGGTTTTCCCGCTTCCAACGAAATTTTCAATGCTCTCAAAATATCCTCTTGTAGATTCTACAAAAAGAGTGTTTCCAAACTGCTGTATCAAAACAAAGGTTCATCTCTGTTAGTTGAGGACACACATCACAAATAAGTTTCTGAGAATGCTTCTGTCTAGTTCTTATTTGAAGACATTTCCTTTCTCACCTTAGGCCTGAAAGCGCTCGAAATACCCACTTCCAGATACTACAGAAACAGTGATTCAAACCTGCTCTATGAAAGGGAATGTTCAACTAGGTGACTTGAATGCAAACATCACAAAGCAGTTTCTGAGAATGCTGCTGTCTACTTTCTATTTGTAATCCCGTTTCCAACGAAATCCTCAGAACTATCGAAATTTCCAATTGCAGATTCCACAGAAACAGGGTTTCAAAGCTGCTCTGTAAAAAGAAAGGTTCAACTCTGTTAGTTGAATACACACGTCACAAACAAGTTTCTGAGAATGCTTCTGTCTAGTTTTTATGGGAAGATATTTCCTTTTTCACCGTAGGCCTCAAAGCGCTCCAAATGTCCACTTCCACATACTACAAAAAGAGTGTTTCAAACCTGCTCTATGATAGGGAATGTTGAAACCTATGAGTTGAATGCAAACATTACAAAGAGGTTTCTGAGAATGCTTCTGTCTAGATTTTATATGTAGATATTCCCGTTTCCAACGAAATCCTCAAAGCTATCCAAATATCAACTTGCAGATTCTACAAAAGGAATGTTTCCAAAATGCTGTATCCAAACAAAGGTTCAACTCTGTGAATTGAGGGCATACATCACAAAGAAGATTCTGAGAATGCTTCTGTCTAGATTTTATATGAAAATATTCCCGTTTCCAACAAAATCCTCAAAGCTATCCAAATATCCGCTTGCAAATGCCACAAAAAGAGTGTTTCCAAACTGCTCTGTGAAAAGGAAGGTTCAACTCTGTTAGTTGAGTACACACATCACAAAGAGGTTTCTGAGAATGCTGCTGACTAGTTTTTATTTGAAGATATTTCCCTTTTCACCTTAGGCCTAAGAGTGCTCGAAATGTCCATTTCCACATACTCCACAAAGTGTGTTTCAAACGTGCTGTATGAAAGGGAATGTTCAACTCTATGAGTTGAATGCAAACATCACAAAGAAGATTCTGAGAATGCTTTTGTCTAGATTTTATATGAAGATATTCCCGTGTCCAACGAAATTTTCAAAGGTCTCCAAATATCCATTTGTAGATTCTACAAAAAGAGTGTTTCCAAACTGCTGTATCAAAACAAAGGTTGAACTCTGTGAGTTGAGGACACACATCACAAATAAGTTTCTGAGAATGCTTCTGTCTAGTTTTTATTTGAAGATGTTTCCTTTTTCACCATAGGCCTGAAAGCGCTCGAAATGTCCACTTCCAGATAGTACAGAAAGAGTGTTTCAAACCTGCTCTATGAACGGGAATGTTCAGCTCTGTGAGTTGAATGCAAACATCACAAAGCAGGTTCTGAGAATGCTTCCGTCTAGATTTTAAATGAGGATATTCCCGTTTCCAACGAAATCCTCGAAGCTATCCAAATATCCACTTGCAGATTCCACAAAAAGAGTGTTTCAAAACTGCTCTGTCAAAAGATAGGTTCAACTCTGTTAGTTGAGTACACACATGGCAAACAAGATTGCGAGAATGCTTTCGTCTAGTTTTTTTGGGAAGATATTTCCTTCTTCACCATAGGCCTCAAAGCGCTCCAAATATCCATTTCCACATGCTATACAAAGAGTGTCTCAAACCTGCTGTATGAATGGGAATGTTCAACTCTATGAGTTGAATGCAAACATCACAAAGAAGTTTCTGAGAATGCTGCTGTCTAGATTTTATATGAAGGTTTTCCCGCTTCCAACGAAATTTTCAATGCTCTCAAAATATCCTCTTGTAGATTCTACAAAAAGAGTGTTTCCAAACTGCTGTATCAAAACAAAGGTTCATCTCTGTTAGTTGAGGACACACATCACAAATAAGTTTCTGAGAATGCTTCTGTCTAGTTCTTATTTGAAGACATTTCCTTTCTCACCTTAGGCCTGAAAGCGCTCGAAATACCCACTTCCAGATACTACAGAAACAGTGATTCAAACCTGCTCTATGAAAGGGAATGTTCAACTATGTGACTTGAATGCAAACATCACAAAGCAGTTTCTGAGAATGCTGCTGTCTACTTTCTATTTGTAATCCCGTTTCCAACGAAATCCTCAGAACTATCGAAATTTCCAATTGCAGATTCCACAGAAACAGGGTTTCAAAGCTGCTCTGTAAAAAGAAAGGTTCAACTCTGTTAGTTGAATACACACGTCACAAACAAGTTTCTGAGAATGCTTCTGTCTAGTTTTTATGGGAAGATATTTCCTTTTTCACCGTAGAACTCAAAGCGCTCCAAATGTCCACTTCCACATACTACAAAAAGAGTGTTTCAAACCTGCTCTATGATAGGGAATGTTGAAACCTATGAGTTGAATGCAAGCATTACAAAGAGGTTTCTGAGAATGCTTCTGTCTAGATTTTATATGTAGATATTCCCGTTTCCAACGAAATCCTCAAAGCTATCCAAATATCAACTTGCAGATTCTACAAAAGGAATGTTTCCAAAATGCTGTATCCAAACAAAGGTTCAACTCTGTGAATTGAGGGCATACATCACAAAGAAGATTCTGAGAATGCTTCTGTCTAGATTTTATATGAAAATATTCCCGTTTCCAACGAAATCCTCAAAGCTATCCAAATATCCACTTGCAAATGCCACAAAAAGAGTGTTTCCAAACTGCTCTGTGAAAAGGAAGGTTCAACTCTGTTAGTTGAGTACACACATCACAAAGAGGTTTCTGAGAATGCTGCTGGCTAGTTTTTATTTGAAGATATTTCCCTTTTCACCTTAGGCCTAAGAGTGCTCGAAATGTCCATTTCCACATACTCCACAAAGTGTGTTCCAAACGTGCTGTATGAAAGGGAATGTTCAACTCTATGAGTTGAATGCAAACATCACAAAGAAGATTCTGAGAATGCTTTTGTCTAGATTTTATATGAAGATATTCCCGTGTCCAACGAAATTTTCAAAGGTCTCCAAATATCCATTTGTAGATTCTACAAAAAGAGTGTTTCCAAACTGCTGTATCAAAACAAAGGTTGAACTCTGTGAGTTGAGGACACACATCACAAATAAGTTTCTGAGGATGCTTCTGTCTAGTTTTTATTTGAAGATGTTTCCTTTTTCACCATAGGCCTGAAAGCGCTCGAAATGTCCACTTCCAGATAGTACAGAAAGAGTGTTTCAAACCTGCTCTATGAACGGGAATGTTCAGCTCTGTGAGTTGAATGCAAACATCACAAAGCAGGTTCTGAGAATGCTTCCGTCTAGATTTTATATGAGGATATTCCCGTTTCCAAGGAAATCCTCGAAGCTATCCAAATATCCATTTGCAGATTCCACAAAAAGAGTGTTTCAAAACTGCTCTGTCAAAAGATAGGTTCAACTGTGTTAGTTGAGTACACACATGGCAAACAAGATTGTGAGAATGCTTTCGTCTAGTCTTTTTGGGAAGATATTCCCTTCTTCACCATAGGCCTCAAAGCGCGCCAAATATCCATTTCCACATACTATACAAAGAGTGTCTCAAACCTGCTGTATGAATGGGAATGTTCAACTCTATGAGTTGAATGCAAACATCACAAAGAAGTTTCTGAGAATGCTGCTGTCTAGATTTTATATGAAGGTTTTCCCGCTTCCAACAAAATTTTCAATGCTCTCAAAATATCCTCTTGTAGATTCTACAAAAAGAGTGTTTCCAAACTGCTGTATCAAAACAAAGGTTCATCTCTGTTAGTTGAGGACACACATCACAAATAAGTTTCTGAGAATGCTTCTGTCTAGTTCTTATTTGAAGACATTTCCTTTCTCACCTTAGGCCTGAAAGCGCTCGAAATACCCACTTCCAGATACTACAGAAACAGTGATTCAAACCTGCTCTATGAAAGGGAATGTTCAACTAGGTGACTTGAATGCAAACATCACAAAGCAGTTTCTGAGAATGCTGCTGTCTACTTTCTATTTGTAATCCCGTTTCCAACGAAATCCTCAGATCTATCGAAATTTCCAATTGCAGATTCCACAGAAACAGGGTTTCAAAGCTGCTCTGTAAAAAGAAAGGTTCAACTCTGTTAGTTGAATACACACGTCACAAACAAGTTTCTGAGAATGCTTCTGTCTAGTTTTTATGGGAAGATATTTCCTTTTTCACCGTAGGCCACAAAGCGCTCCAAATGTCCACTTCCACATACTACAAAAAGAGTGTTTCAAACCTGCTGTATGAAAGGGAATGTTCAACTCTATGAGTCGAATGCAAACATTACAAAGAAGTTTCTGAGAATGCTTCTGTCTAGATTTTATATGAAGGTTTTCCCGTTTCCAACGAAATTTTCAATGCTCTCAAAATATCCACTTGTAGATTCTACAAAAAGAGTGTTTCCAAACTGCTGTGTCAAAAGAAAGGTTCAACTCTGTTAGTTGAGGACACACATCACAAATAAGTTTCTGAGAATGCTTCTGTCTAGTTCTTATTTGAAGACATTTCCTTTCTCACCTTAGGCCTGAAAACGCTCGAAATATCCACTTCCAGATACGACAGAAACAGTGATTCAAACCTGCTCTATGAAAGGGAATGTTCAACTAGGTGACTTGAATGCAAACATCACAAAGCAGTTTCTGAGAATGCTGCTGTCTACTTTCTATTTGTAATCCCGTTTCCAACGAAATCCTCAGAACTATCGAAATTTCCAATTGCAGATTCCACAAAAAGCGTGTTTCAAAGCTGCTCTGTAAAAAGAAAGGTTCAACTCTGTTAGTTGAATACACACGTCACAAACAAGTTTCTGAGAATGCTTCTGTCTAGTTTTTATGGGAAGATATTTCCTTTTTCACCGTAGGCCTCAAAGCGCTCCAAATGTCCACTTCCACATACTACAAAAAGAGTGTTTCAAACCTGCTCTATGATAGGGAATGTTGAAACCTATGAGTTGAATGCAAGCATTACAAAGAGGTTTCTGAGAATGCTTCTGTCTAGATTTTATATGTAGATATTCCCGTTTCCAACGAAATCCTCAAACTATCCAAATATCAACTTGCAGATTCTACAAAAGGAATGTTTCCAAAATGCTGTATCCAAACAAAGGTTCAACTCTGTGAATTGAGGGCATACATCACAAAGAAGATTCTGAGAATGCTTCTGTCTAGATTTTATATGAAAATATTCCCGTTTCCAACGAAATCCTCAAAGCTATCCAAATATCCACTTGCAAATGCCACAAAAAGAGTGTTTCCAAACTGCTCTGTGAAAAGGAAGGTTCAACTCTGTTAGTTGAGTACACACATCACAAAGAGGTTTCTGAGAATGCTGCTGACTAGTTTTTATTTGAAGATATTTCCCTTTTCACCTTAGGCCTAAGAGTGCTCGAAATGTCCATTTCCACATACTCCACAAAGTGTGTTTCAAACGTGCTGTATGAAAGGGAATGTTCAACTCTATGTGTTGAATGCAAACATCACAAAGAAGATTCTGAGAATGCTTTTGTCTAGATTTTATATGAAGATATTCCCGTGTCCAACGAAATTTTCAAAGGTCTCCAAATATCCATTTGTAGATTCTACAAAAAGAGTGTTTCCAAACTGCTGTATCAAAACAAAGGTTGAACTCTGTGAGTTGAGGACACACATCACAAATAAGTTTCTGAGAATGCTTCTGTCTAGTTTTTATTTGAAGATGTTTCCTTTTTCACCATAGGCCTGAAAGCGCTCGAAATGTCCACTTCCAGATAGTACAGAAAGAGTGTTTCAAACCTGCTCTATGAACGGGAATGTTCAGCTCTGTGAGTTGAATGCAAACATCACAAAGCAGGTTCTGAGAATGCTTCCGTCTAGATTTTAAATGAGGATATTCCCGTTTCCAACGAAATCCTCGAAGCTATCCAAATATCCACTTGCAGATTCCACAAAAAGAGTGTTTCAAAACTGCTCTGTCAAAAGATAGGTTCAACTCTGTTAGTTGAGTACACACATGGCAAACAAGATTGCGAGAATGCCTTCGTCTAGTTTTTTTGGGAAGATATTTCCTTCTTCACCATAGGCCTCAAAGCGCTCCAAATATCCATTTCCACATGCTATACAAAGAGTGTCTCAAACCTGCTGTATGAATGGGAATGTTCAACTCTATGAGATGAATGCAAACATCACAAAGAAGTTTCTGAGAATGCTGCTGTCTAGATTTTATATGAAGGTTCTCCCGCTTCCAACGAAATTTTCAATGCTCTCAAAATATCCTCTTGTAGATTCTACAAAAAGAGTGTTTCCAAACTGCTGTATCAAAACAAAGGTTCATCTCTGTTAGTTGAGGACACACATCACAAATAAGTTTCTGAGAATGCTTCTGTCTAGTTCTTATTTGAAGACACTTCCTTTCTCACCTTAGGCCTGAAAGCGCTCGAAATACCCACTTCCAGATACTACAGAAACAGTGATTCAAACCTGCTCTATGAAAGGGAATGTTCAACTATGTGACTTGAATGCAAACATCACAAAGCAGTTTCTGAGAATGCTGCTGTCTACTTTCTATTTGTAATCCCGTTTCCAACGAAATCCTCAGAACTATCGAAATTTCCAATTGCAGATTCCACAGAAACAGGGTTTCAAAGCTGCTCTGTAAAAAGAAAGGTTCAACTCTGTTAGTTGAATACACACGTCACAAACAAGTTTCTGAGAATGCTTCTGTCTAGTTTTTATGGGAAGATATTTCCTTTTTCACCGTAGGCCTCAAAGCGCTCCAAATGTCCACTTCCACATACTACAAAAAGAGTGTTTCAAACCTGCTGTATGAAAGGGAATGTTCAACTCTATGAGTTGAATGCAAACATTACAAAGAAGTTTCTGAGAATGCTTCTGTCTAGATTTTATATGAAGGTTTTCCCGTTTCCAACGAAATTTTCAATGCTCTCAAAATATCCACTTGTAGATTCTACAAAAAGAGTGTTTCCAAACTGCTGTGTCAAAAGAAAGGTTCAACTCTGTTAGTTGAGGACACACATCACAAATAAGTTTCTGAGAATGCTGTTGTCTACTTTCTATTTGTAATCCCGTTTCCAACGAAATCCTCAGAACTATCGAAATTTCCAATTGCAGATTCCACAAAAAGCGTGTTTCAAAGCTGCTCTGTAAAAAGAAAGGTTCAACTCTGTTAGTTGAATACACACGTCACAAACAAGTTTCTGAGAATGCTTCTATCTAGTTTTTATGGGAAGATATTTCCTTTTTCACCGTAGGCCTCAAAGCGCTCCAAATGTCCACTTCCACATACTACAAAAAGAGTGTTTCAAACCTGCTGTATGAAAGGGAATGTTCAACTCTATGAGTTGAATGCAAACATTACAAAGAAGTTTCTGAGAATGCTTCTGTCTAGATTTTATATGAAGGTTTTCCCGTTTCCAACGAAATTTTCAATGCTCTCAAAATATCCACTTGTAGATTCTACAAAAAGAGTGTTTCCAAACTGCTGTGTCAAAAGAAAGGTTCAGCTCTGTTAGTTGAGGACACACATCACAAATAAGTTTCTGAGAATGCTTCTGTCTAGTTCTTATTTGAAGACATTTCCTTTCTCACCTTAGGCTTGAAAACGCTCGAAATATCCACTTCCAGATACGACAGAAACAGTGATTCAAACCTGCTCTATGAAAGGGAATGTTCAACTAGGTGACTTGAATGCAAACATCACAAAGCAGTTTCTGAGAATGCTGCTGTCTACTTTCTATTTGTAATCCCGTTTCCAACGAAATCCTCAGAACTATCGAAATTTCCAATTGCAGATTCCACAAAAAGCGTGTTTCAAAGCTGCTCTGTAAAAAGAAAGGTTCAACTCTGTTAGTTGAATACACACGTCACAAACAAGTTTCTGAGAATGCTTCTGTCTAGTTTTTATGGGAAGATATTTCCTTTTTCACCGTAGGCCTCAAAGCGCTCCAAATGTCCACTTCCACATACTACAAAAAGAGTGTTTCAAACCTGCTCTATGATAGGGAATGTTGAAACCTATGAGTTGAATGCAAGCATTACAAAGAGGTTTCTGAGAATGCTTCTGTCTAGATTTTATATGTAGATATTCCCGTTTCCAACGAAATCCTCAAAGCTATCCAAATATCAACTTGCAGATTCTACAAAAGGAATGTTTCCAAAATGCTGTATCCAAACAAAGGTTCAACTCTGTGAATTGAGGGCATACATCACAAAGAAGATTCTGAGAATGCTTCTGTCTAGATTTTATATGAAAATATTCCCGTTTCCAACGAAATCCTCAAAGCTATCCAAATATCCACTTGCAAATGCCACAAAAAGAGTGTTTCCAAACTGCTCTGTGAAAAGGAAGGTTCAACTCTGTTAGTTGAGTACACACATCACAAAGAGGTTTCTGAGAATGCTGCTGACTAGTTTTTATTTGAAGATATTTCCCTTTTCACCTTAGGCCTAAGAGTGCTCGAAATGTCCATTTCCACATACTCCACAAAGTGTGTTTCAAACGTGCTGTATGAAAGTGAATGTTCAACTCTATGAGTTGAATGCAAACATCACAAAGAAGATTCTGAGAATGCTTTTGTCTAGATTTTATATGAAGATATTCCCTTGTCCAACGAAATTTTCAAAGGTCTCCAAATATCCATTTGTAGATTCTACAAAAAGAGTGTTTCCAAACTGCTGTATCAAAACAAAGGTTGAACTCTGTGAGTTGAGGACACACATCACAAATAAGTTTCTGAGAATGCTTCTGTCTAGTTTTTATTTGAAGATGTTTCCTTTTTCACCATAGGCCTGAAAGCGCTCGAAATGTCCACTTCCAGATAGTACAGAAAGAGTGTTTCAAACCTGCTCTATGAACGGGAATGTTCAGCTCTGTGAGTTGAATGCAAACATCACAAAGCAGGTTCTGAGAATGCTTCCGTCTAGATTTTAAATGAGGATATTCCCGTTTCCAACGAAATCCTCGAAGCTATCCAAATATCCACTTGCAGATTCCACAAAAAGAGTGTTTCAAAACTGCTCTGTCAAAAGATAGGTTCAACTCTGTTAGTTGAGTACACACATGGCAAACAAGATTCCGAGAATGCTTTCGTCTAGTTTTTTTGGGAAGATATTTCCTTCTTCACCATAGGCCTCAAAGCGCTCCAAATATCCATTTCCACATGCTATACAAAGAGTGTTTCAAACCTGCTGTATGAATGGGAATGTTCAACTCTATGAGTTGAATGCAAACATCACAAAGAAGTTTCTGAGAATGCTGCTGTCTAGATTTTATATGAAGGTTTTCCCGCTTCCAACGAAATTTTCAATGCTCTCAAAATATCCTCTTGTAGATTCTACAAAAAGAGTGTTTCCAAACTGCTGTATCAAAACAAAGGTTCATCTCTGTTAGTTGAGGACACACATCACAAATAAGTTTCTGAGAATGCTTCTGTCTAGTTCTTATTTGAAGACATTTCCTTTCTCACCTTAGGCCTGAAAGCGCTCGAAATACCCACTTCCAGATACTACAGAAACAGTGATTCAAACCTGCTCTATGAAAGGGAATGTTCAACTATGTGACTTGAATGCAAACATCACAAAGCAGTTTCTGAGAATGCTGCTGTCTACTTTCTATTTGTAATCCCGTTTGCAACGAAATCCTCAGAACTATCGAAATTTCCAATTGCAGATTCCACAGAAACAGGGTTTCAAAGCTGCTCTGTAAAAAGAAAGGTTCAACTCTGTTAGTTGAATACACACGTCACAAACAAGTTTCTGAGAATGCTTCTGTCTAGTTTTTATGGGAAGATATTTCCTTTTTCACCGTAGGCCTCAAAGCGCTCCAAATGTCCACTTCCACATACTACAAAAAGAGTGTTTCAAACCTGCTGTATGAAAGGGAATGTTCAACTCTATGAGTCGAATGCAAACATTACAAAGAAGTTTCTGAGAATGCTTCTGTCTAGATTTTATATGAAGGTTTTCCCGTTTCCAACGAAATTTTCAATGCTCTCAAAATATGCACTTGTAGATTCTACAAAAAGAGTGTTTCCAAACTGCTGTGTCAAAAGAAAGGTTCAACTCTGTTAGTTGAGGACACACATCACAAATAAGTTTCTGAGAATGCTTCTGTCTAGTTCTTATTTGAAGACATTTCCTTTCTCACCTTAGGCCTGAAAACGCTCGAAATATCCACTTCCAGATACGACAGAAACAGTGATTCAAACCTGCTCTATGAAAGGGAATGTTCAACTAGGTGACTTGAATGCAAACATCACAAAGCAGTTTCTGAGAATGCTGCTGTCTACTTTCTATTTGTAATCCCGTTTCCAACGAAATCCTCAGAACTATCGAAATTTCCAATTGCAGATTCCACAAAAAGCGTGTTTCAAAGCTGCTCTGTAAAAAGAAAGGTTCAACTCTGTTAGTTGAATACACACGTCACAAACAAGTTTCTGAGAATGCTTCTGTCTAGTTTTTATGGGAAGATATTTCCTTTTTCACCGTAGGCCTCAAAGCGCTCCAAATGTCCACTTCCACATACTACAAAAAGAGTGTTTCAAACCTGCTCTATGATAGGGAATGTTGAAACCTATGAGTTGAATGCAAGCATTACAAAGTGGTTTCTGAGAATGCTTCTGTCTAGATTTTATATGTAGATATTCCCGTTTCCAACGAAATCCTCAAAGCTATCCAAATATCAACTTGCAGATTCTACAAAAGGAATGTTTCCAAAATGCTGTATCCAAACAAAGGTTCAACTCTGTGAATTGAGGGCATACATCACAAAGAAGATTCTGAGAATGCTTCTGTCTAGATTTTATATGAAAATATTCCCGTTTCCAACGAAATCCTCAAAGCTATCCAAATATCCACTTGCAAATGCCACAAAAAGAGTGTTTCCAAACTGCTCTGTGAAAAGGAAGGTTCAACTCTGTTAGTTGAGTACACACATCACAAAGAGGTTTCTGAGAATGCTGCTGACTAGTTTTTATTTGAAGATATTTCCCTTTTCACCTTAGGCCTAAGAGTGCTCGAAATGTCCATTTCCACATACTCCACAAAGTGTGTTTCAAACGTGCTGTATGAAAGGGAATGTTCAACTCTATGAGTTGAATGCAAACATCACAAAGAAGATTCTGAGAATGCTTTTGTCTAGATTTTATATGAAGATATTCCCGTGTCCAACGAAATTTTCAAAGGTCTCCAAATAAAGATTGTTTCCAAACTGCTGTATCAAAACAAAGATTGAACTCTGTGAGTTGAGGACACACATCACAAATAAGTTTCTGAGAATGCTTCTGTCTAGTTTTTATTTGAAGATGTTTCCTTTTTCACCATAGGCCTGAAAGCGCTCGAAATGTCCACTTCCAGATAGTACAGAAAGAGTGTTTCAAACCTGCTCTATGAACGGGAATGTTCAGCTCTGTGAGTTGAATGCAAACATCACAAAGCAGGTTCTGAGAATGCTTCGTCTAGATTTTAAATGAGGATATTCCCGTTTCCAACGAAATCCTCGAAGCTATCCAAATATCCACTTGCAGATTCCACAAAAAGAGTGTTTCAAAACTGCTCTGTCAAAAGATAGGTTCAACTCTGTTAGTTGAGTACACACATGGCAAACAAGATTCCGAGAATGCTTTCGTCTAGTTTTTTTGGGAAGATATTTCCTTCTTCACCATAGGCCTCAAAGCGCTCCAAATATCCATTTCCACATGCTATACAAAGAGTGTCTCAAACCTGCTGTATGAATGGGAATGTTCAACTCTATGAGTTGAATGCAAACATCACAAAGAAGTTTCTGAGAATGCTGCTGTCTAGATTTTATATGAAGGTTTTCCCGCTTCCAACGAAATTTTCAATGCTCTCAAAATATCCTCTTGTAGATTCTACAAAAAGAGTGTTTCCAAACTGCTGTATCAAAACAAAGGTTCATCTCTGTTACTTGAGGACACACATCACAAATAAGTTTCTGAGAATGCTTCTGTCTAGTTCTTATTTGAAGACATTTCCTTTCTCACCTTAGGCCTGAAAGCGCTCGAAATACCCACTTCCAGATACTACAGAAACAGTGATTCAAACCTGCTCTATGAAAGGGAATGTTCAACTATGTGACTTGAATGCAAACATCACAAAGCAGTTTCTGAGAATGCTGCTGTCTACTTTCAATTTGTAATCCCGTTTCCAACGAAATCCTCAGAACTATCGAAATTTCCAATTGCAGATTCCACAGAAACAGGGTTTCAAAGCTGCTCTGTAAAAAGAAAGGTTCAACTCTGTTAGTTGAATACACACGTCACAAACAAGTTTCTGAGAATGCTTCTGTCTAGTTTTTATGGGAAGATATTTCCTTTTTCACCGTAGGCCTCAAAGCGCTCCAAATGTCCACTTCCACATACTACAAAAAGAGTGTTTCAAACCTGCTGTATGAAAGGGAATGTTCAACTCTATGAGTTGAATGCAAACATTACAAAGAAGTTTCTGAGAATGCTTCTGTCTAGATTTTATATGAAGGTTTTCCCGTTTCCAACGAAATTTTCAATGCTCTCAAAATATCCACTTGTAGATTCTACAAAAAGAGTGTTTCCAAACTGCTGTGTCAAAAGAAAGGTTCAACTCTGTTAGTTGAGGACACACATCACAAATAAGTTTCTGAGAATGCTTCTGTCTAGTTCTTATTTGAAGACATTTCCTTTCTCACCTTAGGCCTGAAAACGCTCGAAATATCCACTTCCAGATACGACAGAAACAGTGATTCAAACCTGCTCTATGAAAGGGAATGTTCAACTAGGTGACTTGAATGCAAACATCACAAAGCAGTTTCTGAGAATGCTGCTGTCTACTTTCTATTTGTAATCCCGTTTCCAACGAAATCCTCAGAACTATCGAAATTTCCAATTGCAGATTCCACAAAAAGCGTGTTTCAAAGCTGCTCTGTAAAAAGAAAGGTTCAACTCTGTTAGTTGAATACACACGTCACAAACAAGTTTCTGAGAATGCTTCTGTCTAGTTTTTATGGGAAGATATTTCCTTTTTCACGGTAGGCCTCAAAGCGCTCCAAATGTCCACTTCCACATACTACAAAAAGAGTGTTTCAAACCTGCTCTATGATAGGGAATGTTGAAACCTATGAGTTGAATGCAAGCATTACAAAGAGGTTTCTGAGAATGCTTCTGTCTAGATTTTATATGTAGATATTCCCGTTTCCAACGAAATCCTCAAAGCTATCCAAATATCAACTTGCAGATTCTACAAAAGGAATGTTTCCAAAATGCTGTATCCAAACAAAGGTTCAACTCTGTGAATTGAGGGCATACATCACAAAGAAGATTCTGAGAATGCTTCTGTCTAGATTTTATATGAAAATATTCCCGTTTCCAACGAAATCCTCAAAGCTATCCAAATATCCACTTGCAAATGCCACAAAAAGAGTGTTTCCAAACTGCTCTGTGAAAAGGAAGGTTCAACTCTGTTAGTTGAGTACACACATCACAAAGAGGTTTCTGAGAATGCTGCTGACTAGTTTTTATTTGAAGATATTTCCCTTTTCACCTTAGGCCTAAGAGTGCTCGAAATGTCCATTTCCACATACTCCACAAAGTGTGTTTCAAACGTGCTGTATGAAAGGGAATGTTCAACTCTATGAGTTGAATGCAAACATCACAAAGAAGATTCTGAGAATGCTTTTGTCTAGATTTTATATGAAGATATTCCCGTGTCCAACGAAATTTTCAAAGGTCTCCAAATATCCATTTGTAGATTCTACAAAAAGAGTGTTTCCAAACTGCTGTATCAAAACAAAGGTTGAACTCTGTGAGTTGAGGACACACATCACAAATAAGTTTCTGAGAATGCTTCTGTCTAGTTTTTATTTGAAGATGTTTCCTTTTTCACCATAGGCCTGAAAGCGCTCGAAATGTCCACTTCCAGATAGTACAGAAAGAGTGTTTCAAACCTGCTCTATGAACGGGAATGTTCAGCTCTGTGAGTTGAATGCAAACATCACAAAGCAGGTTCTGAGAATGCTTCCGTCTAGATTTTAAATGAGGATATTCCCGTTTCCAACGAAATCCTCGAAGCTATCCAAATATCCACTTGCAGATTCCACAAAAAGAGTGTTTCAAAACTGCTCTGTCAAAAGATAGGTTCAACTCTGTTAGTTGAGTACACACATGGCAAACAAGATTCCGAGAATGCTTTCGTCTAGTTTTTTTGGGAAGATATTTCCTTCTTCACCATAGGCCTCAAAGCGCTCCAAATATCCATTTCCACATGCTATACAAAGAGTGTCTCAAACCTGCTGTATGAATGGGAATGTTCAACTCTATGAGTTGAATGCAAACATCACAAAGAAGTTTCTGAGAATGCTGCTGTCTAGATTTTATATGAAGGTTTTCCCGCTTCCAACGAAATTTTCAATGCTCTCAAAATATCCTCTTGTAGATTCTACAAAAAGAGTGTTTCCAAACTGCTGTATCAAAACAAAGGTTCATCTCTGTTAGTTGAGGACACACATCACAAATAAGTTTCTGAGAATGCTTCTGTCTAGTTCTTATTTGAAGACATTTCCTTTCTCACCTTAGGCCTGAAAGCGCTCGAAATACCCACTTCCAGATACTACAGAAACAGTGATTCAAACCTGCTCTATGAAAGGGAATGTTCAACTAGGTGACTTGAATGCAAACATCACAAAGCAGTTTCTGAGAATGCTGCTGTCTACTTTCTATTTGTAATCCCGTTTCCAACGAAATCCTCAGAACTATCGAAATTTCCAATTGCAGATTCCACAGAAACAGGGTTTCAAAGCTGCTCTGTAAAAAGAAAGGTTCAACTCTGTTAGTTGAATACACACGTCACAAACAAGTTTCTGAGAATGCTTCTGTCTAGTTTTTATGGGAAGATATTTCCTTTTTCACGGTAGGCCTCAAAGCGCTCCAAATGTCCACTTCCACATACTACAAAAAGAGTGTTTCAAACCTGCTCTATGATAGGGAATGTTGAAACCTATGAGTTGAATGCAAGCATTACAAAGAGGTTTCTGAGAATGCTTCTGTCTAGATTTTATATGTAGATATTCCCGTTTCCAACGAAATCCTCAAAGCTATCCAAATATCAACTTGCAGATTCTACAAAAGGAATGTTTCCAAAATGCTGTATCCAAACAAAGGTTCAACTCTGTGAATTGAGGGCATACATCACAAAGAAGATTCTGAGAATGCTTCTGTCTAGATTTTATATGAAAATATTCCCGTTTCCAACGAAATCCTCAAAGCTATCCAAATATCCACTTGCAAATGCCACAAAAAGAGTGTTTCCAAACTGCTCTGTGAAAAGGAAGGTTCAACTCTGTTAGTTGAGTACACACATCACAAAGAGGTTTCTGAGAATGCTGCTGACTAGTTTTTATTTGAAGATATTTCCCTTTTCACCTTAGGCCTAAGAGTGCTCGAAATGTCCATTTCCACATACTCCACAAAGTGTGTTTCAAACGTGCTGTATGAAAGGGAATGTTCAACTCTATGAGTTGAATGCAAACATCACAAAGAAGATTCTGAGAATGCTTTTGTCTAGATTTTATATGAAGATATTCCCGTGTCCAACGAAATTTTCAAAGGTCTCCAAATATCCATTTGTAGATTCTACAAAAAGAGTGTTTCCAAACTGCTGTATCAAAACAAAGGTTGAACTCTGTGAGTTGAGGACACACATCACAAATAAGTTTCTGAGAATGCTTCTGTCTAGTTTTTATTTGAAGATGTTTCCTTTTTCACCATAGGCCTGAAAGCGCTCGAAATGTCCACTTCCAGATAGTACAGAAAGAGTGTTTCAAACCTGCTCTATGAACGGGAATGTTCAGCTCTGTGAGTTGAATGCAAACATCACAAAGCAGGTTCCGAGAATGCTTCCGTCTAGATTTTAAATGAGGATATTCCCGTTTCCAACGAAATCCTCGAAGCTATCCAAATATCCACTTGCAGATTCCACAAAAAGAGTGTTTCAAAACTGCTCTGTCAAAAGATAGGTTCAACTCTGTTAGTTGAGTACACACATGGCAAACAAGATTGCGAGAATGCTTTCGTCTAGTTTTTTTGGGAAGATATTTCCTTCTTCACCATAGGCCTCAAAGCGCTCCAAATATCCATTTCCACATGCTATACAAAGAGTGTCTCAAACCTGCTGTATGAATGGGAATGTTCAACTCTATGAGTTGAATGCAAACATCACAAAGAAGTTTCTGAGAATGCTGCTGTCTAGATTTTATATGAAGGTTTTCCCGCTTCCAACGAAATTTTCAATGCTCTCAAAATATCCTCTTGTAGATTCTACAAAAAGAGTGTTTCCAAACTGCTGTATCAAAACAAAGGTTCATCTCTGTTAGTTGAGGACACACATCACAAATAAGTTTCTGAGAATGCTTCTGTCTAGTTCTTATTTGAAGACATTTCCCTTCTCACCTTAGGCCTGAAAGCGCTCGAAATACCCACTTCCAGATACTACAGAAACAGTGATTCAAACCTGCTCTATGAAAGGGAATGTTCTACTAGGTGACTTGAATGCAAACATCACAAAGCAGTTTCTGAGAATGCTGCTGTCTACTTTCTATTTGTAATCCCGTTTCCAACGAAATCCTCAGAACTATCGAAATTTCCAATTGCAGATTCCACAGAAACAGGGTTTCAAAGCTGCTCTGTAAAAAGAAAGGTTCAACTCTGTTAGTTGAATACACACGTCACAAACAAGTTTCTGAGAATGCTTCTGTCTAGTTTTTATGGGAAGATATTTCCTTTTTCACCGTAGGCCTCAAAGCGCTCCAAATGTCCACTTCCACATACTACAAAAAGAGTGTTTCAAACCTGCTGTATGAAAGGGAATGTTCAACTCTATGAGTTGAATGCAAACATTACAAAGAAGTTTCTGAGAATGCTTCTGTCTAGATTTTATATGAAAGTTTTCCCGTTTCCAAGGAAATTTTCAATGCTCTCAAAATATCCACTTGTAGATTCTACAAAAAGAGTGTTTCCAAACTGCTGTGTCAAAAGAAAGGTTCAACTCTGTTAGTTGAAGACACACATCACAAATAAGTTTCTGAGAATGCTTCTGTCTAGTTCTTATTTGAAGACATTTCCTTTCTCACCTTAGGCCTGAAAACGCTCGAAATATCCACTTCCAGATACGACAGAAACAGTGATTCAAACCTGCTCTATGAAAGGGAATGTTCAACTAGGTGACTTGAATGCAAACATCACAAAGCAGTTTCTGAGAATGCTGCTGTCTACTTTCTATTTGTAATCCCGTTTCCAACGAAATCCTCAGAACTATCGAAATTTCCAATTGCAGATTCCACAGAAACAGGGTTTCAAAGCTGCTCTGTAAAAAGAAAGGTTCAACTCTGTTAGTTGAATACACACGTCACAAACAAGTTTCTGAGAATGCTTCTGTCTAGTTTTTATGGGAAGATATTTCCTTTTTCACCGTAGGCCTCAAAGCGCTCCAAATGTCCACTTCCACATACTACAAAAAGAGTGTTTCAAACCTGCTCTATGATAGGGAATGTTGAAACCTATGAGTTGAATGCAAGCATTACAAAGAGGTTTCTGAGAATGCTTCTGTCTAGATTTTATATGTAGATATTCCCGTTTCCAACGAAATCCTCAAAGCTATCCAAATATCAACTTGCAGATTCTGCAAAAGGAATGTTTCCAAAATGCTGTATCCAAACAAAGGTTCAACTCTGTGAATTGAGGGCATACATCACAAAGAAGATTCTGAGAATGCTTTCTGTCTAGATTTTATATGAAAATATTCCCGTTTCCAACGAAATCCTCAAAGCTATCCAAATATCCACTTGCAAATGCCACAAAAAGAGTGTTTCCAAACTGCTCTGTGAAAAGGAAGGTTCAACTCTGTTAGTTGAGTACACACATCACAAAGAGGTTTCTGAGAATGCTGCTGACTAGTTTTTATTTGAAGATATTTCCCTTTTCACCTTAGGCCTAAGAGTGCTCGAAATGTCCATTTCCACATACTCCACAAAGTGTGTTTCAAACGTGCTGTATGAAAGGGAATGTTCAACTCTATGAGTTGAATGCAAACATCACAAAGAAGATTCTGAGAATGCTTTTGTCTAGATTTTATATGAAGATATTCCCGTGTCCAACGAAATTTTCAAAGGTCTCCAAATATCCATTTGTAGATTCTACAAAAAGAGTGTTTCCAAACTGCTGTATCAAAACAAAGGTTGAACTCTGTGAGTTGAGGACACACATCACAAATAAGTTTCTGAGAATGCTTCTGTCTAGTTTTTATTTGAAGATGTTTCCTTTTTCACCATAGGCCTGAAAGCGCTCGAAATGTCCACTTCCAGATAGTACAGAAAGAGTGTTTCAAACCTGCTCTATGAACGGGAATGTTCAGCTCTGTGAGTTGAATGCAAACATCACAAAGCAGGTTCTGAGAATGCTTCCGTCTAGATTTTAAATGAGGATATTCCCGTTTCCAACGAAATCCTCGAAGCTATCCAAATATCCACTTGCAGATTCCACAAAAAGAGTGTTTCAAAACTGCTCTGTCAAAAGATAGGTTCAACTCTGTTAGTTGAGTACACACATGGCAAACAAGATTCCGAGAATGCTTTCGTCTAGTTTTTTTGGGAAGATATTTCCTTCTTCACCATAGGCCTCAAAGCGCTCCAAATATCCATTTCCACATGCTATACAAAGAGTGTCTCAAACCTGCTGTATGAATGGGAATGTTCAACTCTATGAGTTGAATGCAAACATCACAAAGAAGTTTCTGAGAATGCTGCTGTCTAGATTTTATATGAAGGTTTTCCCGCTTCCAACGAAATTTTCAATGCTCTCAAAATATCCTCTTGTAGATTCTACAAAAAGAGTGTTTCCAAACTGCTGTATCAAAACAAAGGTTCATCTCTGTTAGTTGAGGACACACATCACAAATAAGTTTCTGAGAATGCTTCTGTCTAGTTCTTATTTGAAGACATTTCCTTTCTCACCTTAGGCCTGAAAGCGCTCGAAATACCCACTTCCAGATACTACAGAAACAGTGATTCAAACCTGCTCTATGAAAGGGAATGTTCAACTATGTGACTTGAATGCAAACATCACAAAGCAGTTTCTGAGAATGCTGCTGTCTACTTTCTATTTGTAATCCCGTTTCCAACGAAATCCTCAGAACTATCGAAATTTCCAATTGCAGATTCCACAGAAACAGGGTTTCAAAGCTGCTCTGTAAAAAGAAAGGTTCAACTCTGTTAGTTGAATACACACGTCACAAACAAGTTTCTGAGAATGCTTCTGTCTAGTTTTTATGGGAAGATATTTCCTTTTTCACCGTAGGCCTCAAAGCGCTCCAAATGTCCACTTCCACATACTACAAAAAGAGTGTTTCAAACCTGCTGTATGAAAGGGAATGTTCAACTCTATGAGTTGAATGCAAACATTACAAAGAAGTTTCTGAGAACGCTTCTGTCTAGATTTTATATGAAGGTTTTCCCGTTTCCAACGAAATTTTCAATGCTCTCAAAATATCCACTTGTAGATTCTACAAAAAGAGTGTTTCCAAACTGCTGTGTCAAAAGAAAGGTTCAACTCTGTTAGTTGAGGACACACATCACAAATAAGTTTCTGAGAATGCTTCTGTCTAGTTCTTATTTGAAGACATTTCCTTTCTCACCTTAGGCCTGAAAACGCTCGAAATATCCACTTCCAGATACGACAGAAACAGTGATTCAAACCTGCTCTATGAAAGGGAATGTTCAACTAGGTGACTTGAATGCAAACATCACAAAGCAGTTTCTGAGAATGCTGCTGTCTACTTTCTATTTGTAATACCGTTTCCAACGAAATCCTCAGAACTATCGAAATTTCCAATTGCAGATTCCACAAAAAGCGTGTTTCAAAGCTGCTCTGTAAAAAGAAAGGTTCAACTCTGTTAGTTGAATACACACGTCACAAACAAGTTTCTGAGAATGCTTCTGTCTAGTTTTTATGGGAAGATATTTCCTTTTTCACCGTAGGCCTCAAAGCGCTCCAAATGTCCACTTCCACATACTACAAAAAGAGTGTTTCAAACCTGCTCTATGATAGGGAATGTTGAAACCTATGAGTTGAATGCAAGCATTACAAAGAGGTTTCTGAGAATGCTTCTGTCTAGATTTTATATGTAGATATTCCCGTTTCCAACGAAATCCTCAAAGCTATCCAAATATCAACTTGCAGATTCTACAAAAGGAATGTTTCCAAAATGCTGTATCCAAACAAAGGTTCAACTCTGTGAATTGAGGGCATACATCACAAAGAAGATTCTGAGAATGCTTCTGTCTAGATTTTATATGAAAATATTCCCGTTTCCAACGAAATCCTCAAAGCTATCCAAATATCCACTTGCAAATGCCACAAAAAGAGTGTTTCCAAACTGCTCTGTGAAAAGGAAGGTTCAACTCTGTTAGTTGAGTACACACATCACAAAGAGGTTTCTGAGAATGCTGCTGACTAGTTTTTATTTGAAGATATTTCCCTTTTCACCTTAGGCCTAAGAGTGCTCGAAATGTCCATTTCCACATACTCCACAAAGTGTGTTTCAAACGTGCTGTATGAAAGGGAATGTTCAACTCTATGAGTTGAATGCAAACATCACAAAGAAGATTCTGAGAATGCTTTTGTCTAGGTTTTATATGAAGATATTCCCGTGTCCAACGAAATTTTCAAAGGTCTCCAAATATCCATTTGTAGATTCTACAAAAAGAGTGTTTCCAAACTGCTGTATCAAAACAAAGGTTGAACTCTGTGAGTTGAGGACACACATCACAAATAAGTTTCTGAGAATGCTTCTGTCTAGTTTTTATTTGAAGATGTTTCCTTTTTCACCATAGGCCTGAAAGCGCTCGAAATGTCCACTTCCAGATAGTACAGAAAGAGTGTTTCAAACCTGCTCTATGAACGGGAATGTTCAGCTCTGTGAGTTGAATGCAAACATCACAAAGCAGGTTCTGAGAATGCTTCCGTCTAGATTTTAAATGAGGATATTCCCGTTTCCAACGAAATCCTCGAAGCTATCCAAATATCCACTTGCAGATTCCACAAAAAGAGTGTTTCAAAACTGCTCTGTCAAAAGATAGGTTCAACTCTGTTAGTTGAGTACACACATGGCAAACAAGATTCCGAGAATGCTTTCGTCTAGTTTTTTTGGGAAGATATTTCCTTCTTCACCATAGGCCTCAAAGCGCTCCAAATATCCATTTCCACATGCTATACAAAGAGTGTCTCAAACCTGCTGTATGAATGGGAATGTTCAACTCTATGAGTTGAATGCAAACATCACAAAGAAGTTTCTGAGAATGCTGCTGTCTAGATTTTATATGAAGGTTTTCCCGCTTCCAACGAAATTTTCAATGCTCTCAAAATATCCTCTTGTAGATTCTACAAAAAGAGTGTTTCCAAACTGCTGTATCAAAACAAAGGTTCATCTCTGTTAGTTGAGGACACACATCACAAATAAGTTTCTGAGAATGCTTCTGTCTAGTTCTTATTTGAAGACATTTCCTTTCTCACCTTAGGCCTGAAAGCGCTCGAAATACCCACTTCCAGATACTACAGAAACAGTGATTCAAACCTGCTCTATGAAAGGGAATGTTCAACTAGGTGACTTGAATGCAAACATCACAAAGCAGTTTCTGAGAATGCTGCTGTCTACTTTCTATTTGTAATCCCGTTTCCAACGAAATCCTCAGAACTATCGAAATTTCCAATTGCAGATTCCACAAAAAGCGTGTTTCAAAGCTGCTCTGTAAAAAGAAAGGTTCAACTCTGTTAGTTGAATACACACGTCACAAACAAGTTTCTGAGAATGCTTCTGTCTAGTTTTTATGGGAAGATATTTCCTTTTTCACCGTAGGCCTCAAAGCGCTCCAAATGTCCACTTCCACATACTACAAAAAGAGTGTTTCAAACCTGCTGTATGAAAGGGAATGTTCAACTCTATGAGTTGAATGCAAACATCACAAAGAAGTTTCTGAGAATGCTTCTGTCTAGATTTTATATGAAGGTTTTCCCGTTTCCAACGAAATTTTCAATGCTCTCAAAATATCCACTTGTAGATTCTACAAAAAGAGTGTTTCCAAACTGCTGTGTCAAAAGAAAGGTTCAACTCTGTTAGTTGAGGACACACATCACAAGTTTCTGAGAATGCTTCTGTCTAGTTCTTATTTGAAGACATTTCCTTTCTCACCTTAGGCCTGAAAACGCTCGAAATATCCACTTCCAGATACGACAGAAACAGTGATTCAAACCTGCTCTATGAAAGGGAATGTTCAACTATGTGACTTGAATGCAAACATCACAAAGCAGTTTCTGAGAATGCTGCTGTCTACTTTCTATTTGTAATCCCGTTTGCAACGAAATCCTCAGAACTATCGAAATTTCCAATTGCAGATTCCACAGAAACAGGGTTTCAAAGCTGCTCTGTAAAAAGAAAGGTTCAACTCTGTTAGTTGAATACACACGTCACAA
Organism: Homo sapiens; assembly: GCF_000001405.40. Taxonomy (NCBI): domain Eukaryota; kingdom Metazoa; phylum Chordata; class Mammalia; order Primates; family Hominidae; genus Homo; species Homo sapiens. The sequence continues at coordinate 19,099,637 of NC_000015.10, read as the reverse complement.
ACAAGTTTCTGAGAATGCTTCTGTCTAGTTTTTATGGGAAGATATTTCCTTTTTCACCGTAGGCCTCAAAGCGCTCCAAATGTCCACTTCCACATACTACAAAAAGAGTGTTTCAAACCTGCTCTATGATAGGGAATGTTGAAACCTATGAGTTGAATGCAAACATTACAAAGAGGTTTCTGAGAATGCTTCTGTCTAGATTTTATATGTAGATATTCCCGTTTCCAACGAAATCCTCAAAGCTATCCAAATATCAACTTGCAGATTCTACAAAAGGAATGTTTCCAAAATGCTGTATCCAAACAAAGGTTCAACTCTGTGAATTGAGGGCATACATCACAAAGAAGATTCTGAGAATGCTTCTGTCTAGATTTTATATGAAAATATTCCCGTTTCCAACGAAATCCTCAAAGCTATCCAAATATCCACTTGCAAATGCCACAAAAAGAGTGTTTCCAAACTGCTCTGTGAAAAGGAAGGTTCAACTCTGTTAGTTGAGTACACACATCACAAAGAGGTTTCTGAGAATGCTGCTGACTAGTTTTTATTTGAAGATATTTCCCTTTTCACCTTAGGCCTAAGAGTGCTCGAAATGTCCATTTCCACATACTCCACAAAGTGTGTTTCAAACGTGCTGTATGAAAGGGAATGTTCAACTCTATGAGTTGAATGCAAACATCACAAAGAAGATTCTGAGAATGCTTTTGTCTAGATTTTATATGAAGATATTCCCGTGTCCAACGAAATTTTCAAAGGTCTCCAAATATCCATTTGTAGATTCTACAAAAAGAGTGTTTCCAAACTGCTGTATCAAAACAAAGGTTGAACTCTGTGAGTTGAGGACACACATCACAAATAAGTTTCTGAGAATGCTTCTGTCTAGTTTTTATTTGAAGATGTTTCCTTTTTCACCATAGGCCTGAAAGCGCTCGAAATGTCCACTTCCAGATAGTACAGAAAGAGTGTTTCAAACCTGCTCTATGAACGGGAATGTTCAGCTCTGTGAGTTGAATGCAAACATCACAAAGCAGGTTCTGAGAATGCTTCCGTCTAGATTTTAAATGAGGATATTCCCGTTTCCATCGAAATCCTCGAAGCTATCCAAATATCCACTTGCAGATTCCACAAAAAGAGTGTTTCAAAACTGCTCTGTCAAAAGATAGGTTCAACTCTGTTAGTTGAGTACACACATGGCAAACAAGATTCCGAGAATGCTTTCGTCTAGTTTTTTGGGGAAGATATTTCCTTCTTCACCATAGGCCTCAAAGCGCTCCAAATATCCATTTCCACATGCTATACAAAGAGTGTCTCAAACCTGCTGTATGAATGGGAATGTTCAACTCTATGAGTTGAATGCAAACATCACAAAGAAGTTTCTGAGAATGCTGCTGTCTAGATTTTATATGAAGGTTTTCCCGCTTCCAACGAAATTTTCAATGCTCTCAAAATATCCTCTTGTAGATTCTACAAAAAGAGTGTTTCCAAACTGCTGTATCAAAACAAAGGTTCATCTCTGTTAGTTGAGGACACACATCACAAATAAGTTTCTGAGAATGCTTCTGTCTAGTTCTTATTTGAAGACATTTCCTTTCTCACCTTAGGCCTGAAAGCGCTCGAAATACCCACCTTCCAGATACTACAGAAACAGTGATTCAAACCTGCTCTATGAAAGGGAATGTTCAACTAGGTGACTTGAATGCAAACATCACAAAGCAGTTTCTGAGAATGCTGCTGTCTACTTTCTATTTGTAATCCCGTTTCCAACGAAATCCTCAGAACTATCGAAATTTCCAATTGCAGATTCCACAGAAACAGGGTTTCAAAGCTGCTCTGTAAAAAGAAAGGTTCAACTCTGTTAGTTGAATACACACGTCACAAACAAGTTTCTGAGAATGCTTCTGGCTAGTTTTTATGGGAAGATATTTCCTTTTTCACCGTAGGCCTCAAAGCGCTCCAAATGTCCACTTCCACATACTACAAAAAGAGTGTTTCAAACCTGCTCTATGATAGGGAATGTTGAAACCTATGAGTTGAATGCAAGCATTACAAAGAGGTTTCTGAGAATGCTTCTGTCTAGATTTTATATGTAGATATTCCCGTTTCCAACGAAATCCTCAAAGCTATCCAAATATCAACTTGCAGATTCTACAAAAGGAATGTTTCCAAAATGCTGTATCCAAACAAAGGTTCAACTCTGTGAATTGAGGGAATACATCACAAAGAAGATTCTGAGAATGCTTCTGTCTAGATTTTATATGAAAATATTCCCGTTTCCAACGAAATCCTCAAAGCTATCCAAATATCCACTTGCAAATGCCACAAAAAGAGTGTTTCCAAACTGCTCTGTGAAAAGGAAGGTTCAACTCTGTTAGTTGAGTACACACATCACAAAGAGGTTTCTGAGAATGCTGCTGACTAGTTTTTATTTGAAGATATTTCCCTTTTCACCTTAGGCCTAAGAGTGCTCGAAATGTCCATTTCCACATACTCCACAAAGTGTGTTTCAAACGTGCTGTATGAAAGGGAATGTTCAACTCTATGAGTTGAATGCAAACATCACAAAGACGACTCTGAGAATGCTTTTGTCTAGATTTTATATGAAGATATTCCCGTGTCCAACGAAATTTTCAAAGGTCTCCAAATATCCATTTGTAGATTCTACAAAAAGAGTGTTTCCAAACTGCTGTATCAAAACAAAGGTTGAACTCTGTGAGTTGAGGACACACATCACAAATAAGTTTCTGAGAATGCTTCTGTCTAGTTTTTATTTGAAGATGTTTCCTTTTTCACCATAGGCCTGAAAGCGCTCGAAATGTCCACTTCCAGATAGTACAGAAAGAGTGTTTCAAACCTGCTCTATGAACGGGAATGTTCAGCTCTGTGAGTTGAATGCAAACATCACAAAGCAGGTTCTGAGAATGCTTCCGTCTAGATTTTAAATGAGGATATTCCCGTTTCCAACGAAATCCTCGAAGCTATCCAAATATCCACTTGCAGATTCCACAAAAAGAGTGTTTCAAAACTGCTCTGTCAAAAGATAGGTTCAACTCTGTTAGTTGAGTACACACATGGCAAACAAGATTGCGAGAATGCTTTCGTCTAGTTTTTTTGGGAAGATATTTCCTTCTTCACCATAGGCCTCAAAGCGCTCCAAATATCCATTTCCACATGCTATACAAAGAGTGTCTCAAACCTGCTGTATGAATGGGAATGTTCAACTCTATGAGTTGAATGCAAACATCACAAAGAAGTTTCTGAGAAATGCTGCTGTCTAGATTTTTATATGAAGGTTTTCCCGCTTCCAACGAAATTTTCAATGCTCTCAAAATATCCTCTTGTAGATTCTACAAAAAGAGTGTTTCCAAACTGCTGTATCAAAACAAAGGTTCATCTCTGTTAGTTGAGGACACACATCACAAATAAGTTTCTGAGAATGCTTCTGTCTAGTTCTTATTGGAAGACATTTCCTTTCTCACCTTAGGCCTGAAAGCGCTCGAAATATCCACTTCCAGATACGACAGAAACTGTGATTCAAACCTGCTCTATGAAAGGGAATGTTCAACTAGGTGACTTGAATGCAAACATCACAAAGCAGTTTCTGAGAATGCTGCTGTCTACTTTCTATTTGTAATCCCGTTTCCAACGAAATCCTCAGAACTATCGAAATTTCCAATTGCAGATTCCACAAAAAGCGTGTTTCAAAGCTGCTCTGTAAAAAGAAAGGTTCAACTCTGTTAGTTGAATACACACGTCACAAACAAGTTTCTGAGAATGCTCTGTCTAGTTTTTATGGGAAGATATTTCCTTTTTCACCGTAGGCCTCAAAGCGCTCCAAATGTCCACTTCCACATACTACAAAAAGAGTGTTTCAAACCTGCTCTATGATAGGGAATGTTGAAACCTATGAGTTGAATGCAAGCATTACAAAGAGGTTTCTGAGAATGCTTTCTGTCTAGATTTTATATGTAGATATTCACGTTTCCAACGAAATCCTCAAACTATCCAAATATCAACTTGCAGATTCTACAAAAGGAATGTTTCCAAAATGCTGTATCCAAACAAAGGTTCAACTCTGTGAATTGAGGGCATACATCACAAAGAAGATTCTGAGAATGCTTCTGTCTAGATTTTATATGAAAATATTCCCGTTTCCAACGAAATCCTCAAAGCTATCCAAATATCCACTTGCAAATGCCACAAAAAGAGTGTTTCCAAACTGCTCTGTGAAAAGGAAGGTTCAACTCTGTTAGTTGAGTACACACATCACAAAGAGGTTTCTGAGAATGCTGCTGACTAGTTTTTATTTGAAGATATTTCCCTTTTCACCTTAGGCCTAAGAGTGCTCGAAATGTCCATTTCCACATACTCCACAAAGTGTGTTTCAAACGTGCTGTATGAAAGGGAATGTTCAACTCTATGAGTTGAATGCAAACATCACAAAGAAGATTCTGAGAATGCTTTTGTCTAGATTTTATATGAAGATATTCCCGTGTCCAACGAAATTTTCAAAGGTCTCCAAATATCCATTTGTAGATTCTACAAAAAGAGTGTTTCCAAACTGCTGTATCAAAACAAAGGTTGAACTCTGTGAGTTGAGGACACACATCACAAATAAGTTTCTGAGAATGCTTCTGTCTAGTTTTTATTTGAAGATGTTTCCTTTTTCACCATAGGCCTGAAAGCGCTCGAAATGTCCACTTCCAGATAGTGCAGAAAGAGTGTTTCAAACCTGCTCTATGAACGGGAATGTTCAGCTCTGTGAGTTGAATGCAAACATCACAAAGCAGGTTCTGAGAATGCTTCCGTCTAGATTTTAAATGAGGATATTCCCGTTTCCAACGAAATCCTCGAAGCTATCCAAATATCCACTTGCAGATTCCACAAAAAGAGTGTTTCAAAACTGCTCTGTCAAAAGATAGGTTCAACTCTGTTAGTTGAGTACACACATGGCAAACAAGATTGCGAGAATGCTTTCGTCTAGTTTTTTTGGGAAGATATTTCCTTCTTCACCATAGGCCTCAAAGCGCTCCAAATATCCATTTCCACATGCTATACAAAGAGTGTCTCAAACCTGCTGTATGAATGGGAATGTTCAACTCTATGAGTTGAATGCAAACATCACAAAGAAGTTTCTGAGAATGCTGCTGTCTAGATTTTATATGAAGGTTTTCCCGCTTCCAACGAAATTTTCAATGCTCTCAAAATATCCTCTTGTAGATTCTACAAAAAGAGTGTTTCCAAACTGCTGTATCAAAACAAAGGTTCATCTCTGTTAGTTGAGGACACACATCACAAATAAGTTTCTGAGAATGCTTCTGTCTAGTTCTTATTTGAAGACATTTCCTTTCTCACCTTAGGCCTGAAAACGCTCGAAATATCCACTTCCAGATACGACAGAAACTGTGATTCAAACCTGCTCTATGAAAGGGAATGTTCAACTAGGTGACTTGAATGCAAACATCACAAAGCAGTTTCTGAGAATGCTGCTGTCTACTTTCTATTTGTAATCCCGTTTCCAACGAAATCCTCAGAACTATCGAAATTTCCAATTGCAGATTCCACAAAAAGCGTGTTTCAAAGCTGCTCTGTAAAAAGAAAGGTTCAACTCTGTTAGTTGAATACACACGTCACAAACAAGTTTCTGAGAATGCTTCTGTCTAGTTTTTATGGGAAGATATTTCCTTTTTCACCGTAGGCCTCAAAGCGCTCCAAATGTCCACTTCCACATACTACAAAAAGAGTGTTTCAAACCTGCTGTATGAAAGGGAATGTTCAACTCTATGAGTTGAATGCAAACATTACAAAGAAGTTTCTGAGAATGCTTCTGTCTAGATTTTATATGAAGGTTTTCCCGCTTCCAACGAAATTTTCAATGCTCTCAAAATATCCTCTTGTAGATTCTACAAAAAGAGTGTTTCCAAACTGCTGTATCAAAACAAAGGTTCATCTCTGTTAGTTGAGGACACACATCACAAATAAGTTTCTGAGAATGCTTCTGTCTAGTTCTTATTTGAAGACATTTCCTTTCTCACCTTAGGCCTGAAAACGCTCGAAATATCCACTTCCAGATACGACAGAAACAGTGATTCAAACCTGCTCTATGAAAGGGAATGTTCAACTAGGTGACTTGAATGCAAACATCACAAAGCAGTTTCTGAGAATGCTGCTGTCTACTTTCTATTTGTAATCCCGTTTCCAACGAAATCCTCAGAACTATCGAAATTTCCAATTGCAGATTCCACAGAAACAGGGTTTCAAAGCTGCTCTGTAAAAAGAAAGGTTCAACTCTGTTAGTTGAATACACACGTCACAAACAAGTTTCTGAGAATGCTTCTGTCTAGTTTTTATGGGAAGATATTTCCTTTTTCACCGTAGGCCTCAAAGCGCTCCAAATGTCCACTTCCACATACTACAAAAAGAGTGTTTCAAACCTGCTCTATGATAGGGAATGTTGAAACCTATGAGTTGAATGCAAGCATTACAAAGAAGTTTCTGAGAATGCTTCTGTCTAGATTTTATATGTAGATAGATATTCCCGTTTCCAACGAAATCCTCAAAGCTATCCAAATATCAACTTGCAGATTCTACAAAAGGAATGTTTCCAAAATGCTGTATCCAAACAAAGGTTCAACTCTGTGAATTGAGGGCATACATCACAAAGAAGATTCTGAGAATGCTTCTGTCTAGATTTTATATGAAAATATTCCCGTTTCCAACGAAATCCTCAAAGCTATCCAAATATCCACTTGCAAATGCCACAAAAAGAGTGTTTCCAAACTGCTCTGTGAAAAGGAAGGTTCAACTCTGTTAGTTGAGTACACACATCACAAAGAGGTTTCTGAGAATGCTGCTGACTAGTTTTTATTTGAAGATATTTCCCTTTTCACCTTAGGCCTAAGAGTGCTCGAAATGTCCATTTCCACATACTCCACAAAGTGTGTTTCAAACGTGCTGTATGAAAGGGAATGTTCAACTCTATGAGTTGAATGCAAACATCACAAAGAAGATTCTGAGAATGCTTTTGTCTAGATTTTATATGAAGATATTCCCGTGTCCAACGAAATTTTCAAAGGTCTCCAAATATCCATTTGTAGATTCTACAAAAAGAGTGTTTCCAAACTGCTGTATCAAAACAAAGGTTGAACTCTGTGAGTTGAGGACACACATCACAAATAAGTTTCTGAGAATGCTTCTGTCTAGTTTTTATTTGAAGATGTTTCCTTTTTCACCATAGGCCTGAAAGCGCTCGAAATGTCCACTTCCAGATAGTACAGAAAGAGTGTTTCAAACCTGCTCTATGAACGGGAATGTTCAGCTCTGTGAGTTGAATGCAAACATCACAAAGCAGGTTCTGAGAATGCTTCCGTCTAGATTTTAAATGAGGATATTCCCGTTTCCAACGAAATCCTCGAAGCTATCCAAATATCCACTTGCAGATTCCACAAAAAGAGTGTTTCAAAACTGCTCTGTCAAAAGATAGGTTCAACTCTGTTAGTTGAGTACACACATGGCAAACAAGATTCCGAGAATGCTTTCGTCTAGTTTTTTTGGGAAGATATTTCCTTCTTCACCATAGGCCTCAAAGCGCTCCAAATATCCATTTCCACATGCTATACAAAGAGTGTCTCAAACCTGCTGTATGAATGGGAATGTTCAACTCTATGAGTTGAATGCAAACATCACAAAGAAGTTTCTGAGAATGCTGCTGTCTAGATTTTATATGAAGGTTTTCCCGCTTCCAACGAAATTTTCAATGCTCTCAAAATATCCTCTTGTAGATTCTACAAAAAGAGTGTTTCCAAACTGCTGTATCAAAACAAAGGTTCATCTCTGTTAGTTGAGGACACACATCACAAATAAGTTTCTGAGAATGCTTCTGTCTAGTTCTTATTTGAAGACATTTCCTTTCTCACCTTAGGCCTGAAAGCGCTCGAAATACCCACTTCCAGATACTACAGAAACAGTGATTCAAACCTGCTCTATGAAAGGGAATGTTCAACTATGTGACTTGAATGCAAACATCGCAAAGCAGTTTCTGAGAATGCTGCTGTCTACTTTCTATTTGTAATCCCGTTTCCAACGAAATCCTCAGAACTATCGAAATTTCCAATTGCAGATTCCACAGAAACAGGGTTTCAAAGCTGCTCTGTAAAAAGAAAGGTTCAACTCTGTTAGTTGAATACACACGTCACAAACAAGTTTCTGAGAATGCTTCTGTCTAGTTTTTATGGGAAGATATTTCCTTTTTCACCGTAGGCCTCAAAGCGCTCCAAATGTCCACTTCCACATACTACAAAAAGAGTGTTTCAAACCTGCTGTATGAAAGGGAATGTTCAACTCTATGAGTTGAATGCAAACATTACAAAGAAGTTTCTGAGAATGCTTCTGTCTAGATTTTATATGAAGGTTTTCCCGTTTCCAACGAAATTTTCAATGCTCTCAAAATATCCACTTGTAGATTCTACAAAAAGAGTGTTTCCAAACTGCTGTGTCAAAAGAAAGGTTCAACTCTGTTAGTTGAGGACACACATCACAAATAAGTTTCTGAGAATGCTTCTGTCTAGTTCTTATTTGAAGACATTTCCTTTCTCACCTTAGGCCTGAAAACGCTCGAAATATCCACTTCCAGATACGACAGAAACAGTGATTCAAACCTGCTCTATGAAAGGGAATGTTCAACTAGGTGACTTGAATGCAAACATCACAAAGCAGTTTCTGAGAATGCTGCTGTCTACTTTCTATTTGTAATCCCGTTTCCAACGAAATCCTCAGAACTATCGAAATTTCCAATTGCAGATTCCACAGAAACAGGGTTTCAAAGCTGCTCTGTAAAAAGAAAGGTTCAACTCTGTTAGTTGAATACACACGTCACAAACAAGTTTCTGAGAATGCTTCTGTCTAGTTTTTATGGGAAGATATTTCCTTTTTCACCGTAGGCCTCAAAGCGCTCCAAATGTCCACTTCCACATACTACAAAAAGAGTGTTTCAAACCTGCTCTATGATAGGGAATGTTGAAACCTATGAGTTGAATGCAAGCATTACAAAGAGGTTTCTGAGAATGCTTCTGTCTAGATTTTATATGTAGATATTCCCGTTTCCAACGAAATCCTCAAAGCTATCCAAATATCAACTTGCAGATTCTACAAAAGGAATGTTTCCAAAATGCTGTATCCAAACAAAGGTTCAACTCTGTGAATTGAGGGCATACATCACAAAGAAGATTCTGAGAATGCTCTGTCTAGATTTTATATGAAAATATTCCCGTTTCCAACGAAATCCTCAAAGCTATCCAAATATCCACTTGCAAATGCCACAAAAAGAGTGTTTCCAAACTGCTCTGTGAAAAGGAAGGTTCAACTCTGTTAGTTGAGTACACACATCACAAAGAGGTTTCTGAGAATGCTGGCTGACTAGTTTTTATTTGAAGATATTTCCCTTTTCACCTTAGGCCTAAGAGTGCTCGAAATGTCCATTTCCACTTACTACACAAAGTGTGTTTCTAACGTGCTGTATGAAAGGGAATGCTCAACTCTATGAGTTGAATGCAAACATCACAAAGAAGAATCTGAGAATGCTTTTGTCTAGCATTTTATATGAAGATATTCCCGTGTCCAACGAAATTTTCAAAGGTCTCCAAATATCCATTTGTAGATTCTACAAAAAGAGTGTTTCCAAACTGCTGTATCAAAACAAAGGTTGAACTCTGTGAGTTGAGGACACACATCACAAATAAGTTTCTGAGAATGCTTCTGTCTAGTTTTTATTTGAAGATGTTTCCTTTTTCACCATAGGCCTGAAAGCGCTCGAAATGTCCACTTCCAGATAGTACAGAAAGAGTGTTTCAAACCTGCTCTATGAACGGGAATGTTCAGCTCTGTGAGTTGAATGCAAACATCACAAAGCAGGTTCTGAGAATGCTTCCGTCTAGATTTTAAATGAGGATATTCCCGTTTCCAACGAAATCCTCGAAGCTATCCAAATATCCACTTGCAGATTCCACAAAAAGAGTGTTTCAAAACTGCTCTGTCAAAAGATAGGTTCAACTCTGTTAGTTGAGTACACACATGGCAAACAAGATTCCGAGAATGCTTTCGTCTAGTTTTTTTGGGAAGATATTTCCTTCTTCACCATGGGCCTCAAAGCGCTCCAAATATCCATTTCCACATGCTATACAAAGAGTGTCTCAAACCTGCTGTATGAATGGGAATGTTCAACTCTATGAGTTGAATGCAAACATCACAAAGAAGTTTCTGAGAATGCTGCTGTCTAGAATTTATATGAAGGTTTTCCCGCTTCCAACGAAATTTTCAATGCTCTCAAAATATCCTCTTGTAGATTCTACAAAAAGAGTGTTTCCAAACTGCTGTATCAAAACAAAGGTTCATCTCTGTTAGTTGAGGACACACATCACAAATAAGTTTCTGAGAATGCTTCTGTCTAGTTCTTATTTGAAGACATTTCCTTTCTCACCTTAGGCCTGAAAGCGCTCGAAATACCCACTTCCAGATACTACAGAAACAGTGATTCAAACCTGCTCTATGAAAGGGAATGTTCAACTAGGTGACTTGAATGCAAACATCACAAAGCAGTTTCTGAGAATGCTGCTGTCTACTTTCTATTTGTAATCCCGTGTCCAACGAAATCCTCAGAACTATCGAAATTTCCAATTGCAGATTCCACAGAAACAGGGTTTCAAAGCTGCTCTGTAAAAAGAAAGGTTCAACTCTGTTAGTTGAATACACACGTCACAAACAAGTTTCTGAGAATGCTTCTGTCTAGTTTTTATGGGAAGATATTTCCTTTTTCACCGTAGGCCTCAAAGCGCTCCAAATGTCCACTTCCACATACTACAAAAAGAGTGTTTCAAACCTGCTGTATGAAAGGGAATGTTCAACTCTATGAGTTGAATGCAAACATTACAAAGAAGTTTCTGAGAATGCTTCTGTCTAGATTTTATATGAAGGTTTTCCCGTTTCCAACGAAATTTTCAATGCTCTCAAAATATCCACTTGTAGATTCTACAAAAAGAGTGTTTCCAAACTGCTGTGTCAAAAGAAAGGTTCAACTCTGTTAGTTGAGGACACACATCACAAATAAGTTTCTGAGAATGCTTCTGTCTAGTTCTTATTTGAAGACATTTCCTTTCTCACCTTAGGCCTGAAAACGCTCGAAATATCCACTTCCAGATACGACAGAAACAGTGATTCAAACATGCTCTATGAAAGGGAATGTTCAACTAGGTGACTTGAATGCAAACATCACAAAGCAGTTTCTGAGAATGCTTGCTGTCTACTTTCTATTTGTAATCCCGTTTCCAACGAAATCCTCAGCAACTATCGAAATTTCCAATTGCAGATTCCACAGAAACAGGGTTTCAAAGCTGCTCTGTAAAAAGAAAGGTTCAACTCTGTTAGTTGAATACACACGTCACAAACAAGTTTCTGAGAATGCTTCTGTCTAGTTTTTATGGGAAGCATATTTCCTTTTTCACCGTAGGCCTCAAAGCGCTCCAAATGTCCACTTCCACATACTACAAAAAGAGTGTTTCAAACCTGCTCTATGATAGGGAATGTTGAAACCTATGAGTTGAATGCAAACATTACAAAGAGGTTTCTGAGAATGCTTCTGTCTAGATTTTATATGTAGATATTCCCGTTTCCAACGAAATCCTCAAAGCTATCCAAATATCAACTTGCAGATTCTGCAAAAGGAATGTTTCCAAAATGCTGTATCCAAACAAAGGTTCAACTCTGTGAATTGAGGGCATACATCACAAAGAAGATTCTGAGAATGCTTCTGTCTAGATTTTATATGAAAATATTCCCGTTTCCAACGAAATCCTCAAAGCTATCCAAATATCCACTTGCAAATGCCACAAAAAGAGTGTTTCCAAACTGCTCTGTGAAAAGGAAGGTTCAACTCTGTTAGTTGAGTACACACATCACAAAGAGGTTTCTGAGAATGCTGCTGACTAGTTTTTATTTGAAGATATTTCCCTTTTCACCTTAGGCCTAAGAGTGCTCGAAATGTCCATTTCCACATACTCCACAAAGTGTGTTTCAAACGTGCTGTATGAAAGGGAATGTTCAACTCTATGAGTTGAATGCAAACATCACAAAGAAGATTCTGAGAATGCTTTTGTCTAGATTTTATATGAAGATATTCCCGTGTCCAACGAAATTTTCAAAGGTCTCCAAATATCCATTTGTAGATTCTACAAAAAGAGTGTTTCCAAACTGCTGTATCAAAACAAAGGTTGAACTCTGTGAGTTGAGGACACACATCACAAATAAGTTTCTGAGAATGCTTCTGTCTAGTTTTTATTTGAAGATGTTTCCTTTTTCACCATAGGCCTGAAAGCGCTCGAAATGTCCACTTCCAGATAGTACAGAAAGAGTGTTTCAAACCTGCTCTATGAACGGGAATGTTCAGCTCTGTGAGTTGAATGCAAACATCACAAAGCAGGTTCTGAGAATGCTTCCGTCTAGATTTTAAATGAGGATATTCCCGTTTCCAACGAAATCCTCGAAGCTATCCAAATATCCACTTGCAGATTCCACAAAAAGAGTGTTTCAAAACTGCTCTGTCAAAAGATAGGTTCAACTCTGTTAGTTGAGTACACACATGGCAAACAAGATTGCGAGAATGCTTTCGTCTAGTTTTTTTGGGAAGATATTTCCTTCTTCACCATAGGCCTCAAAGCGCTCCAAATATCCATTTCCACATGCTATACAAAGAGTGTCTCAAACCTGCTGTATGAATGGGAATGTTCAACTCTATGAGTTGAATGCAAACATCACAAAGAAGTTTCTGAGAATGCTTCTGTCTAGATTTTATATGAAGGTTTTCCCGCTTCCAACGAAATTTTCAATGATCTCAAAATATCCTCTTGTAGATTCTACAAAAAGAGTGTTTCCAAACTGCTGTATCAAAACAAAGGTTCATCTCTGTTAGTTGAGGACACACATCACAAATAAGTTTCTGAGAATGCTTCTGTCTAGTTCTTATTTGAAGACATTTCCTTTCTCACCTTAGGCCTGAAAGCGCTCGAAATACCCACTTCCAGATACTACAGAAACAGTGATTCAAACCTGCTCTATGAAAGGGAATGTTCAACTATGTGACTTGAATGCAAACATCACAAAGCAGTTTCTGAGAATGCTGCTGTCTACTTTCTATTTGTAATCCCGTTTCCAACGAAATCCTCAGAACTATCGAAATTTCCAATTGCAGATTCCACAAAAAGCGTGTTTCAAAGCTGCTCTGTAAAAAGAAAGGTTCAACTCTGTTAGTTGAATACACACGTCACAAACAAGTTTCTGAGAATGCTTCTGTCTAGTTTTTATGGGAAGATATTTCCTTTTTCACCGTAGGCCTCAAAGCGCTCCAAGTGTCCACTTCCACATACTACAAAAAGAGTGTTTCAAACCTGCTGTATGAAAGGGAATGTTCAACTCTATGAGTTGAATGCAAACATTACAAAGAAGTTTCTGAGAATGCTTCTGTCTAGATTTTATATGAAGGTTTTCCCGTTTCCAACGAAATTTTCAATGCTCTCAAAATATCCACTTGTAGATTCTACAAAAAGAGTGTTTCCAAACTGCTGTGTCAAAAGAAAGGTTCAACTCTGTTAGTTGAGGACACACATCACAAATAAGTTTCTGAGAATGCTTCTGTCTAGTTCTTATTTGAAGACATTTCCTTTCTCACCTTAGGCCTGAAAACGCTCGAAATATCCACTTCCAGATACGACAGAAACAGTGATTCAAACCTGCTCTATGAAAGGGTATGTTCAACTAGGTGACTTGAATGCAAACATCACAAAGCAGTTTCTGAGAATGCTGCTGTCTACTTTCTATTTGTAATCCCGTTTCCAACGAAATCCTCAGAACTATCGAAATTTCCAATTGCAGATTCCACAAAAAGCGTGTTTCAAAGCTGCTCTGTAAAAAGAAAGGTTCAACTCTGTTAGTTGAATACACACGTCACAAACAAGTTTCTGAGAATGCTTCTGTCTAGTTTTTATGGGAAGATATTTCCTTTTTCACCGTAGGCCTCAAAGCGCTCCAAATGTCCACTTCCACATACTACAAAAAGAGTGTTTCAAACCTGCTCTATGATAGGGAATGTTGAAACCTATGAGTTGAATGCAAGCATTACAAAGAGGTTTCTGAGAATGCTTCTGTCTAGATTTTATATGTAGATATTCCCGTTTCCAACGAAATCCTCAAAGCTATCCAAATATCAGCTTGCAGATTCTGCAAAAGGAATGTTTCCAAAATGCTGTATCCAAACAAAGGTTCAACTCTGTGAATTGAGGGCATACATCACAAAGAAGATTCTGAGAATGCTTCTGTCTAGATTTTATATGAAAATATTCCCGTTTCCAACGAAATCCTCAAAGCTATCCAAATATCCACTTGCAAATGCCACAAAAAGAGTGTTTCCAAACTGCTCTGTGAAAAGGAAGGTTCAACTCTGTTAGTTGAGTACACACATCACAAAGAGGTTTCTGAGAATGCTGCTGACTAGTTTTTATTTGAAGATATTTCCCTTTTCACCTTAGGCCTAAGAGTGCTCGAAATGTCCATTTCCACATACTCCACAAAGTGTGTTTCAAACGTGCTGTATGAAAGGGAATGTTCAACTCTATGAGTTGAATGCAAACATCACAAAGAAGATTCTGAGAATGCTTTTGTCTAGATTTTATATGAAGATATTCCCGTGTCCAACGAAATTTTCAAAGGTCTCCAAATATCCATTTGTAGATTCTACAAAAAGAGTGTTTCCAAACTGCTGTATCAAAACAAAGGTTGAACTCTGTGAGTTGAGGACACACATCACAAATAAGTTTCTGAGAATGCTTCTGTCTAGTTTTTATTTGAAGATGTTTCCTTTTTCACCATAGGCCTGAAAGCGCTCGAAATGTCCACTTCCAGATAGTACAGAAAGAGTGTTTCAAACCTGCTCTATGAACGGGAATGTTCAGCTCTGTGAGTTGAATGCAAACATCACAAAGCAGGTTCTGAGAATGCTTCCGTCTAGGTTTTAAATGAGGATATTCCCGTTTCCAACGAAATCCTCGAAGCTATCCAAATATCCACTTGCAGATTCCACAAAAAGAGTGTTTCAAAACTGCTCTGTCAAAAGATAGGTTCAACTCTGTTAGTTGAGTACACACATGGCAAACAAGATTCCGAGAATGCTTTCGTCTAGTTTTTTTGGGAAGATATTTCCTTCTTCACCATAGGCCTCAAAGCGCTCCAAATATCCATTTCCACATGCTATACAAAGAGTGTCTCAAACCTGCTGTATGAATGGGAATGTTCAACTCTATGAGTTGAATGCAAACATCACAAAGAAGTTTCTGAGAATGCTGCTGTCTAGATTTTATATGAAGGTTTTCCCGCTTCCAACGAAATTTTCAATGCTCTCAAAATATCCTCTTGTAGATTCTACAAAAAGAGTGTTTCCAAACTGCTGTATCAAAACAAAGGTTCATCTCTGTTAGTTGAGGACACACATCACAAATAAGTTTCTGAGAATGCTTCTGTCTAGTTCTTATTTGAAGACATTTCCTTTCTCACCTTAGGCCTGAAAGCGCTCGAAATACACACTTCCAGATACTACAGAAACAGTGATTCAAACCTGCTCTATGAAAGCGAATGTTCAACTAGGTGACTTGAATGCAAACATCACAAAGCAGTTTCTGAGAATGCTGCTGTCTACTTTCTATTTGTAATCCCGTTTCCAACGAAATCCTCAGAACTATCGAAATTTCCAATTGCAGATTCCACAGAAACAGGGTTTCAAAGCTGCTCTGTAAAAAGAAAGGTTCAACTCTGTTAGTTGAATACACACGTCACAAACAAGTTTCTGAGAATGCTTCTGTCTAGTTTTTATGGGAAGATATTTCCTTTTTCACCGTAGGCCTCAAAGCGCTCCAAATGTCCACTTCCACATACTACAAAAAGAGTGTTTCAAACCTGCTGTATGAAAGGGAATGTTCAACTCTATGAGTTGAATGCAAACATTACAAAGAAGTTTCTGAGAATGCTTCTGTCTAGATTTTATATGAAGGTTTTCCCGTTTCCAACGAAATTTTCAATGCTCTCAAAATATCCACTTGTAGATTCTACAAAAAGAGTGTTTCCAAACTGCTGTGTCAAAAGAAAGGTTCAACTCTGTTAGTTGAGGACACACATCACAAATAAGTTTCTGAGAATGCTTCTGTCTAGTTCTTATTTGAAGACATTTCCTTTCTCACCTTAGGCCTGAAAACGCTCGAAATATCCACTTCCAGATACGACAGAAACAGTGATTCAAACCTGCTCTATGAAAGGGAATGTTCAACTAGGTGACTTGAATGCAAACATCACAAAGCAGTTTCTGAGAATGCTGCTGTCTACTTTCTATTTGTAATCCCGTTTCCAACGAAATCCTCAGAACTATCGAAATTTCCAATTGCAGATTCCACAAAAAGCGTGTTTCAAAGCTGCTCTGTAAAAAGAAAGGTTCAACTCTGTTAGTTGAATACACACGTCACAAACAAGTTTCTGAGAATGCTTCTGTCTAGTTTTTATGGGAAGATATTTCCTTTTTCACCGTAGGCCTCAAAGCGCTCCAAATGTCCACTTCCACATACTACAAAAAGAGTGTTTCAAACCTGCTCTATGATAGGGAATGTTGAAACCTATGAGTTGAATGCAAGCATTACAAAGAGGTTTCTGAGAATGCTTCTGTCTAGATTTTATATGTAGATATTCCCGTTTCCAACGAAATCCTCAAACTATCCAAATATCAACTTGCAGATTCTACAAAAGGAATGTTTCCAAAATGCTGTATCCAAACAAAGGTTCAACTCTGTGAATTGAGGGCATACATCACAAAGAAGATTCTGAGAATGCTTCTGTCTAGATTTTATATGAAAATATTCCCGTTTCCAACGAAATCCTCAAAGCTATCCAAATATCCACTTGCAAATGCCACAAAAAGAGTGTTTCCAAACTGCTCTGTGAAAAGGAAGGTTCAACTCTGTTAGTTGAGTACACACATCACAAAGAGGTTTCTGAGAATGCTGCTGACTAGTTTTTATTTGAAGATATTTCCCTTTTCACCTTAGGCCTAAGAGTGCTCGAAATGTCCATTTCCACATACTCCACAAAGTGTGTTTCAAACGTGCTGTATGAAAGGGAACGTTCAAATCTATGAGTTGAATGCAAACATCACAAAGAAGATTCTGAGAATGCTTTTGTCTAGATTTTATATGAAGATATTCCCGTGTCCAACGAAATTTTCAAAGGTCTCCAAATATCCATTTGTAGATTCTACAAAAAGAGTGTTTCCAAACTGCTGTATCAAAACAAAGGTTGAACTCTGTGAGTTGAGGACACACATCACAAATAAGTTTCTGAGAATGCTTCTGTCTAGTTTTTATTTGAAGATGTTTCCTTTTTCACCATAGGCCTGAAAGCGCTCGAAATGTCCACTTCCAGATAGTACAGAAAGAGTGTTTCAAACCTGCTCTATGAACGGGAATGTTCAGCTCTGTGAGTTGAATGCAAACATCACAAAGCAGGTTCTGAGAATGCTTCCGTCTAGATTTTAAATGAGGATATTCCCGTTTCCAAAGAAATCCTCGAAGCTATCCAAATATCCACTTGCAGATTCCACAAAAAGAGTGTTTCAAAACTGCTCTGTAAAAAGATAGGTTCAACTCTGTTAGTTGAGTACACACATGGCAAACAAGATTCCGAGAATGCTTTCGTCTAGTTTTTTTGGGAAGATATTTCCTTCTTCACCATAGGCCTCAAAGCGCTCCAAATATCCATTTCCACATGCTATACAAAGAGTGTCTCAAACCTGCTGTATGAATGGGAATGTTCAACTCTATGAGTTGAATGCAAACATCACAAAGAAGTTTCTGAGAATGCTGCTGTCTAGATTTTATATGAAGGTTTTCCCGCTTCCAACGAAATTTTCAATGCTCTCAAAATATCCTCTTGTAGATTCTACAAAAAGAGTGTTTCCAAACTGCTGTATCAAAACAAAGGTTCATCTCTGTTAGTTGAGGACACACATCACAAATAAGTTTCTGAGAATGCTTCTGTTTAGTTCTTATTTGAAGACATTTCCTTTCTCACCTTAGGCCTGAAAGCGCTCGAAATACCCACTTCCAGATACTACAGAAACAGTGATTCAAACCTGCTCTATGAAAGGGAATGTTCAACTAGGTGACTTGAATGCAAACATCACAAAGCAGTTTCTGAGAATGCTGCTGTCTACTTTCTATTTGTAATCCCGTTTCCAACGAAATCCTCAGAACTATCGAAATTTCCAATTGCAGATTCCACAGAAACAGGGTTTCAAAGCTGCTCTGTAAAAAGAAAGGTTCAACTCTGTTAGTTGAATACACACGTCACAAACAAGTTTCTGAGAATGCTTCTGTCTAGTTTTTATGGGAAGATATTTCCTTTTTCACCGTAGGCCTCAAAGCGCTCCAAATGTCCACTTCCACATACTACAAAAAGAGTGTTTCAAACCTGCTGTATGAAAGGGAATGTTCAACTCTATGAGTTGAATGCAAACATTACAAAGAAGTTTCTGAGAATGCTTCTGTCTAGATTTTATATGAAGGTTTTCCCGTTTCCAACGAAATTTTCAATGCTCTCAAAATATCCACTTGTAGATTCTACAAAAAGAGTGTTTCCAAACTGCTGTGTCAAAAGAAAGGTTCAACTCTGTTAGTTGAGGACACACATCACAAATAAGTTTCTGAGAATGCTTCTGTCTAGTTCTTATTTGAAGACATTTCCTTTCTCACCTTAGGCCTGAAAACGCTCGAAATATCCACTTCCAGATACCACAGAAACAGTGATTCAAACCTGCTCTATGAAAGGGAATGTTCAACTAGGTGACTTGAATGCAAACATCACAAAGCAGTTTCTGAGAATGCTGCTGTCTACTTTCTATTTGTAATCCCGTTTCCAACGAAATCCTCAGAACTATCGAAATTTCCAATTGCAGATTCCACAAAAAGCGTGTTTCAAAGCTGCTCTGTAAAAAGAAAGGTTCAACTCTGTTAGTTGAATACACACGTCACAAACAAGTTTCTGAGAATGCTTCTGTCTAGTTTTTATGGGAAGATATTTCCTTTTTCACCGTAGGCCTCAAAGCGCTCCAAATGTCCACTTCCACATACTACAAAAAGAGTGTTTCAAACCTGCTCTATGATAGGGAATGTTGAAACCTATGAGTTGAATGCAAGCATTACAAAGAGGTTTCTGAGAATGCTTCTGTCTAGATTTTATATGTAGATATTCCCGTTTCCAACGAAATCCTCAAAGCTATCCAAATATCAACTTGCAGATTCTACAAAAGGAATGTTTCCAAAATGCTGTATCCAAACAAAGGTTCAACTCTGTGAATTGAGGGCATACATCACAAAGAAGATTCTGAGAATGCTTCTGTCTAGATTTTATATGAAAATATTCCCGTTTCCAACGAAATCCTCAAAGCTATCCAAATATCCACTTGCAAATGCCACAAAAAGAGTGTTTCCAAACTGCTCTGTGAAAAGGAAGGTTCAACTCTGTTAGTTGAGTACACACATCACAAAGAGGTTTCTGAGAATGCTGCTGACTAGTTTTTATTTGAAGATATTTCCCTTTTCACCTTAGGCCTAAGAGTGCTCAAAATGTCCATTTCCACATACTCCACAAAGTGTGTTTCAAACGTGCTGTATGAAAGGGAATGTTCAACTCTATGAGTTGAATGCAAACATCACAAAGAAGATTCTGAGAATGCTTTTGTCTAGATTTTATATGAAGATATTCCCGTGTCCAACGAAATTTTCAAAGGTCTCCAAATATCCATTTGTAGATTCTACAAAAAGAGTGTTTCCAAACTGCTGTATCAAAACAAAGGTTGAACTCTGTGAGTTGAGGACACACATCACAAATAAGTTTCTGAGAATGCTTCTGTCTAGTTTTTATTTGAAGATGTTTCCTTTTTCACCATAGGCCTGAAAGCGCTCGAAATGTCCACTTCCAGATAGTACAGAAAGAGTGTTTCAAACCTGCTCTATGAACGGGAATGTTCAGCTCTGTGAGTTGAATGCAAACATCACAAAGCAGGTTCTGAGAATGCTTCCGTCTAGATTTTAAATGAGGATATTCCCGTTTCCAACGAAATCCTCGAAGCTATCCAAATATCCACTTGCAGATTCCACAAAAAGAGTGTTTCAAAACTGCTCTGTCAAAAGATAGGTTCAACTCTGTTAGTTGAGTACACACATGGCAAACAAGATTCCGAGAATGCTTTCGTCTAGTTTTTTTGGGAAGATATTTCCTTCTTCACCATAGGCCTCAAAGCGCTCCAAATATCCATTTCCACATGCTATACAAAGAGTGTCTCAAACCTGCTGTATGAATGGGAATGTTCAACTCTATGAGTTGAATGCAAACATCACAAAGAAGTTTCTGAGAATGCTGCTGTCTAGATTTTATATGAAGGTTTTCCCGCTTCCAACGAAATTTTCAATGCTCTCAAAATATCCTCTTGTAGATTCTACAAAAAGAGTGTTTCCAAACTGCTGTATCAAAACAAAGGTTCATCTCTGTTAGTTGAGGACACACATCACAAATAAGTTTCTGAGAATGCTTCTGTCTAGTTCTTATTTGAAGACATTTCCTTTCTCACCTTAGGCCTGAAAACGCTCGAAATATCCACTTCCAGATACGACAGAAACAGTGATTCAAACCTGCTCTATGAAAGGGAATGTTCAACTAGGTGACTTGAATGCAAACATCACAAAGCAGTTTCTGAGAATGCTGCTGTCTACTTTCTATTTGTAATCCCGTTTCCAACGAAATCCTCAGAACCATCGAAATTTCCAATTGCAGATTCCACAGAAACAGGGTTTCAAAGCTGCTCTGTAAAAAGAAAGGTTCAACTCTGTTAGTTGAATACACACGTCCAAACAAGTTTCTGAGAATGCTTCTGTCTAGTTTTTATGGGAACATATTTCCTTTATCACGGTAGGCCTCAAAGCGCTCCAAATGTCCACTTCCACATACTACAAAAAGAGTGTTTCAAACCTGCTCTATGATAGGGAATGTTGAAACCTATGAGTTGAATGCAAGCATTACAAAGAGGTTTCTGAGAATGCTTCTGTCTAGATTTTATATGTAGATATTCCCGTTTCCAACGAAATCCTCAAAGCTATCCAAATATCAACTTGCAGATTCTGCAAAAGGAATGTTTCCAAAATGCTGTATCCAAACAAAGGTTCAACTCTGTGAATTGAGGGCATACATCACAAAGAAGATTCTGAGAATGCTTCTGTCTAGATTTTATATGAAAATATTCCCGTTTCAAAGAAATCCTCAAAGCTATCCAAATATCCACTTGCAAATGCCACAAAAAGAGTGTTTCCAAACTGCTCTGTGAAAAGGAAGGTTCAACTCTGTTAGTTGAGTACACACATCACAAAGAGGTTTCTGAGAATGCTGCTGACTAGTTTTTATTTGAAGATATTTCCCTTTTCACCTTAGGCCTAAGAGTGCTCGAAATGTCCATTTCCACATACTCCACAAAGTGTGTTTCAAACGTGCTGTATGAAAGGGAATGTTCAACTCTATGAGTTGAATGCAAACATCACAAAGAAGATTCTGAGAATGCTTTTGTCTAGATTTTATATGAAGATATTCCCGTGTCCAACGAAATTTTCAAAGGTCTCCAAATATCCATTTGTAGATTCTACAAAAAGAGTGTTTCCAAACTGCTGTATCAAAACAAAGGTTGAACTCTGTGAGTTGAGGACACACATCACAAATAAGTTTCTGAGAATGCTTCTGTCTAGTTTTTATTTGAAGATGTTTCCTTTTTCACCATAGGCCTGAAAGCGCTCGAAATGTCCACTTCCAGATAGTACAGAAAGAGTGTTTCAAACCTGCTCTATGAACGGGAATGTTCAGCTCTGTGAGTTGAATGCAAACATCACAAAGCAGGTTCTGAGAATGCTTCCGTCTAGATTTTAAATGAGGATATTCCCGTTTCCAACGAAATCCTCGAAGCTATCCAAATATCCACTTGCAGATTCCACAAAAAGAGTGTTTCAAAACTGCTCTGTCAAAAGATAGGTTCAACTCTGTTAGTTGAGTACACACATGGCAAACAAGATTCCGAGAATGCTTTCGTCTAGTTTTTTTGGGAAGATATTTCCTTCTTCACCATAGGCCTCAAAGCGCTCCAAATATCCATTCCCACATGCTATACAAAGAGTGTCTCAAACCTGCTGTATGAATGGGAATGTTCAACTCTATGAGTTGAATGCAAACATCACAAAGAAGTTTCTGAGAATGCTTCTGTCTAGATTTTATATGAAGGTTTTCCCGCTTCCAACGAAATTTTCAATGCTCTCAAAATATCCTCTTGTAGATTCTACAAAAAGAGTGTTTCCAAACTGCTGTATCAAAACAAAGGTTCATCTCTGTTAGTTGAGGACACACATCACAAATAAGTTTCTGAGAATGCTTCTGTCTAGTTCTTATTTGAAGACATTTCCTTTCTCACCTTAGGCCTGAAAACGCTCGTAATATCCACTTCCAGATACGACAGAAACTGTGATTCAAACCTGCTCTATGAAAGGGAATGTTCAACTAGGTGACTTGAATGCAAACATCACAAAGCAGTTTCTGAGAATGCTGCTGTCTACTTTCTATTTGTAATCCCGTTTGCAACGAAATCCTCAGAACTATCGAAATTTCCAATTGCAGATTCCACAGAAACAGGGTTTCAAAGCTGCTCTGTAAAAAGAAAGGTTCAACTCTGTTAGTTGAATACACACGTCACAAACAAGTTTCTGAGAATGCTTCTGTCTAGTTTTTATGGGAAGATATTTCCTTTTTCACCGTAGGCCTCAAAGCGCTCCAAATGTCCACTTCCACATACTACAAAAAGAGTGTTTCAAACCTGCTGTATGAAAGGGAATGTTTAACTCTATGAGTTGAATGCAAACATTACAAAGAAGTTTCTGAGAATGCTTCTGTCTAGATTTTATATGAAGGTTTTCCCGTTTCCAAGGAAATTTTCAATGCTCTCAAAATATACACTTGTAGATTCTACAAAAAGAGTGTTTCCAATCTGCTGTGTCAAAGGAAAGGTTCAACTCTGTTAGTTGAGGACACACATCACAAAGAGGTTTCTGAGAATGCTGCTGACTAGTTTTTATTTGAAGATATTTCCCTTTTCACCTTAGGCCTAAGAGTGCTCGAAATGTCCATTTCCACATACTCCACAAAGTGTGTTTCAAACGTGCTGTATGAAAGGGAATGTTCAACTCTATGAGTTGAATGCAAACATCACAAAGAAGATTCTGAGAATGCTTTTGTCTAGATTTTATATGAAGATATTCCCGTGTCCAACGAAATTTTCAAAGGTCTCCAAATATCCATTTGTAGATTCTACAAAAAGAGTGTTTCCAAACTGCTGTATCAAAACAAAGGTTGAACTCTGTGAGTTGAGGACACACATCACAAATAAGTTTCTGAGAATGCTTCTGTCTAGTTTTTATTTGAAGATGTTTCCTTTTTCACCATAGGCCTGAAAGCGCTCGAAATGTCCACTTCCAGATAGTACAGAAAGAGTGTTTCAAACCTGCTCTATGAACGGGAATGTTCAGCTCTGTGAGTTGAATGCAAACATCACAAAGCAGGTTCTGAGAATGCTTCCGTCTAGATTTTAAATGAGGATATTCCCGTTTCCAACGAAATCCTCGAAGCTATCCAAATATCCACTTGCAGATTCCACAAAAAGAGTGTTTCAAAACTGCTCTGTCAAAAGATAGGTTCAACTCTGTTAGTTGAGTACACACATGGCAAACAAGATTGCGAGAATGCTTTCGTCTAGTTTTTTTGGGAAGATATTTCCTTCTTCACCATAGGCCTCAAAGCGCTCCAAATATCCATTTCCACATGCTATACAAAGAGTGTCTCAAACCTGCTGTATGAATGGGAATGTTCAACTCTATGAGTTGAATGCAAACATCACAAAGAAGTTTCTGAGAATGCTGCTGTCTAGATTTTATATGAAGGTTTTCCCGCTTCCAACGAAATTTTCAATGCTCTCAAAATATCCTCTTGTAGATTCTACAAAAAGAGTGTTTCCAAACTGCTGTATCAAAACAAAGGTTCATCTCTGTTAGTTGAGGACACACATCACAAATAAGTTTCTGAGAATGCTTCTGTCTAGTTCTTATTTGAAGACATTTCCTTTCTCACCTTAGGCCTGAAAGCGCTCGAAATACCCACTTCCAGATACTACAGAAACAGTGATTCAAACCTGCTCTATGAAAGGGAATGTTCAACTAGGTGACTTGAATGCAAACATCACAAAGCAGTTTCTGAGAATGCTGCTGTCTACTTTCTATTTGTAATCCCGTTTCCAACGAAATCCTCAGAACTATCGAAATTTCCAATTGCAGATTCCACAGAAACAGGGTTTCAAAGCTGCTCTGTAAAAAGAAAGGTTCAACTCTGTTAGTTGAATACACACGTCACAAACAAGTTTCTGAGAATGCTTCTGTCTAGTTTTTATGGGAAGATATTTCCTTTTTCACCGTAGGCCTCAAAGCGCTCCAAATGTCCACTTCCACATACTACAAAAAGAGTGTTTCAAACCTGCTGTATGAAAGGGAATGTTCAACTCTATGAGTTGAATGCAAACATTACAAAGAAGTTTCTGAGAATGCTTCTGTCTAGATTTTATATGAAGGTTTTCCCGTTTCCAACGAAATTTTCAATGCTCTCAAAATATCCACTTGTAGATTCTACAAAAAGAGTGTTTCCAAACTGCTGTGTCAAAAGAAAGGTTCAACTCTGTTAGTTGAGGACACACATCACAAATAAGTTTCTGAGAATGCTGCTGTCTACTTTCTATTTGTAATCCCGTTTCCACCGAAATCCTCAGAACTATCGAAATTTCCAATT
This sequence comes from Homo sapiens, assembly GCF_000001405.40. Classification (NCBI taxonomy): domain Eukaryota; kingdom Metazoa; phylum Chordata; class Mammalia; order Primates; family Hominidae; genus Homo; species Homo sapiens. The sequence continues at coordinate 19,074,647 of NC_000015.10, read as the reverse complement.
GCAGATTCCACAAAAAGCGTGTTTCAAAGCTGCTCTGTAAAAAGAAAGGTTCAACTCTGTTAGTTGAATACACACGTCACAAACAAGTTTCTGAGAATGCTTCTGTCTAGTTTTTATGGGAAGATATTTCCTTTTTCACCATAGGCCTCAAAGCGCTCCAAATGTCCACTTCCACATACTACAAAAAGAGTGTTTCAAACCTGCTCTATGATAGGGAATGTTGAAACCTATGAGTTGAATGCAAGCATTACAAAGAGGTTTCTGAGAATGCTTCTGTCTAGATTTTATATGTAGATATTCCCGTTTCCAACGAAATCCTCAAAGCTATCCAAATATCAACTTGCAGATTCTACAAAAGGAATGTTTCCAAAATGCTGTATCCAAACAAAGGTTCAACTCTGTGAATTGAGGGCATACATCACAAAGAAGATTCTGAGAATGCTTCTGTCTAGATTTTATATGAAAATATTCCCGTTTCCAACGAAATCCTCAAAGCTATCCAAATATCCACTTGCAAATGCCACAAAAAGAGTGTTTCCAAACTGCTCTGTGAAAAGGAAGGTTCAACTCTGTTAGTTGAGTACACACATCACAAAGAGGTTTCTGAGAATGCTGCTGACTAGTTTTTATTTGAAGATATTTCCCTTTTCACCTTAGGCCTAAGAGTGCTCGAAATGTCCATTTCCACATACTCCACAAAGTGTGTTTCAAACGTGCTGTATGAAAGGGAATGTTCAACTCTATGAGTTGAATGCAAACATCACAAAGAAGACTCTGAGAATGCTTTTGTCTAGATTTTATATGAAGATATTCCCGTGTCCAACGAAATTTTCAAAGGTCTCCAAATATCCATTTGTAGATTCTACAAAAAGAGTGTTTCCAAACTGCTGTATCAAAACAAAGGTTGAACTCTGTGAGTTGAGGACACACATCACAAATAAGTTTCTGAGAATGCTTCTGTCTAGTTTTTGTTTGAAGATATTTCCTTTTTCACCATAGGCCTGAAAGCGCTCGAATTGTCCACTTCCAGATAGTACAGAAAGAGTGTTTCAAACCTGCTCTATGAACGGGAATGTTCAGCTCTGTGAGTTGAATGCAAACATCACAAAGCAGGTTCTGAGAATGCTTCCGTCTAGCATTTTAAATGAGGATATTCCCGTTTCCAACGAAATCCTCGAAGCTATCCAAATATCCACTTGCAGATTCCACAAAAAGAGTGTTTCAAAACTGCTCTGTCAAAAGATAGGTTCAACTCTGTTAGTTGAGTACACACATGGCAAACAAGATTGCGAGAATGCTTTCGTCTAGTTTTTTTGGGAAGATATTTCCTTCTTCACCATAGGCCTCAAAGCGCTCCAAATATCCATTTCCACATGCTATACAAAGAGTGTCTCAAACCTGCTGTATGAATGGGAATGTTCAACTCTATGAGTTGAATGCAAACATCACAAAGAAGTTTCTGAGAATGCTGCTGTCTAGATTTTATATGAAGGTTTTCCCGCTTCCAACGAAATTTTCAATGCTCTCAAAATATCCTCTTGTAGATTCTACAAAAAGAGTGTTTCCAAACTGCTGTATCAAAACAAAGGTTCATCTCTGTTAGTTGAGGACACACATCACAAATAAGTTTCTGAGAATGCTTCTGTCTAGTTCTTATTTGAAGACATTTCCTTTCTCACCTTAGGCCTGAAAGCGCTCGAAATACACACTTCCAGATACTACAGAAACAGTGATTCAAACCTGCTCTATGAAAGCGAATGTTCAACTAGGTGACTTGAATGCAAACATCACAAAGCAGTTTCTGAGAATGCTGCTGTCTACTTTCTATTTGTAATCCCGTTTCCAACGAAATCCTCAGAACTATCGAAATTTCCAATTGCAGATTCCACAGAAACAGGGTTTCAAAGCTGCTCTGTAAAAAGAAAGGTTCAACTCTGTTAGTTGAATACACACGTCACAAACAAGTTTCTGAGAATGCTTCTGTCTAGTTTTTATGGGAAGATATTTCCTTTTTCACCGTAGGCCTCAAAGCGCTCCAAATGTCCACTTCCACATACTACAAAAAGAGTGTTTCAAACCTGCTGTATGAAAGGGAATGTTCAACTCTATGAGTTGAATGCAAACATTACAAAGAAGTTTCTGAGAATGCTTCTGTCTAGATTTTATATGAAGGTTTTCCCGTTTCCAACGAAATTTTCAATGCTCTCAAAATATCGACTTGTAGATTCTACAAAAAGAGTGTTTCCTAACTGCTGTGTCAAAAGAAAGGTTCAACTCTGTTAGTTGAGGACACACATCACAAATAAGTTTCCTGAGAATGCTTCTGTCTAGTTCTTATTTGAAGACATTTCCTTTCTCACCTTAGGCCTGAAAACGCTCGAAATATCCACTTCCAGATACGACAGAAACAGTGATTCAAACCTGCTCTATGAAAGGGAATGTTCTACTAGGTGACTTGAATGCAAACATCACAAAGCAGTTTCTGAGAATGCTGCTGTCTACTTTCTATTTGTAATCCCGTTTCCAACGAAATCCTCAGAACTATCGAAATTTCCAATTGCAGATTCCACAAAAAGCGTGTTTCAAAGCTGCTCTGTAAAAAGAAAGGTTCAACTCTGTTTGTTGAATACACACGTCACAAACAAGTTTCTGAGAATGCTTCTGTCTAGTTTTTATGGGAAGATATTTCCTTTTTCACCGTAGGCCTCAAAGCGCTCCAAATGTCCACTTCCACATACTACAAAAAGAGTGTTTCAAACCTGCTCTATGATAGGGAATGTTGAAACCTATGAGTTGAATGCAAGCATTACAAAGAGGTTTCTGAGAATGCTTCTGTCTAGATTTTATATGTAGATATTCCCGTTTCCAATGAAATCCTCAAAGCTATCCAAATATCAACTTGCAGATTCTACAAAAGGAATGTTTCCAAAATGCTGTATCCAAACAAAGGTTCAACTCTGTGAATTGAGGGCATACATCACAAAGAAGATTCTGAGAATGCTTCTGTCTAGATTTTATATGAAAATATTCCCGTTTCCAACGAAATCCTCAAAGCTATCCAAATATCCACTTGCAAATGCCACAAAAAGAGTGTTTCCAAACTGCTCTGTGAAAAGGAAGGTTCAACTCTGTTAGTTGAGTACACACATCACAAAGAGGTTTCTGAGAATGCTGCTGACTAGTTTTTATTTGAAGATATTTCCCTTTTCACCTTAGGCCTAAGAGTGCTCGAAATGTCCATTTCCACATACTCCGCAAAGTGTGTTCCAAACGTGCTGTATGAAAGGGAATGTTCAACTCTATGAGTTGAATGCAAACATCACAAAGAAGATTCTGAGAATGCTTTTGTCTAGATTTTATATGAAGATATTCCCGTGTCCAACGAAATTTTCAATGGTCTCCAAATATCCATTTGTAGATTCTACAAAAAGAGTGTTTCCAAACTGCTGTATCAAAACAAAGGTTGAACTCTGTGAGTTGAGGACACACATCACAAATAAGTTTCTGAGAATGCTTCTGTCTAGTTTTTATTTGAAGATGTTTCCTTTTTCACCATAGGCCTGAAAGCGCTCGAAATGTCCACTTCCAGATAGTACAGAAAGAGTGTTTCAAACCTGCTCCATGAACGGGAATGTTCAGCTCTGTGAGTTGAATGCAAACATCACAAAGCAGGTTCTGAGAATGCTTCCGTCTAGATTTTAAATGAGGATATTCCCGTTTCCAACGAAATCCTCGAAGCTATCCAAATATCCACTTGCAGATTCCACAAAAAGAGTGTTTCAAAACTGCTCTGTCAAAAGATAGGTTCAACTCTGTTAGTTGAGTACACACATGGCAAACAAGATTGCGAGAATGCTTTCGTCTAGTTTTTTTGGGAAGATATTTCCTTCTTCACCATAGGCCTCAAAGCGCTCCAAATATCCATTTCCACATGCTATACAAAGAGTGTCTCAAACCTGCTGTATGAATGGGAATGTTCAACTCTATGAGTTGAATGCAAACATCACAAAGAAGTTTCTGAGAATGCTGCTGTCTAGATTTTATATGAAGGTTTTCCCGCTTCCAACGAAATTTTCAATGCTCTCAAAATATCCTCTTGTAGATTCTACAAAAAGAGTGTTTCCAAACTGCTGTATCAAAACAAAGGTTCATCTCTGTTAGTTGAGGACACACATCACAAATAAGTTTCTGAGAATGCTTCTGTCTAGTTCTTATTTGAAGACATTTCCTTTCTCACCTTAGGCCTGAAAACGCTCGAAATATCCACTTCCAGATACGACAGAAACTGTGATTCAAACCTGCTCTATGAAAGGGAATGTTCAACTAGGTGACTTGAATGCAAACATCACAAAGCAGTTTCTGAGAATGCTGCTGTCTACTTTCTATTTGTAATCCCGTTTGCAACGAAATCCTCAGAACTATCGAAATTTCCAATTGCAGATTCCACAGAAACAGGGTTTCAAAGCTGCTCTGTAAAAAGAAAGGTTCAACTCTGTTAGTTGAATACACACGTCACAAACAAGTTTCTGAGAATGCTTCTGTCTAGTTTTTATGGGAAGATATTTCCTTTTTCACGGTAGGCCTCAAAGCGCTCCAAATGTCCACTTCCACATACTACAAAAAGAGTGTTTCAAACCTGCTCTATGATAGGGAATGTTGAAACCTATGAGTTGAATGCAAGCATTACAAAGAGGTTTCTGAGAATGCTTCTGTCTAGATTTTATATGTAGATATTCCCGTTTCCAACGAAATCCTCAAAGCTATCCAAATATCAACTTGCAGATTCTACAAAAGGAATGTTTCCAAAATGCTGTATCCAAACAAAGGTTCAACTCTGTGAATTGAGGGCATACATCACAAAGAAGATTCTGAGAATGCTTCTGTCTAGATTTTATATGAAAATATTCCCGTTTCCAACGAAATCCTCAAAGCTATCCAAATATCCACTTGCAAATGCCACATAAAGAGTGTTTCCAAACTGCTCTGTGAAAAGGAAGGTTCAACTCTGTTAGTTGAGTACACACATCACAAAGAGGTTTCTGAGAATGCTGCTGACTAGTTTTTATTTGAAGATATTTCCCTTTTCACCTTAGGCCTAAGAGTGCTCGAAATGTCCATTTCCACATACTCCACAAAGTGTGTTTCAAACGTGCTGTATGAAAGGGAATGTTCAACTCTATGAGTTGAATGCAAACATCACAAAGAAGATTCTGAGAATGCTTTTGTCTAGATTTTATATGAAGATATTCCCGTGTCCAACGAAATTTTCAAAGGTCTCCAAATATCCATTTGTAGATTCTACAAAAAGAGTGTTTCCAAACTGCTGTATCAAAACAAAGGTTGAACTCTGTGAGTTGAGGACACACATCACAAATAAGTTTCTGAGAATGCTTCTGTCTAGTTTTTATTTGAAGATGTTTCCTTTTTCACCATAGGCCTGAAAGCGCTCGAAATGTCCACTTCCAGATAGTACAGAAAGAGTGTTTCAAACCTACTCTATGAACAGGAATGTTCAGCTCCGTGAGTTGAATGCAAACATCACAAAGCAGGTTCTGAGAATGCTTCCGTCTAGATTTTATATGAGGATATTCCCGTTTCCAAGGAAATCCTCGAAGCTATCCAAATATCCACTTGCAGATTCCACAGAAAGAGTGTTTCAAAACTGCTCTCTCAAAAGATAGGTTCAACTCGGTTAGTTGAGTACACACATGGCAAACAAGATTCCGAGAATGCTTTCGTCTAGTTTTTTTGGGAAGATATTTCCTTCTTCACCATAGGCCTCAAAGCGCTCCAAATATCCATTTCCACATGCTATACAAAGAGTGTCTCAAACCTGCTGTATGAATGGGAATGTTCAACTCTATGAGTTGAATGCAAACATCACAAAGAAGTTTCTGAGAATGCTGCTGTCTAGATTTTATATGAAGGTTTTCCCGCTTCCAACGAAATTTTCAATGCTCTCAAAATATCCTCTTGTAGATTCTACAAAAAGAGTGTTTCCAAACTGCTGTATCAAAACAAAGGTTCATCTCTGTTAGTTGAGGACACACATCACAAATAAGTTTCTGAGAATGCTTCTGTCTAGTTCTTATTTGAAGACATTTCCTTTCTCACCTTAGGCCTGAAAGCGCTCGAAATACCCACTTCCAGATACTACAGAAACAGTGATTCAAACCTGCTCTATGAAAGGGAATGTTCAACTAGGTGAGTTGAATGCAAACATCACAAAGCAGTTTCTGAGAATGCTGCTGTCTACTTTCTATTTGTAATCCCGTTTGCAACGAAATCCTCAGAACTATCGAAATTTCCAATTGCAGATTCCACAGAAACAGGGTTTCAAAGCTGCTCTGTAAAAAGAAAGGTTCAACTCTGTTAGTTGAATACACACGTCACAAACAAGTTTCTGAGAATGCTTCTGTCTAGTTTTTATGGGAAGATATTTCCTTTTTCACCGTAGGCCTCAAAGCGCTCCAAATGTCCACTTCCACATACTACAAAAAGAGTGTTTCAAACCTGCTGTATGAAAGGGAATGTTCAACTCTATGAGTTGAATGCAAACATTACAAAGAAGTTTCTGAGAATGCTTCTGTCTAGATTTTATATGAAGGTTTTCCCGTTTCCAACGAAATTTTCAATGCTCTCAAAATATCCACTTGTAGATTCTACAAAAAGAGTGTTTCCAAACTGCTGTGTCAAAAGAAAGGTTCAACTCTGTTAGTTGAGGACACACATCACAAATAAGTTTCTGAGAATGCTTCTGTCTAGTTCTTATTTGAAGACATTTCCTTTCTCACCTTAGGCCTGAAAACGCTCGAAATATCCACTTCCAGATACGACAGAAACAGTGATTCAAACCTGCTCTATGAAAGGGAATGTTCAACTAGGTGACTTGAATGCAAACATCACAAAGCAGTTTCTGAGAATGCTGCTGTCTACTTTCTATTTGTAATCCCGTTTCCAACGAAATCCTCAGAACCATCGAAATTTCCAATTGCAGATTCCACAGAAACAGGGTTTCAAAGCTGCTCTGTAAAAAAGAAAGGTTCAACTCTGTTAGTTGAATACACACGTCACAAACAAGTTTCTGAGAATGCTTCTGTCTAGTTTTTATGGGAAGATATTTCCTTTTTCACCGTAGGCCTCAAAGCGCTCCAAATGTCCACTTCCACATACTACAAAAAGAGTGTTTCAAACCTGCTCTATGATAGGGAATGTTGAAACCTATGAGTTGAATGCAAGCATTACAAAGAGGTTTCTGAGAATGCTTCTGTCTAGATTTTATATGTAGATATTCCCGTTTCCAACGAAATCCTCAAAGCTATCCAAATATCAACTTGCAGATTCTGCAAAAGGAATGTTTCCAAAATGCTGTATCCAAACAAAGGTTCAACTCTGTGAATTGAGGGCATACATCACAAAGAAGATTCTGAGAATGCTTCTGTCTAGATTTTATATGAAAATATTCCCGTTTCCAACGAAATCCTCAAAGCTATCCAAATATCCACTTGCAAATGCCACAAAAAGAGTGTTTCCAAACTGCTCTGTGAAAAGGAAGGTTCAACTCTGTTAGTTGAGTACACACATCACAAAGAGGTTTCTGAGAATGCTGCTGACTAGTTTTTATTTGAAGATATTTCCCTTTTCACCTTAGGCCTAAGAGTGCTCGAAATGTCCATTTCCACATACTCCACAAAGTGTGTTTCAAACGTGCTGTATGAAAGGGAATGTTCAACTCTATGAGTTGAATGCAAACATCACAAAGAAGATTCTGAGAATGCTTTTGTCTAGATTTTATATGAAGATATTCCCGTGTCCAACGAAATTTTCAAAGGTCTCCAAATATCCATTTGTAGATTCTACAAAAAGAGTGTTTCCAAACTGCTGTATCGAAACAAAGGTTGAACTCTGTGAGTTGAGGACACACATCACAAATAAGTTTCTGAGAATGCTTCTGTCTAGTTTTTATTTGAAGATGTTTCCTTTTTCACCATAGGCCTGAAAGCGCTCGAAATGTCCACTTCCAGATAGTACAGAAAGAGTGTTTCAAACCTGCTCTATGAACGGGAATGGTCAGCTCTGTGAGTTGAATGCAAACATCACAAAGCAGGTTCTGAGAATGCTTCCGTCTAGATTTTAAATGAGGATATTCCCGTTTCCAACGAAATCCTCGAAGCTATCCAAATATCCACTTGCAGATTCCACAAAAAGAGTGTTTCAAAACTGCTCTGTCAAAAGATAGGTTCAACTCTGTTAGTTGAGTACACACATGGCAAACAAGATTCCGAGAATGCTTTCGTCTAGTTTTTTTGGGAAGATATTTCCTTCTTCACCATAGGCCTCAAAGCGCTCCAAATATCCATTTCCACATGCTATACAAAGAGTGTCTCAAACCTGCTGTATGAATGGGAATGTTCAACTCTATGAGTTGAATGCAAACATCACAAAGAAGTTTCTGAGAATGCTGCTGTCTAGATTTTATATGAAGGTTTTCCCGCTTCCAACGAAATTTTCAATGCTCTCAAAATATCCTCTTGTAGATTCTACAAAAAGAGTGTTTCCAAACTGCTGTATCAAAACAAAGGTTCATCTCTGTTAGTTGAGGACACACATCACAAATAAGTTTCTGAGAATGCTTCTGTCTAGTTCTTATTTGAAGACATTTCCTTTCTCACCTTAGGCCTGAAAGCGCTCGAAATACCCACTTCCAGATACTACAGAAACAGTGATTCAAACCTGCTCTATGAAAGGGAATGTTCAACTAGGTGACTTGAATGCAAACATCACAAAGCAGTTTCTGAGAATGCTGCTGTCTACTTTCTATTTGTAATCCCGTTTCCAACGAAATCCTCAGAACTATCGAAATTTCCAATTGCAGATTCCACAGAAACAGGGTTTCAAAGCTGCTCTGTAAAAAGAAAGGTTCAACTCTGTTAGTTGAATACACACGTCACAAACAAGTTTCTGAGAATGCTTCTGTCTAGTTTTTATGGGAAGATATTTCCTTTTTCACCGTAGGCCTCAAAGCGCTCCCAATGTCCACTTCCACATACTACAAAAAGAGTGTTTCAAACCTGCTGTATGAAAGGGAATGTTCAACTCTATGAGTTGAATGCAAACATTACAAAGAAGTTTCTGAGAATGCTTCTGTCTAGATTTTATATGAAGGTTTTCCCGTTTCCAACGAAATTTTCAATGCTCTCAAAATATCCACTTGTAGATTCTACAAAAAGAGTGTTTCCAAACTGCTGTGTCAAAAGAAAGGTTCAACTCTGTTAGTTGAGGACACACATCACAAATAAGTTTCTGAGAATGCTTCTGTCTAGTTCTTATTTGAAGACATTTCCTTTCTCACCTTAGGCCTGAAAACGCTCGAAATATCCACTTCCAGATACGACAGAAACAGTGATTCAAACCTGCTCTATGAAAGGGAATGTTCAACTAGGTGACTTGAATGCAAACATCACAAAGCAGTTTCTGAGAATGCTGCTGTCTACTTTCTATTTGTAATCCCGTTTCCAACGAAATCCTCAGAACTATCGAAATTTCCAATTGCAGATTCCACAAAAAGCGTGTTTCAAAGCTGCTCTGTAAAAAGAAAGGTTCAACTCTGTTAGTTGAATACACACGTCACAAACAAGTTTCTGAGAATGCTTCTGTCTAGTTTTTATGGGAAGATATTTCCTTTTTCACGGTAGGCCTCAAAGCGCTCCAAATGTCCACTTCCACATACTACAAAAAGAGTGTTTCAAACCTGCTCTATGATAGGGAATGTTGAAACCTATGAGTTGAATGCAAGCATTACAAAGAGGTTTCTGAGAATGCTTCTGTCTAGACTTTATATGTAGATATTCCCGTTTCCAACGAAATCCTCAAACTATCCAAATATCAACTTGCAGATTCTACAAAAGGAATGTTTCCAAAATGCTGTATCCAAACAAAGGTTCAACTCTGTGAATTGAGGGCATACATCACAAAGAAGATTCTGAGAATGCTTCTGTCTAGATTTTATATGAAAATATTCCCGTTTCCAACGAAATCCTCAAAGCTATCCAAATATCCACTTGCAAATGCCACAAAAAGAGTGTTTCCAAACTGCTCTGTGAAAAGGAAGGTTCAACTCTGTTAGTTGAGTACACACATCACAAAGAGGTTTCTGAGAATGCTGCTGACTAGTTTTTATTTGAAGATATTTCCCTTTTCACCTTAGGCCTAAGAGTGCTCGAAATGTCCATTTCCACATACTCCACAAAGTGTGTTTCAAACGTGCTGTATGAAAGGGAATGTTCAACTCTATGAGTTGAATGCAAACATCACAAAGAAGATTCTGAGAATGCTTTTGTCTAGATTTTATATGAAGATATTCCCGTGTCCAACGAAATTTTCAAAGGTCTCCAAATATCCATTTGTAGATTCTACAAAAAGAGTGTTTCCAAACTGCTGTATCAAAACAAAGGTTGAACTCTGTGAGTTGAGGACACACATCACAAATAAGTTTCTGAGAATGCTTCTGTCTAGTTTTTATTTGAAGATGTTTCCTTTTTCACCATAGGCCTGAAAGCGCTCGAAATGTCCACTTCCAGATAGTACAGAAAGAGTGTTTCAAACCTGCTCTATGAACGGGAATGTTCAGCTCTGTGAGTTGAATGCAAACATCACAAAGCAGGTTCTGAGAATGCTTCCGTCTAGATTTTAAATGAGGATATTCCCGTTTCCAACGAAATCCTCGAAGCTATCCAAATATCCACTTGCAGATTCCACAAAAAGAGTGTTTCAAAACTGCTCTGTCAAAAGATAGGTTCAACTCTGTTAGTTGAGTACACACATGGCAAACAAGATTCCGAGAATGCTTTCGTCTAGTTTTTTTGGGAAGATATTTCCTTCTTCACCATAGGCCTCAAAGCGCTCCAAATATCCATTCCCACATGCTATACAAAGAGTGTCTCAAACCTGCTGTATGAATGGGAATGTTCAACTCTATGAGTTGAATGCAAACATCACAAAGAAGTTTCTGAGAATGCTGCTGTCTAGATTTTATATGAAGGTTTTCCCGCTTCCAACGAAATTTTCAATGCTCTCAAAATATCCTCTTGTAGATTCTACAAAAAGAGTGTTTCCAAACTGCTGTATCAAAACAAAGGTTCATCTCTGTTAGTTGAGGACACACATCACAAATAAGTTTCTGAGAATGCTTCTGTCTAGTTCTTATTTGAAGACATTTCCTTTCTCACCTTAGGCCTGAAAACGCTCGAAATATCCACTTCCAGATACGACAGAAACTGTGATTCAAACCTGCTCTATGAAAGGGAATGTTCAACTAGGTGACTTGAATGCAAACATCACAAAGCAGTTTCTGAGAATGCTGCTGTCTACTTTCTATTTGTAATCCCGTTTCCAACGAAATCCTCAGAACTATCGAAATTTCCAATTGCAGATTCCACAAAAAGCGTGTTTCAAAGCTGCTCTGTAAAAAGAAAGGTTCAACTCTGTTAGTTGAATACACACGTCACAAACAAGTTTCTGAGAATGCTTCTGTCTAGTTTTTATGGGAAGATATTTCCTTTTTCACCGTAGGCCTCAAAGCGCTCCAAATGTCCACTTCCACATACTACAAAAAGAGTGTTTCAAACCTGCTCTATGATAGGGAATGTTGAAACCTATGAGTTGAATGCAAGCATTACAAAGAGGTTTCTGAGAATGCTTCTGTCTAGATTTTATATGTAGATATTCCCGTTTCCAACGAAATCCTCAAACTATCCAAATATCAACTTGCAGATTCTACAAAAGGAATGTTTCCAAAATGCTGTATCCAAACAAAGGTTCAACTCTGTGAATTGAGGGCATACATCACAAAGAAGATTCTGAGAATGCTTCTGTCTAGATTTTATATGAAAATATTCCCGTTTCCAACGAAATCCTCAAAGCTATCCAAATATCCACTTGCAAATGCCACAAAAAGAGTGTTTCCAAACTGCTCTGTGAAAAGGAAGGTTCAACTCTGTTAGTTGAGTACACACATCACAAAGAGGTTTCTGAGAATGCTGCTGACTAGTTTTTATTTGAAGATATTTCCCTTTTCACCTTAGGCCTAAGAGTGCTCGAAATGTCCATTTCCACATACTCCACAAAGTGTGTTTCAAACGTGCTGTATGAAAGGGAATGTTCAACTCTATGAGTTGAATGCAAACATCACAAAGAAGATTCTGAGAATGCTTTTGTCTAGATTTTATATGAAGATATTCCCGTGTCCAACGAAATTTTCAAAGGTCTCCAAATATCCATTTGTAGATTCTACAAAAAGAGTGCTTCCAAACTGCTGTATCAAAACAAAGGTTGAACTCTGTGAGTTGAGGACACACATCACAAATAAGTTTCTGAGAATGCTTCTGTCTAGTTTTTATTTGAAGATGTTTCCTTTTTCACCATAGGCCTGAAAGCGCTCGAAATGTCCACTTCCAGATAGTACAGAAAGAGTGTTTCAAACCTGCTCTATGAACGGGAATGTTCAGCTCTGTGAGTTGAATGCAAACATCACAAAGCAGGTTCTGAGAATGCTTCCGTCTAGATTTTAAATGAGGATATTCCCGTTTCCAACGAAATCCTCGAAGCTATCCAAATATCCACTTGCAGATTCCACAAAAAGAGTGTTTCAAAACTGCTCTGTCAAAAGATAGGTTCAACTCTGTTAGTTGAGTACACACATGGCAAACAAGATTGCGAGAATGCTTTCGTCTAGTTTTTTTGGGAAGATATTTCCTTCTTCACCATAGGCCTCAAAGCGCTCCAAATATCCATTTCCACATGCTATACAAAGAGTGTCTCAAACCTGCTGTATGAATGGGAATGTTCAACTCTATGAGTTGAATGCAAACATCACAAAGAAGTTTCTGAGAATGCTGCTGTCTAGATTTTATATGAAGGTTTTCCCGCTTCCAACGAAATTTTCAATGCTCTCAAAATATCCTCTTGTAGATTCTACAAAAAGAGTGTTTCCAAACTGCTGTATCAAAACAAAGGTTCATCTCTGTTAGTTGAGGACACACATCACAAATAAGTTTCTGAGAATGCTCTGTCTAGTTCTTATTTGAAGACATTTCCTTTCTCATCTTAGGCCTGAAAGCGCTCGAAACACCCACTTCCAGATACTACACAGACAGTGATTCAAACCTGCTCTATCAAAGGAAATGTTCAACTATGTGACTTGAATGCAAACATCACAAAGCAGTTTCTGAGAATGCTGGCTGTCTACTTTCTATTTGTAATCCCGTTTCCAACGAAATCCTCAGAACTATCGAAATTTCCAATTGCAGATTCCACAGAAACAGGGTTTCAAAGCTGCTCTGTAAAAAGAAAGGTTCAACTCTGTTAGTTGAATACACACGTCACAAACAAGTTTCTGAGAATGCTTCTGTCTAGTTTTTATGGGAAGATATTTCCTTTTTCACCGTAGGCCTCAAAGCGCTCCAAATGTCCACGTCCACATACTACAAAAAGAGTGTTTCAAACCTGCTGTATGAAAGGGAATGTTCAACTCTATGAGTTGAATGCAAACATTACAAAGAAGTTTCTGAGAATGCTTCTGTCTAGATTTTATATGAAGGTTTTCCCGTTTCCAACGAAATTTTCAATGCTCTCAAAATATCCACTTGTAGATTCTACAAAAAGAGTGTTTCCAAACTGCTGTGTCAAAAGAAAGGTTCAACTCTGTTAGTTGAGGACACACATCACAAATAAGTTTCTGAGAATGCTTCTGTCTAGTTCTTATTTGAAGACATTTCCTTTCTCACCTTAGGCCTGAAAACGCTCGAAATATCCACTTCCAGATACGACAGAAACAGTGATTCAAACCTGCTCTATGAAAGGGAATGTTCAACTAGGTGACTTGAATGCAAACATCACAAAGCAGTTTCTGAGAATGCTGCTGTCTACTTTCTATTTGTAATCCCGTTTCCAACGAAATCCTCAGAACTATCGAAATTTCCAATTGCAGATTCCACAAAAAGCGTGTTTCAAAGCTGCTCTGTAAAAAGGAAGGTTCAACTCTGTTAGTTGAATACACACGTCACAAACAAGTTTCTGAGAATGCTTCTGTCTAGTTTTTATGGGAAGATATTTCCTTTTTCACCGTAGGCCTCAAAGCGCTCCAAATGTCCACTTCCACATACTACAAAAAGAGTGTTTCAAACCTGCTCTATGATAGGGAATGTTGAAACCTATGAGTTGAATGCAAGCATTACAAAGAGGTTTCTGAGAATGCTTCTGTCTAGATTTTATATGTAGATATTCCCGTTTCCAACGAAATCCTCAAACTATCCAAATATCAACTTGCAGATTCTACAAAAGGAATGTTTCCAAAATGCTGTATCCAAACAAAGGTTCAACTCTGTGAATTGAGGGCATACATCACAAAGAAGATTCTGAGAATGCTTCTGTCTAGATTTTATATGAAAATATTCCCGTTTCCAACGAAATCCTCAAAGCTATCCAAATATCCACTTGCAAATGCCACAAAAAGAGTGTTTCCAAACTGCTCTGTGAAAAGGAAGGTTCAACTCTGTTAGTTGAGTACACACATCACAAAGAGGTTTCTGAGAATGCTGCTGACTAGTTTTTATTTGAAGATATTTCCCTTTTCACCTTAGGCCTAAGAGTGCTCGAAATGTCCATTTCCACATACTCCACAAAGTGTGTTTCAAACGTGCTGTATGAAAGGGAATGTTCAACTCTATGAGTTGAATGCAAACATCACAAAGAAGATTCTGAGAATGCTTTTGTCTAGATTTTATATGAAGATATTCCCGTGTCCAACGAAATTTTCAAAGGTCTCCAAATATCCATTTGTAGATTCTACAAAAAGAGTGTTTCCAAACTGCTGTATCAAAACAATGGTTGAACTCTGTGAGTTGAGGACACACATCACAAATAAGTTTCTGAGAATGCTTCTGTCTAGTTTTTGTTTGAAGATATTTCCTTTTTCACCATAGGCCTGAAAGCGCTCGAATTGTCCACTTCCAGATAGTACAGAAAGAGTGTTTCAAACCTGCTCTATGAACGGGAATGTTCAGCTCTGTGAGTTGAATGCAAACATCACAAAGCAGGTTCTGAGAATGCTTCCGTCTAGCATTTTAAATGAGGATATTCCCGTTTCCAACGAAATCCTCGAAGCTATCCAAATATCCACTTGCAGATTCCACAAAAAGAGTGTTTCAAAACTGCTCTGTCAAAAGATAGGTTCAACTCTGTTAGTTGAGTACACACATGGCAAACAAGATTGCGAGAATGCTTTCGTCTAGTTTTTTTGGGAAGATATTTCCTTCTTCACCATAGGCCTCAAAGCGCTCCAAATATCCATTTCCACATGCTATACAAAGAGTGTCTCAAACCTGCTGTATGAATGGGAATGTTCAACTCTATGAGTTGAATGCAAACATCACAAAGAAGTTTCTGAGAATGCTGCTGTCTAGATTTTATATGAAGGTTTTCCCGCTTCCAACGAAATTTTCAATGCTCTCAAAATATCCTCTTGTAGATTCTACAAAAAGAGTGTTTCCAAACTGCTGTATCAAAACAAAGGTTCATCTCTGTTAGTTGAGGACACACATCACAAATAAGTTTCTGAGAATGCTTCTGTCTAGTTCTTATTTGAAGACATTTCCTTTCTCACCTTAGGCCTGAAAGCGCTCGAAATACCCACTTCCAGATACTACAGAAACAGTGATTCAAACCTGCTCTATGAAAGGGAATTTTCAACTATGTGACTTGAATGCAAACATCACAAAGCAGTTTCTGAGAATGCTGCTGTCTACTTTCTATTTGTAATCCCGTTTCCAACGAAATCCTTAGAACTATCGAAATTTCCAATTGCAGATTACACAAAAACAGGGTTTCAAAGCTGTTCTGTAAAAAGAAAGGTTCAACTCTGTTAGTTGAATACACACGTCACAAACAAGTTTCTGAGAATGCTTCTGTCTAGTTTTTATGGGAAGATATTTCCTTTTTCACCGTAGGCCTCAAAGCGCTCCAAATGTCCACTTCCACATACTACAAAAAGAGTGTTTCAAACCTGCTGTATGAAAGGGAATGTTCAACTCTATGAGTTGAATGCAAACATTACAAAGAAGTTTCTGAGAATGCTTCTGTCTAGATTTTATATGAAGGTTTTCCCGTTTCCAACGAAATTTTCAATGCTCTCAAAATATCCACTTGTAGATTCTACAAAAAGAGTGTTTCCAAACTGCTGTGTCAAAAGAAAGGTTCAACTCTGTTAGTTGAGGACACACATCACAAATAAGTTTCTGAGAATGCTTCTGTCTAGTTCTTATTTGAAGACATTTCCTTTCTCACCTTAGGCCTGAAAACGCTCGAAATATCCACTTCCAGATACGACAGAAACAGTGATTCAAACCTGCTCTATGAAAGGGAATGTTCAACTAGGTGACTTGAATGCAAACATCACAAAGCAGTTTCTGAGAATGCTGCTGTCTACTTTCTATTTGTAATCCCGTTTCCAACGAAATCCTCAGAACTATCGAAATTTCCAATTGCAGATTCCACAAAAAGCGTGTTTCAAAGCTGCTCTGTAAAAAGAAAGGTTCAACTCTGTTAGTTGAATACACACGTCACAAACAAGTTTCTGAGAATGCTTCTGTCTAGTTTTTATGGGAAGATATTTCCTTTTTCACCGTAGACCTCAAAGCGCTCCAAATGTCCACTTCCACATACTACAAAAAGAGTGTTTCAAACCTGCTCTATGATAGGGAATGTTGAAACCTATGAGTTGAATGCAAGCATTACAAAGAGGTTTCTGAGAATGCTTCTGTCTAGATTTTATATGTAGATATTCCCGTTTCCAACGAAATCCTCAAAGCTATCCAAATATCAACTTGCAGATTCTACAAAAGGAATGTTTCCAAAATGCTGTATCCAAACAAAGGTTCAACTCTGTGAATTGAGGGCATACATCACAAAGAAGATTCTGAGAATGCTTCTGTCTAGATTTTATATGAAAATATTCCCGTTTCCAACGAAATCCTCAAAGCTATCCAAATATCCACTTGCAAATGCCACAAAAAGAGTGTTTCCAAACTGCTCTGTGAAAAGGAAGGTTCAACTCTGTTAGTTGAGTACACACATCACAAAGAGGTTTCTGAGAATGCTGCTGACTAGTTTTTATTTGAAGATATTTCCCTTTTCACCTTAGGCCTAAGAGTGCTCGAAATGTCCATTTCCACATACTCCACAAAGTGTGTTTCAAACGTGCTGTATGAAAGGGAATGTTCAACTCTATGAGTTGAATGCAAACATCACAAAGAAGATTCTGAGAATGCTTTTGTCTAGATTTTATATGAAGATATTCCCGTGTCCAACGAAATTTTCAAAGGTCTCCAAATATCCATTTGTAGATTCTACAAAAAGAGTGTTTCCAAACTGCTGTATCAAAACAAAGGTTGAACTCTGTGAGTTGAGGACACACATCACAAATAAGTTTCTGAGAATGCTTCTGTCTAGTTTTTATTTGAAGATGTTTCCTTTTCCACCATAGGCCTGAAAGCGCTCGAAATGTCCACTTCCAGATAGTACAGAAAGAGTGTTTCAAACCTGCTCTATGAACGGGAATGTTCAGCTCTGTGAGTTGAATGCAAACATCACAAAGCAGGTTCCGAGAATGCTTCCGTCTAGATTTTAAATGAGGATATTCCCGTTTCCAACGAAATCCTCGAAGCTATCCAAATATCCACTTGCAGATTCCACAAAAAGAGTGTTTCAAAACTGCTCTGTCAAAAGATAGGTTCAACTCTGTTAGTTGAGTACACACATGGCAAACAAGATTCCGAGAATGCTTTCGTCTAGTTTTTATGGGAAGATATTTCCTTCTTCACCATAGGCCTCAAAGCGCTCCAAATATCCATTTCCACATGCTATACAAAGAGTGTCTCAAACCTGCTGTATGAATGGGAATGTTCAACTCTATGAGTTGAATGCAAACATCACAAAGCAGTTTCTGAGAATGCTGTTGTCTACTTTCTATTTGTAATCCCGTTTCCAACGAAATCCTCAGAACTATCGAAATTTCCAATTGCAGATTCCACAAAAAGCGTGTTTCAAAGCTGCTCTGTAAAAAGAAAGTTTCAACTCTGTTAGTTGAATACACACGTCACAAACAAGTTTCTGAGAATGCTTCTATCTAGTTTTTATGGGAAGATATTTCCTTTTTCACCGTAGGCCTCAAAGCGCTCCAAATGTCCACTTCCACATACTACAAAAAGAGTGTTTCAAACCTGCTGTATGAAAGGGAATGTTCAACTCTATGAGTTGAATGCAAACATTACAAAGAAGTTTCTGAGAATGCTTCTGTCTAGATTTTATATGAAGGTTTTCCCGTTTCCAACGAAATTTTCAATGCTCTCAAAATATCCACTTGTAGATTCTACAAAAAGAGTGTTTCCAAACTGCTGTGTCAAAAGAAAGGTTCAACTCTGTTAGTTGAGGACACACATCACAAATAAGTTTCTGAGAATGCTGCTGTCTACTTTCTATTTGTAATCCCGTTTCCAACGAAATCCTCAGAACTATCGAAATTTCCAATTGCAGATTCCACAAAAAGCGTGTTTCAAAGCTGCTCTGTAAAAAGAAAGGTTCATCTCTGTTAGTTGAATACACACGTCACAAACAAGTTTCTGAGAATGCTTCTGTCTAGTTTTTATGGGAAGATATTTCCTTTTTCACGGTAGGCCTCAAAGCGCTCCAAATGTCCACTTCCACATACTACAAAAAGAGTGTTTCAAACCTGCTCTATGATAGGGAATGTTGAAACCTATGAGTTGAATGCAAGCATTACAAAGAGGTTTCTGAGAATGCTTCTGTCTAGATTTTATATGTAGATATTCCCGTTTCCAACGAAATCCTCAAAGCTATCCAAATATCAACTTGCAGATTCTACAAAAGGAATGTTTCCAAAATGCTGTATCCAAACAAAGGTTCAACTCTGTGAATTGAGGGCATACATCACAAAGAAGATTCTGAGAATGCTTCTGTCTAGATTTTATATGAAAATATTCCCGTTTCCAACGAAATCCTCAAAGCTATCCAAATATCCACTTGCAAATGCCACAAAAAGAGTGTTTCCAAACTGCTCTGTGAAAAGGAAGGTTCAACTCTGTTAGTTGAGTACACACATCACAAAGAGGTTTCTGAGAATGCTGCTGACTAGTTTTTATTTGAAGATATTTCCCTTTTCACCTTAGGCCTAAGAGTGCTCGAAATGTCCATTTCCACATACTCCACAAAGTGTGTTTCAAACGTGCTGTATGAAAGGGAATGTTCAACTCTATGAGTTGAATTCAAACATCACAAAGAAGATTCTGAGAATGCTTTTGTCTAGATTTTATATGAAGATATTCCCGTGTCCAACGAAATTTTCAAAGGTCTCCAAATATCCATTTGTAGATTCTACAAAAAGAGTGTTTCCAAACTGCTGTATCAAAACAAAGGTTGAACTCTGTGAGTTGAGGACACACATCACAAATAAGTTTCTGAGAATGCTTCTGTCTAGTTTTTATTTGAAGATGTTTCCTTTTTCACCATAGGCCTGAAAGCGCTCGAAATGTCCACTTCCAGATAGTACAGAAAGAGTGTTTCAAACCTGCTCTATGAACGGGAATGTTCAGCTCTGTGAGTTGAATGCAAACGTCACAAAGCAGGTTCCGAGAATGCTTCCGTCTAGATTTTAAATGAGGATATTCCCGTTTCCAACGAAATCCTCGAAGCTATCCAAATATCCACTTGCAGATTCCACAAAAAGAGTGTTTCAAAACTGCTCTGTCAAAAGATAGGTTCAACTCTGTTAGTTGAGTACACACATGGCAAACAAGATTGCGAGAATGCTTTCGTCTAGTTTTTTTGGGAAGATATTTCCTTCTTCACCATAGGCCTCAAAGCGCTCCAAATATCCATTTCCACATGCTATACAAAGAGTGTCTCAAACCTGCTGTATGAAATGGGAATGTTCAACTCTATGAGTTGAATGCAAACATCACAAAGAAGTTTCTGAGAATGCTGCTGTCTAGATTTTATATGAAGGTTTTCCCGCTTCCAACGAAATTTTCAATGCTCTCAAAATATCCTCTTGTAGATTCTACAAAAAGAGTGTTTCCAAACTGCTGTATCAAAACAAAGGTTCATCTCTGTTAGTTGAGGACACACATCACAAATAAGTTTCTGAGAATGCTTCTGTCTAGTTCTTATTTGAAGACATTTCCTTTCTCACCTTAGGCCTGAAAGCGCTCGAAATACCCACTTCCAGATACTACAGAAACAGTGATTCAAACCTGCTCTATGAAAGGGAATTTTCAACTATGTGACTTGAATGCAAACATCACAAAGCAGTTTCTGAGAATGCTGCTGTCTACTTTCTATTTGTAATCCCGTTTGCAACGAAATCCTCAGAACTATCGAAATTTCCAATTGCAGATTCCACAGAAACAGGGTTTCAAAGCTGCTCTGTAAAAAGAAAGGTTCAACTCTGTTAGTTGAATACACACGTCACAAACAAGTTTCTGAGAATGCTTCTGTCTAGTTTTTATGGGAAGATATTTCCTTTTTCACCGTAGGCCTCAAAGCGCTGCAAATGTCCACGTCCACATACTACAAAAAGAGTGTTTCAAACCTGCTGTATGAAAGGGAATGTTCAACTCTATGAGTTGAATGCAAACATTACAAAGAAGTTTCTGAGAATGCTTCTGTCTAGATTTTATATGAAGGTTTTCCCGTTTCCAACGAAATTTTCAATGCTCTCAAAATATCCACTTGTAGATTCTACAAAAAGAGTGTTTCCAAACTGCTGTGTCAAAAGAAAGGTTCAACTCTGTTAGTTGAGGACACACATCACAAATAAGTTTCTGAGAATGCTTCTGTCTAGTTCTTATTTGAAGACATTTCCTTTCTCACCTTAGGCCTGAAAACGCTCGAAATATCCACTTCCAGATACGACAGAAACAGTGATTCAAACCTGCTCTATGAAAGGGAATGTTCAACTAGGTGACTTGAATGCAAACATCACAAAGCAGTTTCTGAGAATGCTGCTGTCTACTTTCTATTTGTAATCCCGTTTCCAACGAAATCCTCAGAACTATCGAAATTTCCAATTGCAGATTCCACAAAAAGCGTGTTTCAAAGCTGCTCTTTAAAAAGAAAGGTTCATCTCTGTTAGTTGAATACACACGTCACAAACAAGTTTCTGAGAATGCTTCTGTCTAGTTTTTATGGGAAGATATTTCCTTTTTCACCGTAGGCCTCAAAGCGCTCCAAATGTCCACTTCCACATACTACAAAGAGAGTGTTTCAAACCTGCTCTATGATAGGGAATGTTGAAACCTATGAGTTGAATGCAAGCATTACAAAGAGGTTTCTGAGAATGCTTCTGTCTAGATTTTATATGTAGATATTCCCGTTTCCAACGAAATCCTCAAAGCTATCCAAATATCAACTTGCAGATTCTACAAAAGGAATGTTTCCAAAATGCTGTATCCAAACAAAGGTTCAACTCTGTGAATTGAGGGCATACATCACAAAGAAGATTCTGAGAATGCTTCTGTCTAGATTTTATATGAAAATATTCCCGTTTCCAACGAAATCCTCAAAGCTATCCAAATATCCACTTGCAAATGCCACAAAAAGAGTGTTTCCAAACTGCTCTGTGAAAAGGAAGGTTCAACTCTGTTAGTTGAGTACACACATCACAAAGAGGTTTCTGAGAATGCTGCTGACTAGTTTTTATTTGAAGATATTTCCCTTTTCACCTTAGGCCTAAGAGTGCTCGAAATGTCCATTTCCACATACTCCACAAAGTGTGTTTCAAACGTGCTGTATGAAAGGGAATGTTCAACTCTATGAGTTGAATGCAAACATCACAAAGAAGATTCTGAGAATGCTTTTGTCTAGATTTTATATGAAGATATTCCCGTGTCCAACGAAATTTTCAAAGGTCTCCAAATATCCATTTGTAGATTCTACAAAAAGAGTGTTTCCAAACTGCTGTATCAAAACAAAGGTTGAACTCTGTGAGTTGAGGACACACATCACAAATAAGTTTCTGAGAATGCTTCTGTCTAGTTTTTATTTGAAGATGTTTCCTTTTTCACCATAGGCCTGAAAGCGCTCGAAATGTCCACTTCCAGATAGTACAGAAAGAGTGTTTCAAACCTGCTCTATGAACGGGAATGTTCAGCTCTGTGAGTTGAATGCAAACATCACAAAGCAGGTTCTGAGAATGCTTCCGTCTAGATTTTAAATGAGGATATTCCCGTTTCCAACGAAATCCTCGAAGCTATCCAAATATCCACTTGCAGATTCCACAAAAAGAGTGTTTCAAAACTGCTCTGTCAAAAGATAGGTTCAACTCTGTTAGTTGAGTACACACATGGCAAACAAGATTGCGAGAATGCTTTCGTCTAGTTTTTTTGGGAAGATATTTCCTTCTTCACCATAGGCCTCAAAGCGCTCCAAATATCCATTTCCACATGCTATACAAAGAGTGTCTCAAACCTGCTGTATGAATGGGAATGTTCAACTCTATGAGTTGAATGCAAACATCACAAAGAAGTTTCTGAGAATGCTGCTGTCTAGATTTTATATGAAGGTTTTCCCGCTTCCAACGAAATTTTCAATGCTCTCAAAATATCCTCTTGTAGATTCTACAAAAAGAGTGTTTCCAAACTGCTGTATCAAAACAAAGGTTCATCTCTGTTAGTTGAGGACACACATCACAAATAAGTTTCTGAGAATGCTTCTGTCTAGTTCTTATTTGAAGACATTTCCTTTCTCACCTTAGGCCTGAAAACGCTCGAAATATCCACTTCCAGATACGACAGAAACTGTGATTCAAACCTGCTCTATGAAAGGGAATGTTCAACTAGGTGACTTGAATGCAAACATCACAAAGCAGTTTCTGAGAATGCTGCTGTCTACTTTCTATTTGTAATCCCGTTTCCAACGAAATCCTCAGAACTATCGAAATTTCCAATTGCAGATTCCACAAAAAGCGTGTTTCAAAGCTGCTCTGTAAAAAGAAAGGTTCAACTCTGTTAGTTGAATACACACGTCACAAACAAGTTTCTGAGAATGCTTCTGTCTAGTTTTTATGGGAAGATATTTCCTTTTTCACGGTAGGCCTCAAAGCGCTCCAAATGTCCACTTCCACATACTACAAAAAGAGTGTTTCAAACCTGCTCTATGATAGGGAATGTTGAAACCTATGAGTTGAATGCAAGCATTACAAAGAGGTTTCTGAGAATGCTTCTGTCTAGATTTTATATGTAGATATTCCCGTTTCCAACGAAATCCTCAAAGCTATCCAAATATCAACTTGCAGATTCTACAAAAGGAATGTTTCCAAAATGCTGTATCCAAACAAAGGTTCAACTCTGTGAATTGAGGGCATACATCACAAAGAAGATTCTGAGAATGCTTCTGTCTAGATTTTATATGAAAATATTCCCGTTTCCAACGAAATCCTCAAAGCTATCCAAATATCCACTTGCAAATGCCACAAAAAGAGTGTTTCCAAACTGCTCTGTGAAAAGGAAGGTTCAACTCTGTTAGTTGAGTACACACATCACAAAGAGGTTTCTGAGAATGCTGCTGACTAGTTTTTATTTGAAGATATTTCCCTTTTCACCTTAGGCCTAAGAGTGCTCGAAATGTCCATTTCCACATACTCCACAAAGTGTGTTTCAAACGTGCTGTA
The DNA here is from genome assembly GCF_000001405.40 of Homo sapiens. Taxonomy (NCBI): domain Eukaryota; kingdom Metazoa; phylum Chordata; class Mammalia; order Primates; family Hominidae; genus Homo; species Homo sapiens. Next base: position 19,050,907 of record NC_000015.10, on the reverse strand, counting down.
TGAAAGGGAATGTTCAACTCTATGAGTTGAATGCAAACATCACAAAGAAGACTCTGAGAATGCTTTTGTCTAGATTTTATATGAAGATATTCCCGTGTCCAACGAAATTTTCAAAGGTCTCCAAATATCCATTTGTAGATTCTACAAAAAGAGTGTTTCCAAACTGCTGTATCAAAACAAAGGTTGAACTCTGTGAGTTGAGGACACACATCACAAATAAGTTTCTGAGAATGCTTCTGTCTAGTTTTTATTTGAAGATGTTTCCTTTTTCACCATAGGCCTGAAAGCGCTCGAAATGTCCACTTCCAGATAGTACAGAAAGAGTGTTTCAAACCTGCTCTATGAACGGGAATGTTCAGCTCTGTGAGTTGAATGCAAACATCACAAAGCAGGTTCCGAGAATGCTTCCGTCTAGATTTTAAATGAGGATATTCCCGTTTCCAACGAAATCCTCGAAGCTATCCAAATATCCACTTGCAGATTCCACAAAAAGAGTGTTTCAAAACTGCTCTGTCAAAAGATAGGTTCAACTCTGTTAGTTGAGTACACACATGGCAAACAAGATTGCGAGAATGCTTTCGTCTAGTTTTTTTGGGAAGATATTTCCTTCTTCACCATAGGCCTCAAAGCGCTCCAAATATCCATTTCCACATGCTATACAAAGAGTGTCTCAAACCTGCTGTATGAATGGGAATGTTCAACTCTATGAGTTGAATGCAAACATCACAAAGAAGTTTCTGAGAATGCTGCTGTCTAGATTTTATATGAAGGTTTTCCCGCTTCCAACGAAATTTTCAATGCTCTCAAAATATCCTCTTGTAGATTCTACAAAAAGAGTGTTTCCAAACTGCTGTATCAAAACAAAGGTTCATCTCTGTTAGTTGAGGACACACATCACAAATAAGTTTCTGAGAATGCTTCTGTCTAGTTCTTATTTGAAGACATTTCCTTTCTCACCTTAGGCCTGAAAACGCTCGAAATATCCACTTCCAGATACGACAGAAACTGTGATTCAAACCTGCTCTATGAAAGGGAATGTTCAACTAGGTGACTTGAATGCAAACATCACAAAGCAGTTTCTGAGAATGCTGCTGTCTACTTTCTATTTGTAATCCCGTTTCCACCGAAATCCTCAGAACTATCGAAATTTCCAATTGCAGATTCCACAAAAAGCGTGTTTCAAAGCTGCTCTGTAAAAGGAAAGGTTCAACTCTGTTAGTTGAATACACACGTCACAAACAAGTTTCTGAGATTGCTTCTGTCTAGTTTTTATGGGAAGATATTTCCTTTTTCACCGTAGGCCTCAAAGCGCTCCAAATGTCCACTTCCACATACTACAAAAAGAGTGTTTCAAACCTGCTGTATGAAAGGGAATGTTCAACTCTATGAGTTGAATGCAAACATTACAAAGAAGTTTCTGAGAATGCTTCTGTCTAGATTTTATATGAAGGTTTTCCCGTTTCCAACGAAATTTTCAATGCTCTCAAAATATCCACTTGTAGATTCTACAAAAAGAGTGTTTCCAAACTGCTGTGTCAAAAGAAAGGTTCAACTCTGTTAGTTGAGGACACACATCACAAATAAGTTTCTGAGAATGCTTCTGTCTAGTTCTTATTTGAAGACATTTCCTTTCTCACCTTAGGCCTGAAAACGCTCGAAATATCCACTTCCAGATACGACAGAAACAGTGATTCAAACCTGCTCTATGAAAGGGAATGTTCAACTAGGTGACTTGAATGCAAACATCACAAAGCAGTTTCTGAGAATGCTGCTGTCTACTTTCTATTTGTAATCCCGTTTCCAACGAAATCCTCAGAACTATCGAAATTTCCAATTGCAGATTCCACAAAAAGCGTGTTTCAAAGCTGCTCTGTAAAAAGAAAGGTTCAACTCTGTTAGTTGAATACACACGTCACAAACAAGTTTCTGAGAATGCTTCTGTCTAGTTTTTATGGGAAGATATTTCCTTTTTCACGGTAGGCCTCAAAGCGCTCCAAATGTCCACTTCCACATACTACAAAAAGAGTGTTTCAAACCTGCTCTATGATAGGGAATGTTGAAACCTATGAGTTGAATGCAAGCATTACAAAGAGGTTTCTGAGAATGCTTCTGTCTAGATTTTATATGTAGATATTCCCGTTTCCAACGAAATCCTCAAAGCTATCCAAATATCAACTTGCAGATTCTACAAAAGGAATGTTTCCAAAATGCTGTATCCAAACAAAGGTTCAACTCTGTGAATTGAGGGCATACATCACAAAGAAGATTCTGAGAATGCTTCTGTCTAGATTTTATATGAAAATATTCCCGTTTCCAACGAAATCCTCAAAGCTATCCAAATATCCACTTGCAAATGCCACAAAAAGAGTGTTTCCAAACTGCTCTGTGAAAAGGAAGGTTCAACTCTGTTAGTTGAGTACACACATCACAAAGAGGTTTCTGAGAATGCTGCTGACTAGTTTTTATTTGAAGATATTTCCCTTTTCACCTTAGGCCTAAGAGTGCTCGAAATGTCCATTTCCACATACTCCACAAAGTGTGTTTCAAACGTGCTGTATGAAAGGGAATGTTCAACTCTATGAGTTGAATGCAAACATCACAAAGAAGATTCTGAGAATGCTTTTGTCTAGATTTTATATGAAGATATTCCCGTGTCCAACGAAATTTTCAAAGGTCTCCAAATATCCATTTGTAGATTCTACAAAAAGAGTGTTTCCAAACTGCTGTATCAAAACAAAGGTTGAACTCTGTGAGTTGAGGACACACATCACAAATAAGTTTCTGAGAATGCTTCTGTCTAGTTTTTATTTGAAGATGTTTCCTTTTTCACCATAGGCCTGAAAGCGCTCGAAATGTCCACTTCCAGATAGTACAGAAAGAGTGTTTCAAACCTGCTCTATGAACGGGAATGGTCAGCTCTGTGAGTTGAATGCAAACATCACAAAGCAGGTTCTGAGAATGCTTCCGTCTAGATTTTAAATGAGGATATTCCCTTTTCCAACGAAATCCTCGAAGCTATCCAAATATCCACTTGCAGATTCCACAAAAAGAGTGTTTCAAAACTGCTCTGTCAAAAGATAGGTTCAACTCTGTTAGTTGAGTACACACATGGCAAACAAGATTCCGAGAATGCTTTCGTCTAGTTTTTTTGGGAAGATATTTCCTTCTTCACCATAGGCCTCAAAGCGCTCCAAATATCCATTTCCACATGCTATACAAAGAGTGTCTCAAACCTGCTGTATGAATGGGAATGTTCAACTCTATGAGTTGAATGCAAACATCACAAAGAAGTTTCTGAGAATGCTGCTGTGTAGATTTTATATGAAGGTTTTCCCGCTTCCAACGAAATTTTCAATGCTCTCAAAATATCCTCTTGTAGATTCTACAAAAAGAGTGTTTCCAAACTGCTGTATCAAAACAAAGGTTCATCTCTGTTAGTTGAGGACACACATCACAAATAAGTTTCTGAGAATGCTTCTGTCTAGTTCTTATTTGAAGACATTTCCTTTCTCACCTTAGGCCTGAAAGCGCTCGAAATACCCACTTCCAGATACTACAGAAACAGTGATTCAAACCTGCTCTATGAAAGGGAATGTTCAACTATGTGACTTGAATGCAAACATCACAAAGCAGTTTCTGAGAATGCTGCTGTCTACTTTCTATTTGTAATCCCGTTTCCAACGAAATCCTCAGAACTATCAAAATTTCCAATTGCAGATTCCACAGAAACAGGGTTTCAAAGCTGCTCTGTAAAAAGAAAGGTTCAACTCTGTTAGTTGAATACACACGTCACAAACAAGTTTCTGAGAATGCTTCTGTCTAGTTTTTATGGGAAGATATTTCCTTTTTCACCGTAGGCCTCAAAGCGCTCCAAATGTCCACTTCCACATACTACAAAAAGAGTGTTTCAAACCTGCTCTATGATAGGGAATGTTGAAACCTATGAGTTGAATGCAAACATTACAAAGAGGTTTCTGAGAATGCTTCTGTCTAGATTTTATATGTAGATATTCCCGTTTCCAACGAAATCCTCAAAGCTATCCAAATATCAACTTGCAGATACTACAAAAGGAATGTTTCCAAAATGCTGTATCGAAACAAAGGTTCAACTCTGTGAATTGAGGGCATACATCACAAAGAAGATTCTGAGAATGCTTCTGTCTAGATTTTATATGAAAATATTCCCGTTTCCAACGAAATCCTCAAAGCTATCCAAATATCCACTTGCAAATGCCACAAAAAGAGTGTTTCCAAACTGCTCTGTGAAAAGGAAGGTTCAACTCTGTTAGTTGAGTACACACATCACAAAGAGGTTTCTGAGAATGCTTGCTGACTAGTTTTTATTTGAAGATATTTCCCTTTTCACCTTAGGCCTAAGAGTGCTCGAAATGTCCATTTCCACATACTCCACAAAGTGTGTTTCAAACGTGCTGTATGAAAGGGAATGTTCAACTCTATGAGTTGAATTCAAACATCACAAAGAAGATTCTGAGAATGCTTTTGTCTAGATTTTATATGAAGATATTCCCATGTCCAACGAAATTTTCAAAGTTCTCCAAATATCCATTTGTAGATTCTACAAAAAGAGTGTTTCCAAACTGCTGTATCAAAACAAAGGTTGAACTCTGTGAGTTGAGGACACACATCACAAATAAGTTTCTGAGAATGCTTCTGTCTAGTTTTTATTTGAAGATGTTTCCTTTTTCACCATAGGCCTGAAAGCGCTCGAAATGTCCACTTCCAGATAGTACAGAAAGAGTGTTTCAAACCTGCTCTATGAACGGGAATGTTCAGCTCTGTGAGTTGAATGCAAACATCACAAAGCAGGTTCTGAGAATGCTTCCGTCTAGATTTTAAATGAGGATATTCCCGTTTCCAACGAAATCCTCGAAGCTATCCAAATATCCACTTGCAGATTCCACAAAAAGAGTGTTTCAAAACTGCTCTGTCAAAAGATAGGTTCAACTCTGTTAGTTGAGTACACACATGGCAAACAAGATTGCGAGAATGCTTTCGTCTAGTTTTTTTGGGAAGATATTTCCTTCTTCACCATAGGCCTCAAAGCGCTCCAAATATCCATTTCCACATGCTATACAAAGAGTGTCTCAAACCTGCTGTATGAATGGGAATGTTCAACTCTATGAGTTGAATGCAAACATCACAAAGAAGTTTCTGAGAATGCTGCTGTCTAGATTTTATATGAAGGTTTTCCCGCTTCCAACGAAATTTTCAATGCTCTCAAAATATCCTCTTGTAGATTCTACAAAAAGAGTGTTTCCAAACTGCTGTATCAAAACAAAGGTTCATCTCTGTTAGTTGAGGACACACATCACAAATAAGTTTCTGAGAATGCTTCTGTCTAGTTCTTATTTGAAGACATTTCCTTTCTCACCTTAGGCCTGAAAGCGCTCGAAATACCCACTTCCAGATACTACAGAAACAGTGATTCAAACCTGCTCTATGAAAGGGAATGTTCAACAATGTGACTTGAATGCAAACATCACAAAGCAGTTTCTGAGAATGCTGCTGTCTACTTTGTATTTGTAATCCCGTTTCCAACGAAATCCTCAGAACTATCGAAGTTTCAAATTGCAGATTCCACAGAAACAGGGTTTCAAAGCTGCTCTGTAAAAAGAAAGGTTCAACTCTGTTAGTTGAATACACACGTCACAAACAAGTTTCTGAGAATGCTTCTGTCTAGTTTTTATGGGAAGATATTTCCTTTTTCACCGTAGGCCTCAAAGCGCTCCAAATGTCCACTTCCACATACTACAAAAAGAGTGTTTCAAACCTGCTGTATGAAAGGGAATGTTCAACTCTATGAGTTGAATGCAAACATTACAAAGAAGTTTCTGAGAATGCTTCTGTCTAGATTTTATATGAATGTTTTCCCGTTTCCAACGAAATTTTCAATGCTCTCAAAATATCCACTTGTAGATTCTACAAAAAGAGTGTTTCCAAACTGCTGTGTCAAAAGAAAGGTTCAACTCTGTTAGTTGAGGACACACATCACAAATAAGTTTCTGAGAATGCTGCTGTCTACTTTCTATTTGTAATCCCGTTTCCAAAGAAATTCTCAGAACTATCGAAATTTCCAATTGCAGATTCCACAAAAGTGTGTTTCAAAGCTGCTCTGTAAAAAGAAAGGTTCAACTCTTTTAGTTGAATACACGTCAGAAACAAGTTTCTGAGAATGCTTCTGTCTAGTTTTTATGGGAAGATATTTCCTTTTTCACCGTAGGCCTCAAAGCGCTCCAAATGTCCACTTCAACATACTACAAAAAGAGTGTTTCAAACCTGCTCTATGATAGGGAATGTTGAAACCTATGAGTTGAATGCAAACATTACAAAGAGGTTTCTGAGAATGCTTCTGTCTAGATTTTATATGTAGATATTCCCGTTTGCAATGAAATCCTCAAAGCTATCCAAATATCAACGTGCAGATACTACAAAAGGAATGTTTCCAAAATGCTGTATCGAAACAAAGGTTCAACTCTATGAATTGAGGGCATACATCACAAAGAAGATTCTGAGAATGCTTCTGTCTAGATTTTAGATGAAAATATTCCCGTTTCCAACGAAATCCTTAAAGCTATCCAAATATCCACTTGCAAATGCCACAAAAAGAGTGTTTCCAAACTGCTCTGTGAAAAGGAAGGTTCAACTCTGTTAGTTGAGTACACACATCACAAAGAGGTTTCTGAGAATGCTGCTGACTAGTTTTTATTTGAAGATATTTCCCTTTTCACCTTAGGCCTAAGAGTGCTCGAAATGTCCATTTCCACATACTCCACAAAGTGTGTTTCAAACGTGCTGTGTGAAAGGGAATGTTTAACTCTATGAGTTGAATGCAAACATCACAAAGAAGATTCTGAGAATGCTTTTGTCTAGATTTTATATGAAGATATTCCCGTGTCCAACGAAATTTTCAAAGGTCTCCAAATATCCATTTGTAGATTCTACAAAAAGAGTGTTTCCAAACTGCTGTATCAAAACGAAGGTTGAACTCCGTGAGTTGAGGACACACATCACAAATAACTTTCAGAGAATGCTTCCTGTCTAGTTTTTATTTGAAGATGTTTCCTTTTTCACCATAGGCCTGAAAGCGCTCGAAATGTCCACTTCCAGATAGTACAGAAAGAGTGTTTCAAACCTGCTCTATGAACGGGAATGTTCAGCTCTGTGAGTTGAATGCAAACATCACAAAGCAGGTTCTGAGAATGCTTCCGTCTAGATTTTATATGAGGATATTCCCGTTTCCAAGGAAATCCTCGAAGCTATCCAAATATCCATTTGCAGATTCCACAAAAAGAGTGTTTCAAAACTGCTCTGTCAAAAGATAGGTTCAACTCTGTTAGTTGAGTACACACATGGCAAACAAGACTGTGAGAATGCTTTCGTCTAGTCTTTTTGGCAAGATATTCCCTTCTTTACCATAGGCCTCAAAGCGCGCCAAATATCCATTTCCACATAGTATACAAAGAGTGTCTCAAACCTGCTGTATGAATGGGAATGTTCAACTCTATGAGTTGAATGCAAACATCACAAAGAAGTTTCTGAGAATGCTGCTGTCTAGATTTTATATGAAGGTTTTCCCGCTTCCAATGAAATTTTCAATGCTCTCAAAATATCCTCTTGTAGATTCTACAAAAAGAGTGTTTCTAAACTGCTGTGTCAAAACAAAGGTTCATCTCTGTTAGTTGAGGACACACATCACAAATAAGTTTCTGAGAATGCTTCTGTCTAGTTCTTATTTGAAGACATTTCCTTTCTCACCTTAGGCCTGAAAACGCTCGAAATATCCACTTCCAGATACGACAGAAACAGGGATTCAAATCTGCTCTATGAAAGGGTATGTTCAACTAGGTGACTTGAATGCAAACATCACAAAGCAGTTCTGAGAATGCTGCTGTCTACTTTCTATTTGTAATCCCGTTTCCAACGAAATCCTCAGAACTATCGAAATTTCCAATTGCAGATTCCACAAAAAGCGTGTTTCAAAGCTGCTCTGTAAAAAGAAAGGTTCAACTCTGTTAGTTGAATACACACGTCACAAACAAGTTTCTGAGAATGCTTCTGTCTAGTTTTTATGGGAAGATATTTCCTTTTTCACGGTAGGCCTCAAAGCGCTCCAAATGTCCACTTCCACATACTACAAAAAGAGTGTTTCAAACCTGCTCTATGATAGGGAATGTTGAAACCTATGAGTTGAATGCAAGCATTACAAAGAGGTTTCTGAGAATGCTTCTGTCTAGACTTTATATGTAGATATTCCCGTTTCCAACGAAATCCTCAAACTATCCAAATATCAACTTGCAGATTCTACAAAAGGAATGTTTCCAAAATGCTGTATCCAAACAAAGGTTCAACTCTGTGAATTGAGGGCATACATCACAAAGAAGATTCTGAGAATGCTTCTGTCTAGATTTTATATGAAAATATTCCCGTTTCCAACGAAATCCTCAAAGCTATCCAAATATCCACTTGCAAATGCCACAAAAAGAGTGTTTCCAAACTGCTCTGTGAAAAGGAAGGTTCAACTCTGTTAGTTGAGTACACACATCACAAAGAGGTTTCTGAGAATGCTGCTGACTAGTTTTTATTTGAAGATATTTCCCTTTTCACCTTAGGCCTAAGAGTGCTCGAAATGTCCATTTCCACATACTCCACAAAGTGTGTTTCAAACGTGCTGTATGAAAGGGAATGTTCAACTCTATCAGTTGAATGCAAACGTCACAAAGAAGACTCTGAGAATGCTTTTGTCTAGATTTTATATGAAGATATTCCCGTGTCCAACGAAATTTTCAAAGGTCTCCAAATATCCATTTGTAGATTCTACAAAAAGAGTGTTTCCAAACTGCTGTATCAAAACAAAGGTTGAACTCTGTGAGTTGAGGACACACATCACAAATAAGTTTCTGAGAATGCTTCTGTCTAGTTTTTATTTGAAGATGTTTCCTTTTTCACCATAGGCCTGAAAGCGCTCGAAATGTCCACTTCCAGATAGTACAGAAAGAGTGTTTCAAACCTGCTCTATGAACGGGAATGTTCAGCTCTTGAGTTGAATGCAAACATCACAAAGCAGGTTCTGAGAATGCTTCCGTCTAGATTTTAAATGAGGATATTCCCGTTTCCAACGAAATCCTCGAAGCTATCCAAATATCCACTTGCAGATTCCACAAAAAGAGTGTTTCAAAACTGCTCTGTCAAAAGATAGGTTCAACTCTGTTAGTTGAGTACACACATGGCAAACAAGATTCCGAGAATGCTTTCGTCTAGTTTTTTTGGGAAGATATTTCCTTCTTCACCATAGGCCTCAAAACGCTCCAAATATCCATTTCCACATGCTATACAAAGAGTGTCTCAAACCTGCTGTATGAATGGGAATGTTCAACTCTATGAGTTGAATGCAAACATCACAAAGAAGTTTCTGAGAATGCTTCTGTCTAGATTTTATATGAAGGTTTTCCCGCTTCCAACGAAATTTTCAATGCTCTCAAAATATCCTCTTGTAGATTCTACAAAAAGAGTGTTTCCAAACTGCTGTATCAAAACAAAGGTTCATCTCTGTTAGTTGAGGACACACATCACAAATAAGTTTCTGAGAATGCTTCTGTCTAGTTCTTATTTGAAGACATTTCCTTTCTCACCTTAGGCCTGAAAGCGCTCGAAATACCCACTTCCAGATACTACAGAAACAGTGATTCAAACCTGCTCTATGAAAGGGAATGTTCACCTATGTGACTTGAATGCAAACATCACAAAGCAGTTTCTGAGAATGCTGCTGTCTACTTTCTATTTGTAATCCCGTTTCCAACGAAATCCTCAGAACTATCGAAATTTCCAATTGCAGATTCCACAGAAACAGGGTTTCAAAGCTGCTCTGTAAAAAGAAAGGTTCAACTCTGTTAGTTGAATACACACGTCACAAACAAGTTTCTGAGAATGCTTCTGTCTAGTTTTTATGGGAAGATATTTCCTTTTTCACCGTAGGCCTCAAAGCGCTCCAAATGTCCACTTCCACATACTACAAAAAGAGTGTTTCAAACCTGCTGTATGAAAGGGAATGTTTAACTCTATGAGTTGAATGCAAACATTACAAAGAAGTTTCTGAGAATGCTTCTGTCTAGATTTTATATGAAGGTTTTCCCGTTTCCAACGAAATTTTCAATGCTCTCAAAATATCCACTTGTAGATTCTACAAAAAGAGTGTTTCCAAACTGCTGTGTCAAAAGAAAGGTTCAACTCTGTTAGTTGAGGACACACATCACAAATAAGTTTCTGAGAATGCTTCTGTCTAGTTCTTATTTGAAGACATTTCCTTTCTCACCTTAGGCCTGAAAACGCTCGAAATATCCACTTCCAGATACGACAGAAACAGTGATTCAAACCTGCTCTATGAAAGGGAATGTTCAACTAGGTGACTTGAATGCAAACATCACAAAGTAGTTTCTGAGAATGCTGCTGTCTACTTTCTATTTGTAATCCCGTTTCCAACGAAATCCTCAGAACTATCGAAATTTCCAATTGCAGATTCCACAAAAAGCGTGTTTCAAAGCTGCTCTGTAAAAAGAAAGGTTCAACTCTGTTAGTTGAATACACACGTCACAAACAAGTTTCTGAGAATGCTTCTGTCTAGTTTTTATGGGAAGATATTTCCTTTTTCACCGTAGGCCTCAAAGTGCTCCAAATGTCCACTTCCACATACTACAAAAAGAGTGTTTCAAACCTGCTCTATGATAGGGAATGTTGAAACCTATGAGTTGAATGCAAGCATTACAAAGAGGTTTCTGAGAATGCTTCTGTCTAGATTTTATATGTAGATATTCCCGTTTCCAACGAAATCCTCAAAGCTATCCAAATATCAACCTGCAGATTCTACAAAAGGAATGTTTCCAAAATGCTGTATCCAAACAAAGGTTCAACTCTGTGAATTGAGGGCATACATCACAAAGAAGATTCTGAGAATGCTTCTGTCTAGATTTTATATGAAAATATTCCCGTTTCCAACGAAATCCTCAAAGCTATCCAAATATCCACTTGCAAATGCCACAAAAAGAGTGTTTCCAAACTGCTCTGTGAAAAGGAAGGTTCAACTCTGTTAGTTGAGTACACACATCACAAAGAGGTTTCTGAGAATGCTGCTGACTAGTTTTTATTTGAAGATATTTCCCTTTTCACCTTAGGCCTAAGAGTGCTCGAAATGTCCATTTCCACATACTCCACAAAGTGTGTTTCAAACGTGCTGTATGAAAGGGAACGTTCAACTCTATGAGTTGAATGCAAACATCACAAAGAAGATTCTGAGAATGCTTTTGTCTAGATTTTATATGAAGATATTCCCGTGTCCAACGAAATTTTCAAAGGTCTCCAAATATCCATTTGTAGATTCTACAAAAAGAGTGTTTCCAAACTGCTGTATCAAAACAAAGGTTGAACTCTGTGAGTTGAGGACACACATCACAAATAAGTTTCTGAGAATGCTTCTGTCTAGTTTTTATTTGAAGATGTTTCCTTTTTCACCATAGGCCTGAAAGCGCTCGAAATGTCCACTTCCAGATAGTACAGAAAGAGTGTTTCAAACCTGCTCTATGAACGGGAATGTTCAGCTCTGTGAGTTGAATGCAAACATCACAAAGCAGGTTCTGAGAATGCTTCCGTCTAGATTTTAAATGAGGATATTCCCGTTTCCAACGAAATCCTCGAAGCTATCCAAATATCCACTTGCAGATTCCACAAAAAGAGTGTTTCAAAACTGCTCTGTCAAAAGATAGGTTCAACTCTGTTAGTTGAGTACACACATGGCAAACAAGATTCCGAGAATGCTTTCGTCTAGTTTTTTTGGGAAGATACTTCCTTCTTCACCATAGGCCTCAAAGCGCTCCAAATATCCATTTCCACATGCTATACAAAGAGTGTCTCAAACCTGCTGTATGAATGGGAATGTTCAACTCTATGAGTTGAATGCAAACATCACAAAGAAGTTTCTGAGAATGCTGCTGTCTAGATTTTATATGAAGGTTTTCCCGCTTCCAACGAAATTTTCAATGCTCTCAAAATATCCTCTTGTAGATTCTACAAAAAGAGTGTTTCCAAACTGCTGTATCAAAACAAAGGTTCATCTCTGTTAGTTGAGGACACACATCACAAATAAGTTTCTGAGAATGCTTCTGTCTAGTTCTTATTTGAAGACATTTCCTTTCTCACCTTAGGCCTGAAAACGCTCGAAATATCCACTTCCAGATACGACAGAAACTGTGATTCAAACCTGCTCTATGAAAGGGAATGTTCAACTAGGTGACTTGAATGCAAACATCACAAAGCAGTTTCTGAGAATGCTGCTGTCTACTTTCTATTTGTAATCCCGTTTCCAACGAAATCCTCAGAACTATCGAAATTTCCAATTGCAGATTCCACAAAAAGCGTGTTTCAAAGCTGCTCTGTAAAAAGAAAGGTTCAACTCTGTTAGTTGAATACACACGTCACAAACAAGTTTCTGAGAATGCTTCTGTCTAGTTTTTATGGGAAGATATTTCCTTTTTCACCGTAGGCCTCAAAGCGCTCCAAATGTCCACTTCCACATACTACAAAAAGAGTGTTTCAAACCTGCTCTATGATAGGGAATGTTGAAACCTATGAGTTGAATGCAAACATTACAAAGAGGTTTCTGAGAATGCTTCTGTCTAGATTTTATATGTAGATATTCCCGTTTCCAACGAAATCCTCAAAGCTATCCAAATATCAACTTGCAGATTCTACAAAAGGAATGTTTCCAAAATGCTGTATCCAAACAAAGGTTCAACTCTGTGAATTGAGGGCATACATCACAAAGAAGATTCTGAGAATGCTTCTGTCTAGATTTTATATGAAAATATTCCCGTTTCCAACGAAATCCTCAAAGCTATCCAAATATCCACTTGCAAATGCCACAAAAAGAGTGTTTCCAAACTGCTCTGTGAAAAGGAAGGTTCAACTCTGTTAGTTGAGTACACACATCACAAAGAGGTTTCTGAGAATGCTGCTGACTAGTTTTTATTTGAAGATATTTCCCTTTTCACCTTAGGCCTAAGAGTGCTCGAAATGTCCATTTCCACATACTCCACAAAGTGTGTTTCAAACGTGCTGTATGAAAGGGAATGTTCAACTCTATGAGTTGAATGCAAACATCACAAAGAAGATTCTGAGAATGCTTTTGTCTAGATTTTATATGAAGATATTCCCGTGTCCAACGAAATTTTCAAAGGTCTCCAAATATCCATTTGTAGATTCTACAAAAAGAGTGTTTCCAAACTGCTGTATCAAAACAAAGGTTGAACTCTGTGAGTTGAGGACACACATCACAAATAAGTTTCTGAGAATGCTTCTGTCTAGTTTTTATTTGAAGATGTTTCCTTTTTCACCATAGGCCTGAAAGCGCTCGAAATGTCCACTTCCAGATAGTACAGAAAGAGTGTTTCAAACCTGCTCTATGAACGGGAATGTTCAGCTCTGTGAGTTGAATGCAAACATCACAAAGCAGGTTCTGAGAATGCTTCCGTCTAGATTTTAAATGAGGATATTCCCGTTTCCAACGAAATCCTCGAAGCTATCCAAATATCCACTTGCAGATTCCACAGAAAGAGTGTTTCAAAACTGCTCTCTCAAAAGATAGGTTCAACTCTGTTAGTTGAGTACACACATGGCAAACAAGATTCCGAGAATGCTTTCGTCTAGTTTTTTTGGGAAGATATTTCCTTCTTCACCATAGTCCTCAAAGCGCTCCAAATATCCATTTCCGCATGCTATACAAAGAGTGTCTCAAACCTGCTGTATGAATGGGAAAGTTCAACTCTATGAGTTGAATGCAAACATCACAAAGAAGTTTCTGAGAATGCTGCTGTCTAGATTTTATATGAAGGTTTTCCCGCTTCCAACGAAATTTTCAATGCTCTCAAAATATCCTCTTGTAGATTCTACAAAAAGAGTGTTTCCAAACTGCTGTATCAAAACAAAGGTTCATCTCTGTTAGTTGAGGACACACATCACAAATAAGTTTCTGAGAATGCTTCTGTCTAGTTCTTATTTGAAGACATTTCCTTTCTCACCTTAGGCCTGAAAGCGCTCGAAATACCCACTTCCAGATACTACAGAAACAGTGATTCAAACCTGCTCTATGAAAGGGAATGTTCAACTAGGTGACTTGAATGCAAACATCAGAAAGCAGTTTCTGAGAATGCTGCTGTCTACTTTCTATTTGTAATCCCGTTTCCAACGAAATCCTCAGAACTATCGAAATTTCCAATTGCAGATTCCACAGAAACAGGGTTTCAAAGCTGCTCTGTAAAAAGAAAGGTTCAACTCTGTTAGTTGAATACACACGTCACAAACAAGTTTCTGAGAATGCTTCTGTCTAGTTTTTATGGGAAGATATTTCCTTTTTCACCGTAGGCCTCAAAGCGCTCCAAATGTCCACGTCCACATACTACAAAAAGAGTGTTTCAAACCTGCTGTATGAAAGGGAATGTTCAACTCTATGAGTTGAATGCAAACATTACAAAGAAGTTTCTGAGAATGCTTCTGTCTAGATTTTATATGAAGGTTTTCCCGTTTCCAATGAAATTTTCAATGCTCTCAAAATATCCACTTGTAGATTCTACAAAAAGAGTGTTTCCAAACTGCTGTGTCAAAAGAAAGGTTCAACTCTGTTAGTTGAGGACACACATCACAAATAAGTTTCTGAGAATGCTGCTGTCTACTTTCTATTTGTAATCCCGTTTCCAACGAAATCCTCAGAACTATCGAAATTTCCAATTGCAGATTCCACAAAAAGCGTGTTTCAAAGCTGCTCTGTAAAAAGAAAGGTTCATCTCTGTTAGTTGAATACACACGTCACAAACAAGTTTCTGAGAATGCTTCTGTCTAGTTTTTATGGGAAGATATTTCCTTTTTCACCGTAGGCCTCAAAGCGCTCCAAATGTCCACTTCCACATACTACAAAAAGAGTGTTTCAAACCTGCTCTATGATAGGGAATGTTGAAACCTATGAGTTGAATGCAAGCATTACAAAGAGGTTTCTGAGAATGCTTCTGTCTAGATTTTATATGTAGATATTCCCGTTTCCAACGAAATCCTCAAAGCTATCCAAATATCAACTTGCAGATTCTACAAAAGGAATGTTTCCAAAATGCTGTATCCAAACAAAGGTTCAACTCTGTGAATTGAGGGCATACATCACAAAGAAGATTCTGAGAATGCTTCTGTCTAGATTTTATATGAAAATATTCCCGTTTCCAACGAAATCCTCAAAGCTATCCAAATAGCCACTTGCAAATGCCACAAAAAGAGTGTTTCCAAACTGCTCTGTGAAAAGGAAGGTTCAACTCTGTTAGTTGAGTACACACATCACAAAGAGGTTTCTGAGAATGCTGCTGACTAGTTTTTATTTGAAGATATTTCCCTTTTCACCTTAGGCCTAAGAGTGCTCGAAATGTCCATTTCCACATACTCCACAAAGTGTGTTTCAAACGTGCTGTATGAAAGGGAATGTTCAACTCTATGAGTTGAATGCAAACATCACAAAGAAGATTCTGAGAATGCTTTTGTCTAGATTTTATATGAAGATATTCCCGTGTCCAACGAAATTTTCAAAGGTCTCCAAATATCCATTTGTAGATTCTACAAAAAGAGTGTTTCCAAACTGCTGTATCAAAACAAAGGTTGAACTACTGTGAGTTGAGGACACACATCACAAATAAGTTTCTGAGAATGCTTCTGTCTAGTTTTTATTTGAAGATGTTTCCTTTTTCACCATAGGCCTGAAAGCGCTCGAAATGTCCACTTCCAGATAGTACAGAAAGAGTGTTTCAAACCTGCTCTATGAACGGGAATGTTCAGCTCTGTGAGTTGAATGCAAACATCACAAAGCAGGTTCTGAGAATGCTTCCGTCTAGATTTTAAATGAGGATATTCCCGTTTCCAACGAAATCCTCGAAGCTATCCAAATATCCACTTGCAGATTCCACAAAAAGAGTGTTTCAAAACTGCTCTGTCAAAAGATAGGTTCAACTCTGTTAGTTGAGTACACACATGGCAAACAAGATTGCGAGAATGCTTTCGTCTAGTTTTTTTGGGAAGATATTTCCTTCTTCACCATAGGCCTCAAAGCGCTCCAAATATCCATTTCCACATGCTATACAAAGAGTGTCTCAAACCTGCTGTATGAATGGGAATGTTCAACTCTATGAGTTGAATGCAAACATCACAAAGAAGTTTCTGAGAATGCTGCTGTCTAGATTTTATATGAAGGTTTTCCCGCTTCCAACGAAATTTTCAATGCTCTCAAAATATCCTCTTGTAGATTCTACAAAAAGAGTGTTTCCAAACTGCTGTATCAAAACAAAGGTTCATCTCTGTTAGTTGAGGACACACATCACAAATAAGTTTCTGAGAATGCTTCTGTCTAGTTCTTATTTGAAGACATTTCCTTTCTCACCTTAGGCCTGAAAGCGCTCGAAATACCCACTTCCAGATACTACAGAAACAGTGATTCAAACCTGCCCTATGAAAGGGAATGTTCAACTAGGTGACTTGAATGCAAACATCACAAAGCAGTTTCTGAGAATGCTGCTGTCTACTTTCTATTTGTAATCCCGTTTCCAACGAAATCCTCAGAACTATCGAAATTTCCAATTGCAGATTCCACAAAAAGCGTGTTTCAAAGCTGCTCTGTAAAAAGAAAGGTTCATCTCTGTTAGTTGAATACACACGTCACAAACAAGTTTCTGAGAATGCTTCTGTCTAGTTTTTATGGGAAGATATTTCCTTTTTCACCGTAGGCCTCAAAGCGCTCCAAATGTCCACTTCCACATACTACAAAAAGAGTGTTTCAAACCTGCTCTATGATAGGGAATGTTGAAACCTATGAGTTGAATGCAAGCATTACAAAGAGGTTTCTGAGAATGCTTCTGTCTAGATTTTATATGTAGATATTCCCGTTTCCAACGAAATCCTCAAAGCTATCCAAATATCAACTTGCAGATTCTACAAAAGGAATGTTTCCAAAATGCTGTATCCAAACAAAGGTTCAACTCTGTGAATTGAGGGCATACATCACAAAGAAGATTCTGAGAATGCTTCTGTCTAGATTTTATATGAAAATATTCCCGTTTCCAACGAAATCCTCAAAGCTATCCAAATATCCACTTGCAAATGCCACAAAAAGAGTGTTTCCAAACTGCTCTGTGAAAAGGAAGGTTCAACTCTGTTAGTTGAGTACACACATCACAAAGAGGTTTCTGAGAATGCTGCTGACTAGTTTTTATTTGAAGATATTTCCCTTTTCACCTTAGGCCTAAGAGTGCTCGAAATGTCCATTTCCACATACTCCACAAAGTGGGTTTCAAACGTGCTGTATGAAAGGGAATGTTCAACTCTATGAGTTGAATGCAAACATCACAAAGAAGATTCTGAGAATGCTTTTGTCTAGATTTTATATGAAGATATTCCCGTGTCCAACGAAATTTTCAAAGGTCTCCAAATATCCATTTGTAGATTCTACAAAAAGAGTGTTTCCAAACTGCTGTATCAAAACAAAGGTTGAACTCTGTGAGTTGAGGACACACATCACAAATAAGTTTCTGAGAATGCTTCTGTCTAGTTTGTATTTGAAGATGTTTCCTTTTTCACCATAGGCCTGAAAGCGCTCGAAATGTCCACTTCCAGATAGTACAGAAAGAGTGTTTCAAACCTGCTCTATGAACGGGAATGTTCAGCTCTGTGAGTTGAATGCAAACATCACAAAGCAGGTTCTGAGAATGCTTCCGTCTAGATTTTAAATGAGGATATTCCCGTTTCCAACGAAATCCTCGAAGCTATCCAAATATCCACTTGCAGATTCCACAAAAAGAGTGTTTCAAAACTGCTCTGTCAAAAGATAGGTTCAACTCTGTTAGTTGAGTACACACATGGCAAACAAGATTGCGAGAATGCTTTCGTCTAGTTTTTTTGGGAAGATATTTCCTTCTTCACCATAGGCCTCAAAGCGCTCCAAATATCCATTTCCACATGCTATACAAAGAGTGTCTCAAACCTGCTGTATGAATGGGAATGTTCAACTCTATGAGTTGAATGCAAACATCACAAAGAAGTTTCTGAGAATGCTGCTGTCTAGATTTTATATGAAGGTTTTCCCGCTTCCATGAAATTTTCAATGCTCTCAAAATATCCTCTTGTAGATTCTACAAAAAGAGTGTTTCCAAACTGCTGTATCAAAACAAAGGTTCATCTCTGTTAGTTGAGGACACACATCACAAATAAGTTTCTGAGAATGCTTCTGTCTAGTTCTTATTTGAAGACATTTCCTTTCTCACCTTAGGCCTGAAAACGCTCGAAATATCCACTTCCAGATACGACAGAAACTGTGATTCAAACCTGCTCTATGAAAGGGAATGTTCAACTAGGTGACTTGAATGCAAACATCACAAAGCAGTTTCTGAGAATGCTGCTGTCTACTTTCTATTTGTAATCCCGTTTCCAACGAAATCCTCAGAACTATCGAAATTTCCAATTGCAGATTCCACAAAAAGCGTGTTTCAAAGCTGCTCTGTAAAAAGAAAGGTTCAACTCTGTTAGTTGAATACACACGTCACAAACAAGTTTCTGAGAATGCTTCTGTCTAGTTTTTATGGGAAGATATTTCCTTTTTCACCGTAGGCCTCAAAGCGCTCCAAATGTCCACTTCCACATACTACAAAAAGAGTGTTTCAAACCTGCTGTATGAAAGGGAATGTTCAACTCTATGAGTTGAATGCAAACATCACAAAGAAGTTTCTGAGAATGCTTCTGTCTAGATTTTATATGAAGGTTTTCCCGCTTCCAACGAAATTTTCAATGCTCTCAAAATATCCTCTTGTAGATTCTACAAAAAGAGTGTTTCCAAACTGCTGTATCAAAACAAAGGTTCATCTCTGTTAGTTGAGGACACACATCACAAATAAGTTTCTGAGAATGCTTCTGTCTAGTTCTTATTTGAAGACATTTCCTTTCTCACCTTAGGCCTG
Organism: Homo sapiens; assembly: GCF_000001405.40. Classification (NCBI taxonomy): domain Eukaryota; kingdom Metazoa; phylum Chordata; class Mammalia; order Primates; family Hominidae; genus Homo; species Homo sapiens. Next base: position 19,031,870 of record NC_000015.10, on the reverse strand, counting down.
AAAGCGCTCGAAATATCCACTTCCAGATACGACAGAAACAGTGATTCAAACCTGCTCTATGAAAGGGAATGTTCAACTATGTGACTTGAATGCAAACATCACAAAGCAGTTTCTGAGAATGCTGCTGTCTACTTTCTATTTGTAATCCCGTTTCCAACGAAATCCTCAGAACTATCGAAATTTCCAATTGCAGATTCCACAGAAACAGGGTTTCAAAGCTGCTCTGTAAAAAGAAAGGTTCAACTCTGTTAGTTGAATACACACGTCACAAACAAGTTTCTGAGAATGCTTCTGTCTAGTTTTTATGGGAAGATATTTCCTTTTTCACGGTAGGCCTCAAAGCGCTCCAAATGTCCACTTCCACATACTACAAAAAGAGTGTTTCAAACCTGCTCTATGATAGGGAATGTTGAAACCTATGAGTTGAATGCAAGCATTACAAAGAGGTTTCTGAGAATGCTTCTGTCTAGATTTTATATGTAGATATTCCCGTTTCCAACGAAATCCTCAAAGCTATCCAAATATCAGCTTGCAGATTCTGCAAAAGGAATGTTTCCAAAATGCTGTATCCAAACAAAGGTTCAACTCTGTGAATTGAGGGCATACATCACAAAGAAGATTCTGAGAATGCTTCTGTCTAGATTTTATATGAAAATATTCCCGTTTCCAATGAAATCCTCAAAGCTATCCAAATATCCACTTGCAAATGCCACAAAAAGAGTGTTTCCAAACTGCTCTGTGAAAAGGAAGGTTCAACTCTGTTAGTTGAGTACACACATCACAAAGAGGTTTCTGAGAATGCTGCTGACTAGTTTTTATTTGAAGATATTTCCCTTTTCACCTTAGGCCTAAGAGTGCTCGAAATGTCCATTTCCACATACTCCACAAAGTGTGTTTCAAACGTGCTGTATGAAAGGGAATGTTCAACTCTATGAGTTGAATGCAAACATCACAAAGAAGATTCTGAGAATGCTTTTGTCTAGATTTTATATGAAGATATTCCCGTGTCCAACGAAATTTTCAAAGGTCTCCAAATATCCATTTGTAGATTCTACAAAAAGAGTGTTTCCAAACTGCTGTATCAAAACAAAGGTTGAACTCTGTGAGTTGAGGACACACATCACAAATAAGTTTCTGAGAATGCTTCTGTCTAGTTTTTATTTGAAGATGTTTCCTTTTTCACCATAGGCCTGAAAGCGCTCGAAATGTCCACTTCCAGATAGTACAGAAAGAGTGTTTCAAACGTGCTCTATGAACGGGAATGTTCAGCTCTGTGAGTTGAATGCAAACATCACAAAGCAGGTTCTGAGAATGCTTCCGTCTAGATTTTAAATGAGGATATTCCCGTTTCCAACGAAATCCTCGAAGCTATCCAAATATCCACTTGCAGATTCCACAAAAAGAGTGTTTCAAAACTGCTCTGTCAAAAGATAGGTTCAACTCTGTTAGTTGAGTACACACATGGCAAACAAGATTGCGAGAATGCTTTCGTCTAGTTTTTTGGGAAGATATTCCTTCTTCACCATAGGCCTCAAAGCGCTCCAAATATCCATTTCCACATGCTATACAAAGAGTGTCTCAAACCTGCTGTATGAATGGGAATGTTCAACTCTATGAGTTGAATGCAAACATCACAAAGAAGTTTCTGAGAATGCTGCTGTCTAGATTTTATATGAAGGTTTTCCCGCTTCCAACGAAATTTTCAATGCTCTCAAAATATCCTCTTGTAGATTCTACAAAAAGAGTGTTTCCAAACTGCTGTATCAAAACAAAGGTTCATCTCTGTTAGTTGAGGACACACATCACAAATAAGTTTCTGAGAATGCTTCTGTCTAGTTCTTATTTGAAGACATTTCCTTTCTCACCTTAGGCCTGAAAGCGCTCGAAATATCCACTTCCAGATACGACAGAAACAGTGATTCAAACCTGCTCTATGAAAGGGAATGTTCAACTAGGTGACTTGAATGCAAACATCACAAAGCAGTTTCTGAGAATGCTGCTGTCTACTTTCTATTTGTAATCCCGTTTCCAACGAAATCCTCAGAACTATCGAAATTTCGAATTGCAGATTCCACAGAAACAGGGTTTCAAAGCTGCTCTGTAAAAAGAAAGGTTCAACTCTGTTAGTTGAATACACACGTCACAAACAAGTTTCAGAGAATGCTTATCTGTCTAGTTTTTATGGGAAGATATTTCCTTTTTCACCGTAGGCCTCAAAGCGCTCCAAATGTCCACTTCCACATACTACAAAAAGAGTGTTTCAAACCTGCTGTATGAAAGGGAATGTTCAACTCTATGAGTTGAATGCAAACATTACAAAGAAGTTTCAGAGAATGCTTCTGTCTAGATTTTATATGAAGGTTTTCCCGTTTCCAACGAAATTTTCAATGCTCTGAAAATATCCACTTGTAGATTCTACAAAAAGAGTGTTTCCAAACTGCTGTGTCAAAAGAAAGGTTCAACTCTGTTAGTTGAGGACACACATCACAAATAAGTTTCTGAGAATGCTTCTGTCTAGTTCTTATTTGAAGACATTTGCTTTCTCACCTTAGGCCTGAAAACGCTCGAAATATCCACTTCCAGATACGACAGAAACAGTGATTCAAACCTGCTCTATGAAAGGGAATGTTCAACTAGGTGACTTGAATGCAAACATCACAAAGCAGTTTCTGAGAATGCTGCTGTCTACTTTCTATTTGCAATCCCGTTTCCAACGAAATCCTCAGAACTATCGAAATTTCCAATTGCAGATTCCACAAAAAGCGTGTTTCAAAGCTGCTCTGTAAAAAGCAAGGTTCAACTCTGTTAGTTGAATACACACGTCACAAACAAGTTTCTGAGAATGCTTCTGTCTAGTTTTTATGGGAAGATATTTCCTTTTTCACCGTAGGCCTCAAAGCGCTCCAAATGTCCACTTCCACATACTACAAAAAGAGTGTTTCAAACCTGCTCTATGATAGGGAATGTTGAAACCTATGAGTTGAATGCAAGCATTACAAAGAGGTTTCTGAGAATGCTTCTGTCTAGATTTTATATGTAGATATTCCCGTTTCCAACGAAATCCTCAAAGCTATCCAAATATCAACTTGCAGATTCTACAAAAGGAATGTTTCCAAAATGCTGTATCCAAACAAAGGTTCAACTCTGTGAATTGAGGGCATACATCACAAAGAAGATTCTGAGAATGCTTCTGTCTAGATTTTATATGAAAATATTCCCGTTTCCAACAAAATCCTCAAAGCTATCCAAATATCCACTTGCAAATGCCACAAAAAGAGTGTTTCCAAACTGCTCTGTGAAAAGGAAGGTTCAACTCTGTTAGTTGAGTACACACATCACAAAGAGGTTTCTGAGAATGCTGCTGGCTAGTTTTTATTTGAAGATATTTCCCTTTTCACCTTAGGCCTAAGAGTGCTCGAAATGTCCATTTCCACATACTCCACAAAGTGTGTTCCAAACGTGCTGTATGAAAGGGAATGTTCAACTCTATGAGTTGAATGCAAACATCACAAAGAAGATTCTGAGAATGCTTTTGTCTAGATTTTATATGAAGATATTCCCGTGTCCAACGAAATTTTCAATGGTCTCCAAATATCCATTTGTAGATTCTACAAAAAGAGTGTTTCCAAACTGCTGTATCAAAACAAAGGTTGAACTCTGTGAGTTGAGGACACACATCACAAATAAGTTTCTGAGAATGCTTCTGTCTAGTTTTTATTTGAAGATATTTCCTTTTTCACCATAGGCCTGAAAGCGCTCGAAATGTCCACTTCCAGATAGTACAGAAAGAGTGTTTCAAACCTGCTCTATGAACAGGAATGTTCAGCTCTGTGAGTTGAATGCAAACATGACAAAGCAGGTTCTGAGAATGCTTCCGTCTAGATTTTATATGAGGATATTCCCGTTTCCAAGGAAATCCTCGAAGCTATCCAAATATCCATTTGCAGATTCCACAAAAAGAGTGTTTCAAAACTGCTCTGTCAAAAGATAGGTTCAACTCTGTTAGTTGAGTACACACATGGCAAACAAGATTGCGAGAATGCTTTCGTCTAGTTTTTTTGGGAAGATATTTCCTTCTTCACCATAGGCCTCAAAGCGCTCCAAATATCCATTTCCACATACTATACAAAGAGTGTCTCAAACCTGCTGTATGAAAGGGAACGTTCAACTCTATGAGTTGAATGCAAACATCACAAAGAAGTTTCTGAGAATGCTGCTGTCTAGATTTTATATGAAGGTTTTCCCGCTTCCAATGAAATTTTCAATGCTCTCAAAATATCCTCTTGTAGATTCTACAAAAAGAGTGTTTCTAAACTGCTGTGTCAAAACAAAGTTTCATCTCTGTTAGTTGAGGACACACATCACAAATAAGTTTCTGAGAATGCTTCTGTCTAGTTCTTATTTGAAGACATTTCCTTTCTCACCTTAGGCTTGAAAACGCTCGAAATATCCACTTCCAGATACGACAGAAACAGTGATTCAAACCTGCTCTATGAAAGGGAATGTTCAACTAGGTGACTTGAATGCAAACATCACAAAGCAGTTTCTGAGCAATGCTGCTGTCTACTTTCTATTTGTAATCCCGTTTCCAACGAAATCCTCAGAACTATCGAAATTTCCAATTGCAGATTCCACAGAAACAGGGTTTCAAAGCTGCTCTGTAAAAAGAAAGGTTCAACTCTGTTAGTTGAATACACACGTCACAAACAAGTTTCTGAGAATGCTTCTGTCTAGTTTTTATGGGAAGATATTTCCTTTTTCACCGTAGGCCTCAAAGCGCTCCAAATGTCCACTTCCACATACTACAAAAAGAGTGTTTCAAACCTGCTGTATGAAAGGGAATGTTCAACTCTATGAGTTGAATGCAAACATTACAAAGAAGTTTCTGAGAATGCTTCTGTCTAGATTTTATATGAAGGTTTTCCCGTTTCCAACGAAATTTTCAATGCTCTCAAAATATCCACTTGTAGATTCTACAAAAAGAGTGTTTCCAAACTGCTGTGTCAAAAGAAAGGTTCAACTCTGTTAGTTGAGGACACACATCACAAATAAGTTTCTGAGAATGCTTCTGTCTAGTTCTTATTTGAAGACATTTCCTTTCTCACCTTAGGCCTGAAAACGCTCGAAATATCCACTTCCAGATACGACAGAAACAGTGATTCAAACCTGCTCTATGAAAGGGAATGTTCAACTAGGTGACTTGAATGCAAACATCACAAAGCAGTTTCTGAGAATGCTGCTGTCTACTTTCTATTTGTAATCCCGTTTCCAACGAAATCCTCAGAACTATCGAAATTTCCAATTGCAGATTCCACAAAAAGCGTGTTTCAAAGCTGCTCTGTAAAAAGAAAGGTTCAACTCTGTTAGTTGAATACACACGTCACAAACAAGTTTCTGAGAATGCTTCTGTCTAGTTTTTATGGGAAGATATTTCTTTTTTCACCGTAGGCCTCAAAGCGCTCCAAATGTCCACTTCCACATACTACAAAAAGAGTGTTTCAAACCTGCTCTATGATAGGGAATGTTGAAACCTATGAGTTGAATGCAAGCATTACAAAGAGGTTTCTGAGAATGCTTCTGTCTAGATTTTATATGTAGATATTCCCGTTTCCAACGAAATCCTCAAAGCTATCCAAATATCAACTTGCAGATTCTACAAAAGGAATGTTTCCAAAATGCTGTATCCAAACAAAGGTTCAACTCTGTGAATTGAGGGCATACATCACAAAGAAGATTCTGAGAATGCTTCTGTCTAGATTTTATATGAAAATATTCCCGTTTCCAACGAAATCCTCAAAGCTATCCAAATATCCACTTGCAAATGCCACAAAAAGAGTGTTTCCAAACTGCTCTGTGAAAAGGAAGGTTCAACTCTGTTAGTTGAGTACACACATCACAAAGAGGTTTCTGAGAATGCTGCTGACTAGTTTTTATTTGAAGATATTTCCCTTTTCACCTTAGGCCTAAGAGTGCTCGAAATGTCCATTTCCACATACTCCACAAAGTGTGTTTCAAACGTGCTGTATGAAAGGGAATGTTCAACTCTATGAGTTGAATGCAAACATCATAAAGAAGATTCTGAGAATGCTTTTGTCTAGATTTTATATGAAGATATTCCCGTGTCCAACGAAATTTTCAAAGGTCTCCAAATATCCATTTGTAGATTCTACAAAAAGAGTGTTTCCAAACTGCTGTATCAAAACAAAGGTTGAACTCTGTGAGTTGAGGACACACATCACAAATAAGTTTCTGAGAATGCTTCTGTCTAGTTTTTATTTGAAGATGTTTCCTTTTTCACCATAGGCCTGAAAGCGCTCGAAATGTCCACTTCCAGATAGTACAGAAAGAGTGTTTCAAACCTGCTCTATGAACGGGAATGTTCAGCTCTGTGAGTTGAATGCAAACATCACAAAGCAGGTTCTGAGAATGCTTCCGTCTAGATTTTAAATGAGGATATTCCCGTTTCCAATGAAATCCTCGAAGCTATCCAAATATCCACTTGCAGATTCCACAAAAAGAGTGTTTCAAAACTGCTCTGTCAAAAGATAGGTTCAACTCTGTTAGTTGAGTACACCCATGGCAAACAAGATTGCGAGAATGCTTTCGTCTAGTTTTTTTGGGAAGATATTTCCTTCTTCACCATAGGCCTCAAAGCGCTCCAAATATCCATTTCCACATGCTATACAAAGAGTGTCTCAAACCTGCTGTATGAATGGGAATGTTCAACTCTATGAGTTGAATGCAAACATCACAAAGAAGTTTCTGAGAATGCTGCTGTCTAGATTTTATATGAAGGTTTTCCCGCTTCCAACGAAATTTTCAATGCTCTCAAAATATCCTCTTGTAGATTCTACAAAAAGAGTGTTTCCAAACTGCTGTATCAAAACAAAGGTTCATCTCTGTTAGTTGAGGACACACATCACAAATAAGTTTCTGAGAATGCTTCTGTCTAGTTCTTATTTGAAGACATTTCCTTTCTCACCTTAAGCCTGAAAGCGCTCGAAATACCCACTTCCAGATACTACAGAAACAGTGATTCAAACCTGCTCTATGAAAGGGAATGTTCAACTAGGTGACTTGAATGCAAACATCACAAAGCAGTTTCTGAGAATGCTGCTGTCTACTTTCTATTTGTAATCCCGTTTCCAACGAAATCCTCAGAACTATCGAAATTTCCAATTGCAGATTCCACAGAAACAGGGTTTCAAAGCTGCTCTGTAAAAAGAAAGGTTCAACTCTGTTAGTTGAATACACACGTCACAAACAAGTTTCTGAGAATGCTTCTGTCTAGTTTTTATGGGAAGATATTTCCTTTTTCACCGTAGGCCTCAAAGCGCTCCAAATGTCCACGTCCACATACTACAAAAAGAGTGTTTCAAACCTGCTGTATGAAAGGGAATGTTCAACTCTATGAGTTGAATGCAAACATTACAAAGAAGTTTCTGAGAATGCTTCTGTCTAGATTTTATATGAAGGTTTTCCCGTTTCCAACGAAATTTTCAATGCTCTCAAAATATCCACTTGTAGATTCTACAAAAAGAGTGTTTCCAAACTGCTGTGTCAAAAGAAAGGTTCAACTCTGTTAGTTGAGGACACACATCACAAATAAGTTTCTGAGAATGCTTCTGTCTAGTTCTTATTTGAAGACATTTCCTTTCTCACCTTAGGCCTGAAAACGCTCGAAATATCCACTTCCAGATACGACAGAAACAGTGATTCAAACCTGCTCTATGAAAGGGAATGTTCAACTAGGTGACTTGAATGCAAACATCACAAAGCAGTTTACTGAGAATGCTGCTGTCTACTTTCTATTTGTAATCCCGTTTCCAACGAAATCCTCAGAAGTATCGAAATTTCCAATTGCAGATTCCACAGAAACAGGGTTTCAAAGCTGCTCTGTAAAAAGAAAGGTTCAACTCTGTTAGTTGAATACACACGTCACAAACAAGTTTCTGAGAATGCTTCTGTCTAGTTTTTATGGGAAGATATTTCCTTTTTCACCGTAGGCCTCAAAGCGCTCCAAATGTCCACTTCCACATACTACAAAAAGAGTGTTTCAAACCTGCTGTATGAAAGGGAATGTTCAACTCTATGAGTTGAATGCAAACATTACAAAGAAGTTTCTGAGAATGCTTCTGTCTAGATTTTATATGAAGGTTTTCCCGTTTCCAACGAAATTTTCAATGCTCTCAAAATATCCACTTGTAGATTCTACAAAAAGAGTGTTTCCAAACTGCTGTGTCAAAAGAAAGGTTCAACTCTGTTAGTTGAGGACACACATCACAAATAAGTTTCTGAGAATGCTGCTGTCTACTTTCTATTTGTAATCCCGTTTCCACCGAAATCCTCAGAACTATCGAAATTTCCAATTGCAGATTCCACAAAAAGCGTGTTTCAAAGCTGCTCTGTAAAAAGAAAGGTTCAACTCTGTTAGTTGAATACACACGTCACAAACAAGTTTCTGAGAATGCTTCTGTCTAGTTTTTATGGGAAGATATTTCCTTTTTCACCGTAGGCCTCAAAGCGCTCCAAATGTCCACTTCCACATACTACAAAAAGAGTGTTTCAAACCTGCTCTATGATAGGGAATGTTGAAACCTATGAGTTGAATGCAAGCATTACAAAGAGGTTTCTGAGAATGCTTCTGTCTAGATTTTATATGTAGATATTCCCGTTTCCAACGAAATCCTCAAAGCTATCCAAATATCAACTTGCAGATTCTACAAAAGGAATGTTTCCAAAATGCTGTATCCAAACAAAGGTTCAACTCTGTGAATTGAGGGCATACATCACAAAGAAGATTCTGAGAATGCTTTCTGTCTAGATTTTATATGAAAATATTCCCGTTTCCAACGAAATCCTCAAGCTATCCAAATATCCACTTGCAAATGCCACAAAAAGAGTGTTTCCAAACTGCTCTGTGAAAAGGAAGGTTCAACTCTGTTAGTTGAGTACACACATCACAAAGAGGTTTCTGAGAATGCTGCTGACTAGTTTTTATTTGAAGATATTTCCCTTTTCACCTTAGGCCTAAGAGTGCTCGAAATGTCCATTTCCACATACTCCACAAAGTGTGTTTCAAACGTGCTGTATGAAAGGGAATGTTCAACTCTATGAGTTGAATGCAAACATCACAAAGAAGATTCTGAGAATGCTTTTGTCTAGATTTTATATGAAGATATTCCCGTGTCCAACGAAATTTTCAAAGGTCTCCAAATATCCATTTGTAGATTCTACAAAAAGAGTGTTTCCAAACTGCTGTATCAAAACAAAGGTTGAACTCTGTGAGTTGAGGACACACATCACAAATAAGTTTCTGAGAATGCTTCTGTCTAGTTTTTATTTGAAGATGTTTCCTTTTTCACCATAGGCCTGAAAGCGCTCGAAATGTCCACTTCCAGATAGTACAGAAAGAGTGTTTCAAACCTGCTCCATGAACGGGAATGTTCAGCTCTGTGAGTTGAATGCAAACATCACAAAGCAGGTTCTGAGAATGCTTCCGTCTAGATTTTAAATGAGGATATTCCCGTTTCCAACGAAATCCTCGAAGCTATCCAAATATCCACTTGCAGATTCCACAAAAAGAGTGTTTCAAAACTGCTCTGTCAAAAGATAGGTTCAACTCTGTTAGTTGAGTACACACATGGCAAACAAGATTGCGAGAATGCTTTCGTCTAGTTTTTTTGGGAAGATATTTCCTTCTTCACCATAGGCCTCAAAGCGCTCCAAATATCCATTTCCAAATGCTATACAAAGAGTGTCTCAAACCTGCTGTATGAATGGGAATGTTCAACTCTATGAGTTGAATGCAAACATCACAAAGAAGTTTCTGAGAATGCTGCTGTCTAGATTTTATATGAAGGTTTTCCCGCTTCCAACGAAATTTTGAATGCTCTCAAAATGTCCTCTTGTAGATTCTACAAAAAGAGTGTTTCCAAACTGCTGTATCAAAACAAAGGTTCATCTCTGTTAGTTGAGGACACACATCACAAATAAGTTTCTGAGAATGCTTCTGTCTAGTTCTTATTTGAAGACATTTCCTTTCTCACCTTAGGCCTGAAAGCGCTCGAAATACCCACTTCCAGATACTACAGAAACAGTGATTCAAACCTGCTCTATGAAAGGGAATGTTCAACTATGTGACTTGAATGCAAACATCACAAAGCAGTTTCTGAGAATGCTGCTGTCTACTTTCTATTTGTAATCCCGTTTGCAACGAAATCCTCAGAACTATCGAAATTTCCAATTGCAGATTCCACAGAAACAGGGTTTCAAAGCTGCTCTGTAAAAAGAAAGGTTCAACTCTGTTAGTTGAATACACACGTCACAAACAAGTTTCTGAGAATGCTTCTGTCTAGTTTTTATGGGAAGATATTTCCTTTTTCACGGTAGGCCTCAAAGCGCTCCAAATGTCCACTTCCACATACTACAAAAAGAGTGTTTCAAACCTGCTCTATGATAGGGAATGTTGAAACCTATGAGTTGAATGCAAGCATTACAAAGAGGTTTCTGAGAATGCTTCTGTCTAGATTTTATATGTAGATATTCCCGTTTCCAACGAAATCCTCAAAGCTATCCAAATATCAACTTGCAGATTCTACAAAAGGAATGTTTCCAAAATGCTGTATCCAAACAAAGGTTCAACTCTGTGAATTGAGGGCATACATCACAAAGAAGATTCTGAGAATGCTTCTGTCTAGATTTTATATGAAAATATTCCCGTTTCCAAAGAAATCCTCAAAGCTATCCAAATATCCACTTGCAAATGCCACACAAAGAGTGTTTCCAAACTGCTCTGTGAAAAGGAAGGTTCAACTCTGTTAGTTGAGTACACACATCACAAAGAGGTTTCTGAGAATGCTGCTGACTAGTTTTTATTTGAAGATATTTCCCTTTTCACCTTAGGCCTAAGAGTGCTCGAAATGTCCATTTCCACATACTCCACAAAGTGTGTTTCAAACGTGCTGTATGAAAGGGAATGTTCAACTCTATGAGTTGAATGCAAACATCACAAAGAAGATTCTGAGAATGCTTTTGTCTAGATTTTATATGAAGATATTCCCGTGTCCAACGAAATTTTCAAAGGTCTCCAAATATCCATTTGTAGATTCTACAAAAAGAGTGTTTCCAAACTGCTGTATCAAAACAAAGGTTGAACTCTGTGAGTTGAGGACACACATCACAAATAAGTTTCTGAGAATGCTTCTGTCTAGTTTTTATTTGAAGATGTTTCCTTTTTCACCATAGGCCTGAAAGCGCTCGAAATGTCCACTTCCAGATAGTACAGAAAGAGTGTTTCAAACCTGCTCTATGAACGGGAATGTTCAGCTCTGTGAGTTGAATGCAAACATCACAAAGCAGGTTCTGAGAATGCTTCCGTCTAGATTTTAAATGAGGATATTCCCGTTTCCAACGAAATCCTCGAAGCTATCCAAATATCCACTTGCAGATTCCACAAAAAGAGTGTTTCAAAACTGCTCTGTCAAAAGATAGGTTCAACTCTGTTAGTTGAGTACACACATGGCAAACAAGATTCCGAGAATGCTTTCGTCTAGTTTTTTTGGGAAGATATTTCCTTCTTCACCATAGGCCTCAAAGCGCTCCAAATATCCATTTCCACATGCTATACAAAGAGTGTCTCAAACCTGCTGTATGAATGGGAATGTTCAACTCTATGAGTTGAATGCAAACATCACAAAGAAGTTTCTGAGAATGCTGCTGTCTAGATTTTATATGAAGGTTTTCCCGCTTCCAACGAAATTTTCAATGCTCTCAAAATATCCTCTTGTAGATTCTACAAAAAGAGTGTTTCCAAACTGCTGTATCAAAACAAAGGTTCATCTCTGTTAGTTGAGGACACACATCACAAATAAGTTTCTGAGAATGCTTCTGTCTAGTTCTTATTTGAAGACATTTCCTTTCTCACCTTAGGCCTGAAAGCGCTCGAAATACCCACTTCCAGATACTACAGAAACAGTGATTCAAACCTGCTCTATGAAAGGGAATGTTCAACTAGGTGACTTGAATGCAAACATCACAAAGCAGTTTCTGAGAATGCTGCTGTCTACTTTCTATTTGTAATCCCGTTTCCAACGAAATCCTCAGAACTATCGAAATTTCCAATTGCAGATTCCACAGAAACAGGGTTTCAAAGCTGCTCTGTAAAAAGAAAGGTTCAACTCTGTTAGTTGAATACACACGTCACAAACAAGTTTCTGAGAATGCTTCTGTCTAGTTTTTATGGGAAGATATTTCCTTTTTCACCGTAGGCCTCAAAGCGCTCCAAATGTCCACTTCCACATACTACAAAAAGAGTGTTTCAAACCTGCTGTATGAAAGGGAATGTTCAACTCTATGAGTTGAATGCAAATATTACAAAGAAGTTTCTGAGAATGCTTCTGTCTAGATTTTATATGTAGATAGATATTCCCGTTTCCAACGAAATCCTCAAAGCTATCCAAATATCAACTTGCAGATTCTACAAAAGGAATGTTTCCAAAATGCTGTATCCAAACAAAGGTTCAACTCTGTGAATTGAGGGCATACATCACAAAGAAGATTCTGAGAATGCTTCTGTCTAGATTTTATATGAAAATATTCCCGTTTCCAACGAAATCCTCAAAGCTATCCAAATATCCACTTGCAAATGCCACAAAAAGAGTGTTTCCAAACTGCTCTGTGAAAAGGAAGGTTCAACTCTGTTAGTTGAGTACACACATCACAAAGAGGTTTCTGAGAATGCTGCTGACTAGTTTTTATTTGAAGATATTTCCCTTTTCACCTTAGGCCTAAGAGTGCTCGAAATGTCCATTTCCACATACTCCACAAAGTGTGTTTCAAACGTGCTGTATGAAAGGGAATGTTCAACTCTATGAGTTGAATGCAAACATCACAAAGAAGATTCTGAGAATGCTTTTGTCTAGATTTTATATGAAGATATTCCCGTGTCCAACGAAATTTTCAAAGGTCTCCAAATATCCATTTGTAGATTCTACAAAAAGAGTGTTTCCAAACTGCTGTATCAAAACAAAGGTTGAACTCTGTGAGTTGAGGACACACATCACAAATAAGTTTCTGAGAATGCTTCTGTCTAGTTTTTATTTGAAGATGTTTCCTTTTTCACCATAGGCCTGAAAGCGCTCGAAATGTCCACTTCCAGATAGTACAGAAAGAGTGTTTCAAACCTGCTCTATGAACGGGAATGTTCAGCTCTGTGAGTTGAATGCAAACATCACAAAGCAGGTTCTGAGAATGCTTCCGTCTAGATTTTAAATGAGGATATTCCCGTTTCCAACGAAATCCTCGAAGCTATCCAAATATCCACTTGCAGATTCCACAAAAAGAGTGTTTCAAAACTGCTCTGTCAAAAGATAGGTTCAACTCTGTTAGTTGAGTACACACATGGCAAACAAGATTCCGAGAATGCTTTCGTCTAGTTTTTTTGGGAAGATATTTCCTTCTTCACCATAGGCCTCAAAGCGCTCCAAATATCCATTTCCACATGCTATACAAAGAGTGTCTCAAACCTGCTGTATGAATGGGAATGTTCAACTCTATGAGTTGAATGCAAACATCACAAAGAAGTTTCTGAGAATGCTGCTGTCTAGATTTTATATGAAGGTTTTCCCGCTTCCAACGAAATTTTCAATGCTCTCAAAATATCCTCTTGTAGATTCTACAAAAAGAGTGTTTCCAAACTGCTGTATCAAAACAAAGGTTCATCTCTGTTAGTTGAGGACACACATCACAAATAAGTTTCTGAGAATGCTTCTGTCTAGTTCTTATTTGAAGACATTTCCTTTCTCACCTTAGGCCTGAAAGCGCTCGAAATACCCACTTCCAGATACTACAGAAACAGTGATTCAAACCTGCTCTATGAAAGGGAATGTTCAACTATGTGACTTGAATGCAAACATCACAAAGCAGTTTCTGAGAATGCTGCTGTCTACTTTCTATTTGTAATCCCGTTTCCAACGAAATCCTCAGAACTATCGAAATTTCCAATTGCAGATTCCACAGAAACAGGGTTTCAAAGCTGCTCTGTAAAAAGAAAGGTTCAACTCTGTTAGTTGAATACACACGTCACAAACAAGTTTCTGAGAATGCTTCTGTCTAGTTTTTATGGGAAGATATTTCCTTTTTCACGGTAGGCCTCAAAGCGCTCGAAATGTCCACTTCCACATACTACAAAAAGAGTGTTTCAAACCTGCTGTATGAAAGGGAATGTTCAACTCTATGAGTTGAATGCAAACATTACAAAGAAGTTTCTGAGAATGCTGCTGTCTAGATTTTATATGAAGGTTTTCCCGTTTCCAACGAAATTTTCAATGCTCTCAAAATATCCACTTGTAGATTCTACAAAAAGAGTGTTTCCAAACTGCTGTGTCAAAAGAAAGGTTCAACTCTGTTAGTTGAGGACACACATCACAAATAAGTTTCTGAGAATGCTTCTGTCTAGTTCTTATTTGAAGACATTTCCTTTCTCACCTTAGGCCTGAAAACGCTCGAAATATCCACTTCCAGATACGACAGAAACAGTGATTCAAACCTGCTCTATGAAAGGGAATGTTCAACTAGGTGACTTGAATGCAAACATCACAAAGCAGTTTCTGAGAATGCTGCTGTCTACTTTCTATTTGTAATCCCGTTTCCAACGAAATCCTCAGAACCATCGAAATTTCCAATTGCAGATTCCACAGAAACAGGGTTTCAAAGCTGCTCTGTAAAAAGAAAGGTTCAACTCTGTTAGTTGAATAGACACGTCACAAACAAGTTTCTGAGAATGCTTCTGTCTAGTTTTTATGGGAAGATATTTCCTTTTTCACCGTAGGCCTCAAAGCGCTCCAAATGTCCACTTCCACATACTACAAAAAGAGTGTTTCAAACCTGCTGTATGAAAGGGAATGTTCAACTCTATGAGTTGAATGCAAATATTACAAAGAAGTTTCTGAGAATGCTTCTGTCTAGATTTTATATGAAGGTTTTCCCGTTTCCAACGAAATTTTCAATGCTCTCAAAATATCCACTTGTAGATTCTACAAAAAGAGTGTTTCCAAACTGCTGTGTCAAAAGAAAGGTTCAACTCTGTTAGTTGAGGACACACATCACAAATAAATTTCTGAGAATGCTTCTGTCTAGTTCTTATTTGAAGACATTTCCTTTCTCACCTTAGGCCTGAAAACGCTCGAAATATCCACTTCCAGATACGACAGAAACAGTGATTCAAACCTGCTCTATGAAAGGGAATGTTCAACTAGGTGACTTGAATGCAAACATCACAAAGCAGTTTCTGAGAATGCTGCTGTCTACTTTCTATTTGTAATCCCGTTTCCAACGAAATCCTCAGAACTATCGAAATTTCCAATTGCAGATTCCACAGAAACAGGGTTTCAAAGCTGCTCTGTAAAAAGAAAGGTTCAACTCTGTTAGTTGAATACACACGTCACAAACAAGTTTCTGAGAATGCTTCTGTCTAGTTTTTATGGGAAGATATTTCCTTTTTCACCGTAGGCCTCAAAGCGCTCCAAATGTCCACTTCCACATACTACAAAAAGAGTGTTTCAAACCTGCTGTATGAAAGTGAATGTTCAACTCTATGAGTTGAATGCAAACATTTCAAAGAAGTTTCTGAGAATGCTTCCGTCTAGATTTTATATGAAGGTTTTCCCGTTTCCAACGAAATTTTCAATGCTCTCAAAATATCCACTTGTAGATTCTACAAAAACAGTGTTTCCAAACTGCTGTGTCAAAAGAAAGGTTCAACTCTGTTAGTTGAGGACACACATCACAAATAAGTTTCTGAGAATGCTTCTGTCTAGTTCTTATTTGAAGACATTTCCTTTCTCACCTTAGGCCTGAAAACGCTCGAAATATCCACTTCCAGATACGACAGAAACAGTGATTCAAACCTGCTCTATGAAAGGGAATGTTCAACTAGGTGACTTGAATGCAAACATCACAAAGCAGTTTCTGAGAATGCTGCTGTCTACTTTCTATTTGTAATCCGGTTTCCAACGAAATCCTCAGAACTATCAAAATTTCCAATTGCAGGTTCCACAAAAAGCGTGTTTCCAAGCTGCTCTGTAAAAAGAAAAGTTCAACTCTGTTAGTTGAATACACACGTCACAAACAAGTTTCTGAGAATGCTTCTGTCTAGTTTTTATGGGAAGATATTTCCTTTTTCACCGTAGGCCTCAAAGCGCTCCAAATGTCCACTTCCACATACTACAAAAAGAGTGTTTCAAACCTGCTCTATGATAGGGAATGTTGAAACCTATGAGTTGAATGCAAACATTACAAAGAGGTTTCTGAGAATGCTTCTGTCTAGATTTTATATGTAGATATTCCCGTTTCCAACGAAATCCTCAAAGCTATCCAAATATCAACTTGCAGATTCTACAAAAGGGATGTTTCCAAAATGCTGTATCCAAACAAAGGTTCAACTCTGTGAATTGAGGGCATACATCACAAAGAAGATTCTGAGAATGC
Source organism: Homo sapiens (assembly GCF_000001405.40). Classification (NCBI taxonomy): domain Eukaryota; kingdom Metazoa; phylum Chordata; class Mammalia; order Primates; family Hominidae; genus Homo; species Homo sapiens. The sequence goes on along the minus strand of NC_000015.10, from coordinate 19,015,382 downwards.
TTCTGTCTAGATTTTATATGAAAATATTCCCGTTTCCAACGAAATCCTCAAAGCTATCCAAATATCCACTTGCAAATGCCACAAAAAGAGTGTTTCCAAACTGCTCTGTGAAAAGGAAGGTTCAACTCTGTTAGTTGAGTACACACATCACAAAGAGGTTTCTGAGAATGCTGCTGACTAGTTTTTATTTGAAGATATTTCCCTTTTCACCTTAGGCCTAAGAGTGCTCGAAATGTCCATTTCCACATACTCCACAAAGGGTGTTTCAAACGTGCTGTATGAAAGGGAATGTTCAACTCTATGAGTTGAATGCAAACATCACAAAGAAGATTCTGAGAATGCTTTTGTCTAGATTTTATATGAAGATATTCCCGTGTCCAACGAAATTTTCAAAGGTCTCCAAATATCCATTTGTAGATTCTACAAAAAGAGTGTTTCCAAACTGCTGTATCAAAACAAAGGTTGAACTCTGTGAGTTGAGGACACACATCACAAATAAGTTTCTGAGAATGCTTCTGTCTAGTTTTTATTTGAAGATGTTTCCTTTTTCACCATAGGCCTGAAAGCGCTCGAAATGTCCACTTCCAGATAGTACAGAAAGAGTGTTTCAAACCTGCTCTATGAACGGGAATGTTCAGCTCTGTGAGTTGAATGCAAACATCACAAAGCAGGTTCTGAGAATGCTTCCGTCTAGATTTTAAATGAGGATATTCCCGTTTCCAACGAAATCCTCGAAGCTATCCAAATATCCACTTGCAGATTCCACAAAAAGAGTGTTTCAAAACTGCTCTGTCAAAAGATAGGTTCAACTCTGTTAGTTGAGTACACACATGGCAAACAAGATTGCGAGAATGCTTTCGTCTAGTTTTTTAGGGAAGATATTTCCTTCTTCACCATAGGCCTCAAAGCGCTCCAAATATCCATTTCCACATGCTATACAAAGAGTGTCTCAAACCTGCTGTATGAATGGGAATGTTCAACTCTATGAGTTGAATGCAAACATCACAAAGAAGTTTCTGAGAATGCTGCTGTCTAGATTTTATATGAAGGTTTTCCCGCTTCCAACGAAATTTTCAATGCTCTCAAAATATCCTCTTGTAGATTCTACAAAAAGAGTGTTTCCAAACTGCTGTATCAAAACAAAGGTTCATCTCTGTTAGTTGAGGACACACATCACAAATAAGTTTCTGAGAATGCTTCTGTCTAGTTCTTATTTGAAGACATTTCCTTTCTCACCTTAGGCCTGAAAGCGCTCGAAATACCCACTTCCAGATACTACAGAAACAGTGATTCAAACCTGCTCTATGAAAGGGAATGTTCAACTAGGTGACTTGAATGCAAACATCACAAAGCAGTTTCTGAGAATGCTTGCTGTCTACTTTCTATTTGTAATCCCGTTTCCAACGAAATCCTCAGCAACTATCGAAATTTCCAATTGCAGATTCCACAGAAACAGGGTTTCAAAGCTGCTCTGTAAAAAGAAAGGTTCAACTCTGTTAGTTGAATACACACGTCACAAACAAGTTTCTGAGAATGCTTCTGTCTAGTTTTTATGGGAAGATATTTCCTTTTTCACCATAGGCCTCAAAGCGCTCCAAATGTCCACTTCCACATACTACAAAAAGAGTGTTTCAAACCTGCTCTATGATAGGGAATGTTGAAACCTATGAGTTGAATGCAAGCATTACAAAGAGATTTCTGAGAATGCTTCTGTCTAGATTTTATATGTAGATATTCCCGTTTCCAACGAAATCCTCAAAGCTATCCAAATATCAACTTGCAGATTCTACAAAAGGAATGTTTCCAAAATGCTGTATCCAAACAAAGGTTCAACTCTGTGAATTGAGGGCATACATCACAAAGAAGATTCTGAGAATGCTTCTGTCTAGATTTTATATGAAAATATTCCCGTTTCCAACGAAATCCTCAAAGCTATCCAAATATCCACTTGCAAATGCCACAAAAAGAGTGTTTCCAAACTGCTCTGTGAAAAGGAAGGTTCAACTCTGTTAGTTGAGTACACACATCACAAAGAGGTTTCTGAGAATGCTGCTGACTAGTTTTTATTTGAAGATATTTCCCTTTTCACCTTAGGCCTAAGAGTGCTCGAAATGTCCATTTCCACATACTCCACAAAGTGTGTTTCAAACGTGCTGTATGAAAGGGAATGTTCAACTCTATGAGTTGAATGCAAACATCACAAAGAAGATTCTGAGAATGCTTTTGTCTAGATTTTATATGAAGATATTCCCGTGTCCAACGAAATTTTCAAAGGTCTCCAAATATCCATTTGTAGATTCTACAAAAAGAGTGTTTCCAAACTGCTGTATCAAAACAAAGGTTGAACTCTGTGAGTTGAGGACACACATCACAAATAAGTTTCTGAGAATGCTTCTGTCTAGTTTTTATTTGAAGATGTTTCCTTTTTCACCATAGGCCTGAAAGCGCTCGAAATGTCCACTTCCAGATAGTACAGAAAGAGTGTTTCAAACCTGCTCTATGAACGGGAATGTTCAGCTCTGTGAGTTGAATGCAAACATCACAAAGCAGGTTCTGAGAATGCTTCCGTCTAGATTTTAAATGAGGATATTCCCGTTTCCAACGAAATCCTCGAAGCTATCCAAATATCCACTTGCAGATTCCACAAAAAGAGTGTTTCAAAACTGCTCTGTCAAAAGATAGGTTCAACTCTGTTAGTTGAGTACACACATGGCAAACAAGATTGCGAGAATGCTTTCGTCTAGTTTTTTTGGGAAGATATTTCCTTCTTCACCATAGGCCTCAAAGCGCTCCAAATATCCATTTCCACATGCTATACAAAGAGTGTCTCAAACCTGCTGTATGAATGGGAATGTTCAACTCTATGAGTTGAATGCAAACATCACAAAGAAGTTTCTGAGAATGCTGCTGTCTAGATTTTATATGAAGGTTTTCCCGCTTCCAACGAAATTTTCAATGCTCTCAAAATATCCTCTTGTAGATTCTACAAAAAGAGTGTTTCCAAACTGCTGTATCAAAACAAAGGTTCATCTCTGTTAGTTGAGGACACACATCACAAATAAGTTTCTGAGAATGCTTCTGTCTAGTTCTTATTTGAAGACATTTCCTTTCTCACCTTAGGCCTGAAAGCGCTCGAAATACCCACTTCCAGATACTACAGAAACAGTGATTCAAACCTGCTCTATGAAAGGGAATGTTCAACAATGTGACTTGAATGCAAACATCACAAAGCAGTTTCTGAGAATGCTGCTGTCTACTTTGTATTTGTAATCCCGTTTCCAACGAAATCCTCAGAACTATCGAAGTTTCAAATTGCAGATTCCACAGAAACAGGGTTTCAAAGCTGCTCTGTAAAAAGAAAGGTTCAACTCTGTTAGTTGAATACACACGTCACAAACAAGTTTCTGAGAATGCTTCTGTCTAGTTTTTATGGGAAGATATTTCCTTTTTCACCGTAGGCCTCAAAGCGCTCCAAATGTCCACTTCCACATACTACAAAAAGAGTGTTTCAAACCTGCTGTATGAAAGGGAATGTTCAACTCTATGAGTTGAATGCAAACATTACAAAGAAGTTTCTGAGAATGCTTCTGTCTAGATTTTATATGAAGGTTTTCCCGTTTCCAACGAAATTTTCAATGCTCTCAAAATATCCACTTGTAGATTCTACAAAAAGAGTGTTTCCAAACTGCTGTGTCAAAAGAAAGGTTCAACTCTGTTAGTTGAGGACACACATCACAAATAAGTTTCTGAGAATGCTTCTGTCTAGTTCTTATTTGAAGACATTTCCTTTCTCACCTTAGGCCTGAAAGCGCTCGAAATACCCACTTCCAGATACTACAGAAACAGTGATTCAAACCTGCTCTATGAAAGGGAATGTTCAACTAGGTGACTTGAATGCAAACATCACAAAGCAGTTTCTGAGAATGCTGCTGTCTACTTTCTATTTGTAATCCCGTTTCCAACGAAATCCTCAGAACTATCGAAATTTCCAATTGCAGATTCCACAGAAACAGGGTTTCAAAGCTGCTCTGTAAAAAGAAAGGTTCAACTCTGTTAGTTGAATACACACGTCACAAACAAGTTTCTGAGAATGCTTCTGTCTAGTTTTTATGGGAAGATATTTCCTTTTTCACCGTAGGCCTCAAAGCGCTCCAAATGTCCACGTCCACATACTACAAAAAGAGTGTTTCAAACCTGCTGTATGAAAGGGAATGTTCAACTCTATGAGTTGAATGCAAACATTACAAAGAAGTTTCTGAGAATGCTTCTGTCTAGATTTTATATGAAGGTTTTCCCGTTTCCAACGAAATTTTCAATGCTCTCAAAATATCCACTTGTAGATTCTACAAAAAGAGTGTTTCCAAACTGCTGTGTCAAAAGAAAGGTTCAACTCTGTTAGTTGAGGACACACATCACAAATAAGTTTCTGAGAATGCTTCTGTCTAGTTCTTATTTGAAGACATTTCCTTTCTCACCTTAGGCCTGAAAACGCTCGAAATATCCACTTCCAGATACGACAGAAACAGTGATTCAAACCTGCTCTATGAAAGGGAATGTTCAACTAGGTGACTTGAATGCAAACATCCACAAAGCAGTTTCTGAGAATGCTGCTGTCTACTTTCTATTTGTAATCCCGTTTGCAACGAAATCCTCAGAACTATCGAAATTTCCAATTGCAGATTCCACAGAAACAGGGTTTCAAAGCTGCTCTGTAAAAAGAAAGGTTCAACTCTGTTAGTTGAATACACACGTCACAAACAAGTTTCTGAGAATGCTTCTGTCTAGTTTTTATGGGAAGATATTTCCTTTTTCACCGTAGGCCTCAAAGCGCTCCAAATGTCCACTTCCACATACTACAAAAAGAGTGTTTCAAACCTGCTGTATGAAAGGGAATGTTCAACTCTATGAGTTGAATGCAAACATTGCAAAGAAGTTTCTGAGAATGCTTCTGTCTAGATTTTATATGAAGGTTTTCCCGTTTCCAACGAAATTTTCAATGCTCTCAAAATATCCACTTGTAGATTCTACAAAAAGAGTGTTTCCAAACTGCTGTGTCAAAAGAAAGGTTCAACTCTGTTAGTTGAGGACACACATCACAAATAAGTTTCTGAGAATGCTTCTGTCTAGTTCTTATTTGAAGACATTTCCTTTCTCACCTTAGGCCTGAAAACGCTCGAAATATCCACTTCCAGATACGACAGAAACAGTGATTCAAACCTGCTCTATGAAAGGGAATGTTCAACTAGGTGACTTGAATGCAAACATCACAAAGCAGTTTCTGAGAATGCTGCTGTCTACTTTCTATTTGTAATCCCGTTTCCAACGAAATCCTCAGAACTATCGAAATTTCCAATTGCAGATTCCACAAAAAGCGTGTTTCAAAGCTGCTCTGTAAAAAGAAAGGTTCAACTCTGTTAGTTGAATACACACGTCACAAACAAGTTTCTGAGAATGCTTCTGTCTAGTTTTTATGGGAAGATATTTCCTTTTTCACGGTAGGCCTCAAAGCGCTCCAAATGTCCACTTCCACATACTACAAAAAGAGTGTTTCAAACCTGCTCTATGATAGGGAATGTTGAAACCTATGAGTTGAATGCAAGCATTACAAAGAGGTTTCTGAGAATGCTTCTGTCTAGATTTTATATGTAGATATTCCCGTTTCCAACGAAATCCTCAAAGCTATCCAAATATCAACTTGCAGATTCTACAAAAGGAATGTTTCCAAAATGCTGTATCCAAACAAAGGTTCAACTCTGTGAATTGAGGGCATACATCACAAAGAAGATTCCTGAGAATGCTTCTGTCTAGCATTTTATATGAAAATATTCCCGTTTCCAACGAAATCCTCAAAGCTATCCAAATATCCACTTGCAAATGCCACAAAAAGAGTGTTTCCAAACTGCTCTGTGAAAAGGAAGGTTCAACTCTGTTAGTTGAGTACACACATCACAAAGAGGTTTCTGAGAATGCTGCTGACTAGTTTTTATTTGAAGATATTTCCCTTTTCACCTTAGGCCTAAGAGTGCTCGAAATGTCCATTTCCACATACTCCACAAAGTGTGTTTCAAACGTGCTGTATGAAAGGGAATGTTCAACTCTATGAGTTGAATGCAAACATCACAAAGAAGACTCTGAGAATGCTTTTGTCTAGATTTTATATGAAGATATTCCCGTGTCCAACGAAATTTTCAAAGGTCTCCAAATATCCATTTGTAGATTCTACAAAAAGAGTGTTTCCAAACTGCTGTATCAAAACAAAGGTTGAACTCTGTGAGTTGAGGACACACATCACAAATAAGTTTCTGAGAATGCTTCTGTCTAGTTTTTATTTGAAGATGTTTCCTTTTTCACCATAGGCCTGAAAGCGCTCGAAATGTCCACTTCCAGATAGTACAGAAAGAGTGTTTCAAACCTGCTCTATGAACGGGAATGTTCAGCTCTGTGAGTTGAATGCAAACATCACAAAGCAGGTTCCGAGAATGCTTCCGTCTAGATTTTAAATGAGGATATTCCCGTTTCCAACGAAATCCTCGAAGCTATCCAAATATCCACTTGCAGATTCCACAAAAAGAGTGTTTCAAAACTGCTCTGTCAAAAGATAGGTTCAACTCTGTTAGTTGAGTACACACATGGCAAACAAGATTCCGAGAATGCTTTCGTCTAGTTTTTTTGGGAAGATATTTCCTTCTTCACCATAGACCTCAAAGCGCTCCAAATATCCATTTCCACATGCTATACAAAGAGTGTCTCAAACCTGCTGTATGAATGGGAATGTTCAACTCTATGAGTTGAATGCAAACATCACAAAGAAGTTTACTGAGAATGCTGCTGTCTAGATTTTATATGAAGGTTTTCCCGCTTCCAACGAAATTTTCAATGCTCTCAAAATATCCTCTTGTAGATTCTACAAAAAGAGTGTTTCCAAACTGCTGTATCAAAACAAAGGTTCATCTCTGTTAGTTGAGGACACACATCACAAATAAGTTTCTGAGAATGCTTCTGTCTAGTTCTTATTTGAAGACATTTCCTTTCTCACCTTAGGCCTGAAAGCGCTCGAAATACCCACTTCCAGATACTACAGAAACAGTGATTCAAACCTGCTCTATGAAAGGGAATGTTCAACTATGTGACTTGAATGCAAACATCACAAAGCAGTTTCTGAGAATGCTGCTGTCTACTTTCTATTTGTAATCCCGTTTCCAACGAAATCCTCAGAACTATCGAAATTTCCAATTGCAGATTCCACAGAAACAGGTTTTCAAAGCTGCTCTGTAAAAAGAAAGGTTCAACTCTGTTAGTTGAATACACACGTCACAAACAAGTTTCTGAGAATGCTTCTGTCTAGTTTTTATGGGAAGATATTTCCTTTTTCACCGTAGGCCTCAAAGCGCTCCAAATGTCCACTTCCACATACTACAAAAAGAGTGTTTCAAACCTGCTCTATGATAGGGAATGTTGAAACCTATGAGTTGAATGCAAGCATTACAAAGAGGTTTCTGAGAATGCTTCTGTCTAGATTTTATATGTAGATATTCTCGTTTCCAACGAAATCCTCAAAGCTATCCAAATATCAACTTGCAGATTCTACAAAAGGAATGTTTCCAAAATGCTGTATCCAAACAAAGGTTCAACTCTGTGAATTGAGGGCATACATCACAAAGAAGATTCTGAGAATGCTTCTGTCTAGATTTTATATGAAAATATTCCCGTTTCCAACGAAATCCTCAAAGCTATCCAAATATCCACTTGCAAATGCCACAAAAAGAGTGTTTCCAAACTGCTCTGTGAAAAGGAAGGTTCAACTCTGTTAGTTGAGTACACACATCACAAAGAGGTTTCTGAGAATGCTGCTGACTAGTTTTTATTTGAAGATATTTCCCTTTTCACCTTAGGCCTAAGAGTGCTCGAAATGTCCATTTCCACATACTCCACAAAGTGTGTTTCAAACGTGCTGTATGAAAGGGAATGTTCAACTCTATGAGTTGAATGCAAACATCACAAAGAAGATTCTGAGAATGCTTTTGTCTAGATTTTATATGAAGATATTCCCGTGTCCAACGAAATTTTCAAAGGTCTCCAAATATCCATTTGTAGATTCTACAAAAAGAGTGTTTCCAAACTGCTGTATCAAAACAAAGGTTGAACTCTGTGAGTTGAGGACACACATCACAAATAAGTTTCTGAGAATGCTTCTGTCTAGTTTTTATTTGAAGATGTTTCCTTTTTCACCATAGGCCTGAAAGCGCTCGAAATGTCCACTTCCAGATAGTACAGAAAGAGTGTTTCAAACCTGCTCTATGAACGGGAATGTTCAGCTCTGTGAGTTGAATGCAAACATCACAAAGCAGGTTCTGAGAATGCTTCCGTCTAGATTTTAAATGAGGATATTCCCGTTTCCAACGAAATCCTCGAAGCTATCCAAATATCCACTTGCAGATTCCACAAAAAGAGTGTTTCAAAACTGCTCTGTCAAAAGATAGGTTCAACTCTGTTAGTTGAGTACACACATGGCAAACAAGATTCCGAGAATGCTTTCGTCTAGTTTTTTTGGGAAGATATTTCCTTCTTCACCATAGGCCTCAAAGCGCTCCAAATATCCATTTCCAAATGCTATACAAAGAGTGTCTCAAACCTGCTGTATGAATGGGAATGTTCAACTCTATGAGTTGAATGCAAACATCACAAAGAAGTTTCTGAGAATGCTGCTGTCTAGATTTTATATGAAGGTTTTCCCGCTTCCAACGAAATTTTCAATGCTCTCAAAATATCCTCTTGTAGATTCTACAAAAAGAGTGTTTCCAAACTGCTGTATCAAAACAAAGGTTCATCTCTGTTAGTTGAGGACACACATCACAAATAAGTTTCTGAGAATGCTTCTGTCTAGTTCTTATTTGAAGACATTTCCTTTCTCACCTTAGGCCTGAAAGCGCTCGAAATACCCACTTCCAGATACTACAGAAACAGTGATTCAAACCTGCTCTATGAAAGGGAATGTTCAACTATGTGACTTGAATGCAAACATCACAAAGCAGTTTCTGAGAATGCTGCTGTCTACTTTCTATTTGTAATCCCGTTTCCAACGAAATCCTCAGAACTATCGAAATTTCCAATTGCAGATTCCACAGAAACAGGGTTTCAAAGCTGCTCTGTAAAAAGAAAGGTTCAACTCTGTTAGTTGAATACACACGTCACAAACAAGTTTCTGAGAATGCTTCTGTCTAGTTTTTATGGGAAGATATTTCCTTTTTCACCGTAGGCCTCAAAGCGCTCCAAATGTCCACGTCCACATACTACAAAAAGAGTGTTTCAAACCTGCTGTATGAAAGGGAATGTTCAACTCCTATGAGTTGAATGCAAACATTACAAAGAAGTTTCTGAGAATGCTTTCTGTCTAGATTTTATATGAAGGTTTTCCCGTTTCCAACGAAATTTTCAATGCTCTCAAAATATCCACTTGTAGATTCTACAAAAAGAGTGTTTCCAAACTGCTGTGTCAAAAGAAAGGTTCAACTCTGTTAGTTGAGGACACACAACACAAATAAGTTTCTGAGAATGCTTCTGTCTAGTTCTTATTTGAAGACATTTCCTTTCTCACCTTAGGCCTGAAAACGCTCGAAATATCCACTTCCAGATACGACAGAAACAGTGATTCAAACCTGCTCTATGAAAGGGAATGTTCAACTAGGTGACTTGAATGCAAACATCACAAAGCAGTTTCTGAGAATGCTGCTGTCTACTTTCTATTTGTAATCCCGTTTCCAACGAAATCCTCAGAACTATCGAAATTTCCAATTGCAGATTCCACAAAAAGCGTGTTTCAAAGCTGCTCTGTAAAAAGAAAGGTTCAACTCTGTTAGTTGAATACACACGTCACAAACAAGTTTCTGAGAATGCTTCTGTCTAGTTTTTATGGGAAGATATTTCCTTTTTCACCGTAGGCCTCAAAGCGCTCCAAATGTCCACTTCCACATACTACAAAAAGAGTGTTTCAAACCTGCTCTATGATAGGGAATGTTGAAACCTATGAGTTGAATGCAAGCATTACAAAGAGGTTTCTGAGAATGCTTCTGTCTAGATTTTATATGTAGATATTCCCGTTTCCAACGAAATCCTCAAAGCTATCCAAATATCAACTTGCAGATTCTACAAAAGGAATGTTTCCAAAATGCTGTATCCAAACAAAGGTTCAACTCTGTGAATTGAGGGAATACATCACAAAGAAGATTCTGAGAATGCTTCTGTCTAGATTTTATATGAAAATATTGCCGTTTCCAACGAAATCCTCAAAGCTATCCAAATATCCACTTGCAAATGCCACAAAAAGAGTGTTTCCAAACTGCTCTGTGAAAAGGAAGGTTCAACTCTGTTAGTTGAGTACACACATCACAAAGAGGTTTCTGAGAATGCTGCTGACTAGTTTTTATTTGAAGATATTTCCCTTTTCACCTTAGGCCTAAGAGTGCTCGAAATGTCCATTTCCACATACTCCACAAAGTGTGTTTCAAACGTGCTGTATGAAAGGGAATGTTCAACTCTATGAGTTGAATGCAAACATCACAAAGAAGATTCTGAGAATGCTTTTGTCTAGATTTTATATGAAGATATTCCCGTGTCCAACGAAATTTTCAAAGGTCTCCAAATAAAGATTGTTTCCAAACTGCTGTATCAAAACAAAGGTTGAACTCTGTGAGTTGAGGACACACATCACAAATAAGTTTCTGAGAATGCTTCTGTCTAGTTTTTATTTGAAGATGTTTCCTTTTTCACCATAGGCCTGAAAGCGCTCGAAATGTCCACTTCCAGATAGTACAGAAAGAGTGTTTCAAACCTGCTCTATGAACGGGAATGTTCAGCTCTGTGAGTTGAATGCAAACATCACAAAGCAGGTTCTGAGAATGCTTCCGTCTAGATTTTAAATGAGGATATTCCCGTTTCCAACGAAATCCTCGAAGCTATCCAAATATCCACTTGCAGATTCCACAAAAAGAGTGTTTCAAAACTGCTCTGTCAAAAGATAGGTTCAACTCTGTTAGTTGAGTACACACATGGCAAACAAGATTCCGAGAATGCTTTCGTCTAGTTTTTTTGGGAAGATATTTCCTTCTTCACCATAGGCCTCAAAGCGCTCCAAATATCCATTTCCACATGCTATACAAAGAGTGTCTCAAACCTGCTGTATGAATGGGAATGTTCAACTCTATGAGTTGAATGCAAACATCACAAAGAAGTTTCTGAGAATGCTGCTGTCTAGATTTTATATGAAGGTTTTCCCGCTTCCAACGAAATTTTCAATGCTCTCAAAATATCCTCTTGTAGATTCTACAAAAAGAGTGTTTCCAAACTGCTGTATCAAAACAAAGGTTCATCTCTGTTAGTTGAGGACACACATCACAAATAAGTTTCTGAGAATGCTTCTGTCTAGTTCTTATTTGAAGACATTTCCTTTCTCACCTTAGGCCTGAAAGCGCTCGAAATACCCACTTCCAGATACGACAGAAACAGTGATTCAAACCTGCTCTATGAAAGGGAATGTTCAACTATGTGACTTGAATGCAAACATCACAAAGCAGTTTCTGAGAATGCTGCTGTCTACTTTCTATTTGTAATCCCGTTTCCAACGAAATCCTCAGAACTATCGAAATTTCCAATTGCAGATTCCACAGAAACAGGGTTTCAAAGCTGCTCTGTAAAAAGAAAGGTTCAACTCTGTTAGTTGAATACACACGTCACAAACAAGTTTCTGAGAATGCTTCTGTCTAGTTTTTATGGGAAGATATTTCCTTTTTCACCGTAGGCCTCAAAGCGCTCCAAATGTCCACTTCCACATACTACAAAAAGAGTGTTTCAAACCTGCTGTATGAAAGGGAATGTTCAACTCTATGAGTCGAATGCAAACATTACAAAGAAGTTTCTGAGAATGCTTCTGTCTAGATTTTATATGAAGGTTTTCCTGTTTCCAACGAAATTTTCAATGCTCTCAATATATCCACTTGTAGATTCTACAAAAAGAGTGTTTCCAAACTGCTGTGTCAAAAGAAAGGTTCAACTCTGTTAGTTGAGGACACACATCACAAATAAGTTTCTGAGAATGCTTCTGTCTAGTTCTTATTTGAAGACATTTCCTTTCTCACCTTAGGCCTGAAAACGCTCGAAATATCCACTTCCAGATACGACAGAAACAGTGATTCAAACCTGCTCTATGAAAGGGAATGTTCAACTAGGTGACTTGAATGCAAACATCCACAAAGCAGTTTCTGAGAATGCTGCTGTCTACTTTCTATTTGTAATCCCGTTTCCAACGAAATCCTCAGAACTATCGAAATTTCCAATTGCAGATTCCACAAAAAGCGTGTTTCAAAGCTGCTCTGTAAAAAGAAAGGTTCAACTCTGTTAGTTGAATACACACGTCACAAACAAGTTTCTGAGAATGCTTCTGTCTAGTTTTTATGGGAAGATATTTCCTTTTTCACCGTAGGCCTCAAAGCGCTCCAAATGTCCACTTCCACATACTACAAAAAGAGTGTTTCAAACCTGCTCTATGATAGGGAATGTTGAAACCTATGAGTTGAATGCAAGCATTACAAAGAGGTTTCTGAGAATGCTTCTGTCTAGATTTTATATGTAGATATTCCCGTTTCCAACGAAATCCTCAAAGCTATCCAAATATCAGCTTGCAGATTCTGCAAAAGGAATGTTTCCAAAATGCTGTATCCAAACAAAGGTTCAACTCTGTGAATTGAGGGCATACATCACAAAGAAGATTCTGAGAATGCTTCTGTCTAGATTTTATATGAAAATATTCCCGTTTCCAACGAAATCCTCAAAGCTATCCAAATATCCACTTGCAAATGCCACAAAAAGAGTGTTTCCAAACTGCTCTGTGAAAAGGAAGGTTCAACTCTGTTAGTTGAGTACACACATCACAAAGAGGTTTCTGAGAATGCTGCTGACTAGTTTTTATTTGAAGATATTTCCCTTTTCACCTTAGGCCTAAGAGTGCTCGAAATGCCCATTTCCACATACTCCACAAAGTGTGTTTCAAACGTGCTGTATGAAAGGGAATGTTCAACTCTATGAGTTGAATGCAAACATCACAAAGAAGATTCTGAGAATGCTTTTGTCTAGCATTTTATATGAAGATATTCCCGTGTCCAACGAAATTTTCAAAGGTCTCCAAATATCCATTTGTAGATTCTACAAAAAGAGTGTTTCCAAACTGCTGTATCAAAACAAAGGTTGAACTCTGTGAGTTGAGGACACACATCACAAATAAGTTTCTGAGAATGCTTCTGTCTAGTTTTTATTTGAAGATGTTTCCTTTTTCACCATAGGCCTGAAAGCGCTCGAAATGTCCACTTCCAGATAGTGCAGAAAGAGTGTTTCAAACCTGCTCTATGAACGGGAATGTTCAGCTCTGTGAGTTGAATGCAAACATCACAAAGCAGGTTCTGAGAATGCTTCCGTCTAGATTTTAAATGAGGATATTCCCGTTTCCAACGAAATCCTCGAAGCTATCCAAATATCCACTTGCAGATTCCACAAAAAGAGTGTTTCAAAACTGCTCTGTCAAAAGATAGGTTCAACTCCGTTAGTTGAGTACACACATGGCAAACAAGATTCCGAGAATGCTTTCGTCTAGTTTTTTGGGGAAGATATTTCCTTCTTCACCATAGGCCTCAAAGCGCTCCAAATATCCATTTCCACATGCTATACAAAGAGTGTCTCAAACCTGCTGTATGAATGGGAATGTTCAACTCTATGAGTTGAATGCAAACATCACAAAGAAGTTTCTGAGAATGCTGCTGTCTAGATTTTATATGAAGGTTTTCCCGCTTCCAACGAAATTTTCAATGCTCTCAAAATATCCTCTTGTAGATTCTACAAAAAGAGTGTTTCCAAACTGCTGTATCAAAACAAAGGTTCATCTCTGTTAGTTGAGGACACACATCACAAATAAGTTTCTGAGAATGCTTCTGTCTAGTTCTTATTTGAAGACATTTCCTTTCTCACCTTAGGCCTGAAAGCGCTCGAAATACCCACTTCCAGATACTACAGAAACAGTGATTCAAACCTGTTCTATGAAAGGGAATGTTCAACTAGGTGACTTGAATGCAAACATCACAAAGCAGTTTCTGAGAATGCTGCTGTCTACTTTCTATTTGTAATCCCGTTTCCAACGAAATCCTCAGAACTATCGAAATTTCCATTTGCAGATTCCACAGAAACAGGGTTTCAAAGCTGCTCTGTAAAAAGAAAGGTTCAACTCTGTTAGTTGAATACACACGTCACAAACAAGTTTCTGAGAATGCTTCTGTCTAGTTTTTATGGGAAGATATTTCCTTTTTCACGGTAGGCCTCAAAGCGCTCCAAATGTCCACTTCCACATACTACAAAAAGAGTGTTTCAAACCTGCTCTATGATAGGGAATGTTGAAACCTATGAGTTGAATGCAAGCATTACAAAGAGGTTTCTGAGAATGCTTCTGTCTAGATTTTATATGTAGATATTCCCGTTTCCAACGAAATCCTCAAAGCTATCCAAATATCAACTTGCAGATTCTACAAAAGGAATGTTTCCAAAATGCTGTATCCAAACAAAGGTTCAACTCTGTGAATTGAGGGCATACATCACAAAGAAGATTCTGAGAATGCTTCTGTCTAGATTTTATATGAAAATATTCCCGTTTCCAACAAAATCCTCAAAGCTATCCAAATATCCACTTGCAAATGCCACAAAAAGAGTGTTTCCAAACTGCTCTGTGAAAAGGAAGGTTCAACTCTGTTAGTTGAGTACACACATCACAAAGAGGTTTCTGAGAATGCTGCTGGCTAGTTTTTATTTGAAGATATTTCCCTTTTCACCTTAGGCCTAAGAGTGCTCGAAATGTCCATTTCCACATACTCCACAAAGTGTGTTCCAAACGTGCTGTATGAAAGGGAATGTTCAACTCTATGAGTTGAATGCAAACATCACAAAGAAGATTCTGAGAATGCTTTTGTCTAGATTTTATATGAAGATATTCCCGTGTCCAACGAAATTTTCAATGGTCTCCAAATATCCATTTGTAGATTCTACAAAAAGAGTGTTTCCAAACTGCTGTATCAAAACAAAGGTTGAACTCTGTGAGTTGAGGACACACATCACAAATAAGTTTCTGAGAATGCTTCTGTCTAGTTTTTATTTGAAGATATTTCCTTTTTCACCATAGGCCTGAAAGCGCTCGAAATGTCCCCTTCCAGATAGTACAGAAAGAGTGTTTCAAACCTGCTCTATGAACAGGAATGTTCAGCTCTGTGAGTTGAATGCAAACATCACAAAGCAGGTTCTGAGAATGCTTCCGTCTAGATTTTATATGAGGATATTCCCGTTTCCAAGGAAATCCTCGAAGCTATCCAAATATCCATTTGCAGATTCCACAAAAAGAGTGTTTCAAAACTGCTCTGTCAAAAGATAGGTTCAACTCTGTTAGTTGAGAACACACATGGCAAACAAGATTGCGAGAATGCTTTCGTCTAGTTTTTTTGGGAAGATATTCCCTTCTTCACCATAGGCCTCAAAGCGCGCCAAATATCCATTTCCACATACTATACAAAGAGTGTCTCAAACCTGCTGTATGAATGGGAATGTTCAACTCCTATGAGTTGAATGCAAACATCACAAAGAAGTTTCTGAGAATGCTGCTGTCTAGATTTTATATGAAGGTTTTCCCGCTTCCAAAGAAATTTTCAATGCTCTCAAAATATCCTCTTGTAGATTCTACAAAAAGAGTGTTTCCAAACTGCTGTATCAAAACAAAGGTTCATCTCTGTTAGTTGAGGACACACATCACAAATAAGTTTCTGAGAATGCTTCTGTCTAGTTCTTATTTGAAGACATTTCCTTTCTCACCTTAGGCCTGAAAACGCTCGAAATATCCACTTCCAGATACGACAGAAACAGGGATTCAAACCTGCTCTATGAAAGGGAATGTTCAACTAGGTGACTTGAATGCAAACATCACAAAGCAGTTTCTGAGAATGCTGCTGTCTACTTTCTATTTGTAATCCCGTTTCCAACGAAATCCTCAGAACTATCGAAATTTCCAATTGCAGATTCCACAAAAAGCGTGTTTCAAAGCTGCTCTGTAAAAAGAAAGGTTCAACTCTGTTAGTTGAATACACACGTCACAAACAAGTTTCTGAGAATGCTTCTGTCTAGTTTTTATGGGAAGATATTTCCTTTTTCACCGTAGGCCTCAAAGCGCTCCAAATGTCCACTTCCACATACTACAAAAAGAGTGTTTCAAACCTGCTCTATGATAGGGAATGTTGAAACCTATGAGTTGAATGCAAGCATTACAAAGAGGTTTCTGAGAATGCTTCTGTCTAGATTTTATATGTAGATATTCCCGTTTCCAACGAAATCCTCAAAGCTATCCAAATATCAGCTTGCAGATTCTGCAAAAGGAATGTTTCCAAAATGCTGTATCCAAACAAAGGTTCAACTCTGTGAATTGAGGGCATACATCACAAAGAAGATTCTGAGAATGCTTCTGTCTAGATTTTATATGAAAATATTCCCGTTTCCAACGAAATCCTCAAAGCTATCCAAATATCCACTTGCAAATGCCACAAAAAGAGTGTTTCCAAACTGCTCTGTGAAAAGGAAGGTTCAACTCTGTTAGTTGAGTACACACATCACAAAGAGGTTTCTGAGAATGCTGCTGACTAGTTTTTATTTAAAGATATTTCCCTTTTCACCTTAGGCCTAAGAGTGCTCGAAATGTCCATTTCCACATACTCCACAAAGTGTGTTTCAAACGTGCTGTATGAAAGGGAATGTTCAACTCTATGAGTTGAATGCAAACATCACAAAGAAGACTCTGAGAATGCTTTTGTCTAGATTTTATATGAAGATATTCCCGTGTCCAATGAAATTTTCAAAGGTCTCCAAATATCCATTTGTAGATTCTACAAAAAGAGTGTTTCCAAACTGCTGTATCAAAACAAAGGTTGAACTCTGTGAGTTGAGGACACACATCACAAATAAGTTTCTGAGAATGCTTCTGTCTAGTTTTTATTTGAAGATGTTTCCTTTTTCACCATAGGCCTGAAAGCGCTCGAAATGTCCACTTCCAGATAGTACAGAAAGAGTGTTTCAAACCTGCTCTATGAACAGGAATGTTCAGCTCTGTGAGTTGAATGCAAACATCACAAAGCAGGTTCTGAGAATGCTTCCGTCTAGATTTTAAATGAGGATATTCCCGTTTCCAACGAAATCCTCGAAGCTATCCAAATATCCACTTGCAGATTCCACAGAAAGAGTGTTTCAAAACTGCTCTGTCAAAAGATAGGTTCAACTCTGTTAGTTGAGTACACACATGGCAAACAAGATTCCGAGAATGCTTTCGTCTAGTTTTTTTGGGAAGATATTTCCTTCTTCACCATAGGCCTCAAAGCGCTCCAAATATCCATTTCCACATGCTATACAAAGAGTGTCTCAAACCTGCTGTATGAATGGGAATGTTCAACTCTATGAGTTGAATGCAAACATCACAAAGAAGTTTCTGAGAATGCTGCTGTCTAGATTTTATATGAAGGTTTTCCCGCTTCCAACGAAATTTTCAATGCTCTCAAAATATCCTCTTGTAGATTCTACAAAAAGAGTGTTTCCAAACTGCTGTATCAAAACAAAGGTTCATCTCTGTTAGTTGAGGACACACATCACAAATAAGTTTCTGAGAATGCTTCTGTCTAGTTCTTATTTGAAGACATTTCCTTTCTCACCTTAGGCCTGAAAACGCTCGAAATATCCACTTCCAGATACGACAGAAACAGTGATTCAAACCTGCTCTATGAAAGGGAATGTTCAACTAGGTTACTTGAATGCAAACATCACAAAGCAGTTTCTGAGAATGCTGCTGTCTACTTTCTATTTGTAATCCCGTTTCCAACGAAATCCTCAGAACTATCGAAATTTCCAATTGCAGATTCCACAAAAAGCGTGTTTCAAAGCTGCTCTGTAAAAAGAAAGGTTCAACTCTGTTAGTTGAATACACACGTCACAAACAAGTTTCTGAGAATGCTTCTGTCTAGTTTTTATGGGAAGATATTTCCTTTTTCACCGTAGGCCTCAAAGCGCTCCAAATGTCCACTTCCACATACTACAAAAAGAGTGTTTCAAACCTGCTCTATGATAGGGAATGTTGAAACCTATGAGTTGAATGCAAGCATTACAAAGAGGTTTCTGAGAATGCTTCTGTCTAGATTTTATATGTAGATATTCCCGTTTCCAACGAAATCCTCAAAGCTATCCAAATATCAACTTGCAGATTCTACAAAAGGAATGTTTCCAAAATGCTGTATCCAAACAAAGGTTCAACTCTGTGAATTGAGGGAATACATCACAAAGAAGATTCTGAGAATGCTTCTGTCTAGATTTTATATGAAAATATTCCCGTTTCCAACGAAATCCTCAAAGCTATCCAAATATCCACTTGCAAATGCCACAAAAAGAGTGTTTCCAAACTGCTCTGTGAAAAGGAAGGTTCAACTCAGTTGAGTACACACATCACAAAGAGGTTTCTGAGAATGCTGCTGACTAGTTTTTATTTGAAGATATTTCCCTTTTCACCTTAGGCCTAAGAGTGCTCGAAATGTCCATTTCCACATACTCCACAAAGTGTGTTTCAAACGTGCTGTATGAAAGGGAATGTTCAACTCTATCAGTTGAATGCAAACATCACAAAGAAGACTCTGAGAATGCTTTTGTCTAGATTTTATATGAAGATATTCCCGTGTCCAACGAAATTTTCAAAGGTCTCCAAATATCCATTTGTAGATTCTACAAAAAGAGTGTTTCCAAACTGCTGTATCAAAACAAAAGTTGAACTCTGTGAGTTGAGGACACACATCACAAATAAGTTTCTGAGAATGCTTCTGTCTAGTTTTTATTTGAAGATGTTTCCTTTTTCACCATAGGCCTGAAAGCGCTCGAAATGTCCACTTCCAGATAGTACAGAAAGAGTGTTTCAAACCTGCTCTATGAACGGGAATGTTCAGCTCTGTGAGTTGAATGCAAACATCACAAAGCAGGTTCTGAGAATGCTTCCGTCTAGATTTTAAATGAGGATATTCCCGTTTCCAACGAAATCCTCAAAGCTATCCAAATATCCACTTGCAGATTCCACAAAAAGAGTGTTTCAAAACTGCTCTGTCAAAAGATAGGTTCAACTCTGTTAGTTGAGTACACACATGGCAAACAAGATTCCGAGAATGCTTTCGTCTAGTTTTTTTGGGAAGATATTTCCTTCTTCACCATAGGCCTCAAAGCGCTCCAAATATCCATTTCCACATGCTATACAAAGAGTGTCTCAAACCTGCTGTATGAATGGGAATGTTCAACTCTATGAGTTGAATGCAAACATCACAAAGAAGTTTCTGAGAATGCTGCTGTCTAGATTTTATATGAAGGTTTTCCCGCTTCCAACGAAATTTTCAATGCTCTCAAAATATCCTCCTTGTAGATTCTACAAAAAGAGTGTTTCCAGACTGCTGTATCAAAACAAAGGTTCATCTCTGTTAGTTGAGGACACACATCACAAATAAGTTTCTGAGAATGCTTCTGTCTAGTTCTTATTTGAAGACATTTCCTTTCTCACCTTAGGCCTGAAAGCGCTCGAAACACCCACTTCCAGATACTACAGAAACAGTGATTCAAACCTGCTCTATGAAAGGGAATGTTCAACTAGGTGACTTGAATGCAAACATCACAAAGCAGTTTCTGAGAATGCTGCTGTCTACTTTCTATTTGTAATCCCGTTTCCAACGAAATCCTCAGAACCATCGAAATTTCCAATTGCAGATTCCACAAAAAGCGTGTTTCAAAGCTGCTCTGTAAAAAGAAAGGTTCAACTCTGTTAGTTGAATACACACGTCACAAACAAGTTTCTGAGAATGCTTCTGTCTAGTTTTTATGGGAAGATATTTCCTTTTTCACGGTAGGCCTCAAAGCGCTCCAAATGTCCACTTCCACATACTACAAAAAGAGTGTTTCAAACCTGCTCTATGATAGGGAATGTTGAAACCTATGAGTTGAATGCAAGCATTACAAAGAGGTTTCTGAGAATGCTTCTGTCTAGATTTTATATGTAGATATTCCCGTTTCCAACGAAATCCTCAAAGCTATCCAAATATCAACTTGCAGATTCTACAAAAGGAATGTTTCCAAAATGCTGTATCCAAACAAAGGTTCAACTCTGTGAATTGAGGGCATACATCACAAAGAAGATTCTGAGAATGCTTCTGTCTAGATTTTATATGAAAATATTCCCGTTTCCAACGAAATCCTCAAAGCTATCCAAATATCCACTTGCAAATGCCACAAAAAGAGTGTTTCCAAACTGCTCTGTGAAAAGGAAGGTTCAACTCTGTTAGTTGAGTACACACATCACAAAGAGGTTTCTGAGAATGCTGCTGACTAGTTTTTATTTGAAGATATTTCCCTTTTCACCTTAGGCCTAAGAGTGCTCGAAATGTCCATTTCCACATACTCCACAAAGTGTGTTTCAAACGTGCTGTATGAAAGGGAATGTTCAACTCTATGAGTTGAATGCAAACATCACAAAGAAGATTCTGAGAATGCTTTTGTCTAGATTTTATATGAAGATATTCCCGTGTCCAACGAAATTTTCAAAGGTCTCCAAATATCCATTTGTAGATTCTACAAAAAGAGTGTTTCCAAACTGCTGTATCAAAACAAAGGTTGAACTCTGTGAGTTGAGGACACACATCACAAATAAGTTTCTGAGAATGCTTCTGTCTAGTTTTTATTTGAAGATGTTTCCTTTTTCACCATAGGCCTGAAAGCGCTCGAAATGTCCACTTCCAGATAGTACAGAAAGAGTGTTTCAAACCTGCTCTATGAACGGGAATGTTCAGCTCTGTGAGTTGAATGCAAACATCACAAAGCAGGTTCTGAGAATGCTTCCGTCTAGATTTTAAATGAGGATATTCCCGTTTCCAACGAAATCCTCGAAGCTATCCAAATATCCACTTGCAGATTCCACAAAAAGAGTGTTTCAAAACTGCTCTGTCAAAAGATAGGTTCAACTCTGTTAGTTGAGTACACACATGGCAAACAAGATTCCGAGAATGCTTTCGTCTAGTTTTTTTGGGAAGATATTTCCTTCTTCACCATAGGCCTCAAAGCGCTCCAAATATCCATTTCCACATGCTATACAAAGAGTGTCTCAAACCTGCTGTATGAATGGGAATGTTCAACTCTATGAGTTGAATGCAAACATCACAAAGAAGTTTCTGAGAATGCTTCTGTCTAGATTTTATATGAAGGTTTTCCCGTTTCCAACGAAATTTTCAATGCTCTCAAAATATCCACTTGTAGATTCTACAAAAAGAGTGTTTCCAAACTGCTGTGTCAAAAGAAAGGTTCAACTCTGTTAGTTGAGGACACACATCACAAATAAGTTTCTGAGAATGCTTCTGTCTAGTTCTTATTTGAAGACATTTCCTTTCTCACCTTAGGCCTGAAAACGCTCGAAATATCCACTTCCAGATACGACAGAAACAGTGATTCAAACCTGCTCTATGAAAGGGAATGTTCAACTAGGTGACTTGAATGCAAACATCACAAAGCAGTTTCTGAGAATGCTGCTGTCTACTTTCTATTTGTAATCCCGTTTCCAACGAAATCCTCAGAACTATCGAAATTTCCAATTGCAGATTCCACAAAAAGCGTGTTTCAAAGCTGCTCTGTAAAAAGAAAGGTTCAACTCTGTTAGTTGAATACACACGTCACAAACAAGTTTCTGAGAATGCTTCTGTCTAGTTTTTATGGGAAGATATTTCCTTTTTCACCGTAGGCCTCAAAGCGCTCCAAATGTCCACTTCCACATACTACAAAAAGAGTGTTTCAAACCTGCTCTATGATAGGGAATGTTGAAACCTGTGAGTTGAATGCAAACATTACAAAGAGGTTTCTGAGAATGCTTCTGTCTAGATTTTATATGTAGATATTCCCGTTTCCAACGAAATCCTCAAAGCTATCCAAATATCAACTTGCAGATTCTACAAAAGGAATGTTTCCAAAATGCTGTATCCAAACAAAGGTTGAACTCTGTGAATTGAGGGCATACATCACAAAGAAGATTCTGAGAATGCTTCTGTCTAGATTTTATATGAAAATATTCCCGTTTCCAACGAAATCCTCAAAGCTATCCAAATATCCACTTGCAAATGCCACAAAAAGAGTGTTTCCAAACTGCTCTGTGAAAAGGAAGGTTCAACTCTGTTAGTTGAGTACACACATCACAAAGAGGTTTCTGAGAATGCTGCTGACTAGTTTTTATTTGAAGATATTTCCCTTTTCACCTTAGGCCTAAGAGTGCTCGAAATGTCCATTTCCACATACTCCACAAAGTGTGTTTCAAACGTGCTGTATGAAAGGGAATGTTCAACTCTATGAGTTGAATGCAAACATCACAAAGAAGATTCTGAGAATGCTTTTGTCTAGATTTTATATGAAGATATTCCCGTGTCCAACGAAATTTTCAAAGGTCTCCAAATATCCATTTGTAGATTCTACAAAAAGAGTGTTTCCAAACTGCTGTATCAAAACAAAGGTTGAACTCTGTGAGTTGAGGACACACATCACAAATAAGTTTCTGAGAATGCTTCTGTCTAGTTTTTATTTGAAGATGTTTCCTTTTTCACCATAGGCCTGAAAGCGCTCGAAATGTCCACTTCCAGATAGTACAGAAAGAGTGTTTCAAACCTGCTCTATGAACGGGAATGTTCAGCTCTGTGAGTTGAATGCAAACATCACAAAGCAGGTTCTGAGAATGCTTCCGTCTAGATTTTAAATGAGGATATTCCCGTTTCCAACGAAATCCTCGAAGCTATCCAAATATCCACTTGCAGATTCCACAAAAAGAGTGTTTCAAAACTGCTCTGTCAAAAGATAGGTTCAACTCTGTTAGTTGAGTACACACATGGCAAACAAGATTGCGAGAATGCTTTCGTCTAGTTTTTTTGGGAAGATATTTCCTTCTTCACCATAGGCCTCAAAGCGCTCCAAATATCCATTTCCACATGCTATACAAAGAGTGTCTCAAACCTGCTGTATGAATGGGAATGTTCAACTCTATGAGTTGAATGCAAACATCACAAAGAAGTTTCTGAGAATGCTGCTGTCTAGATTTTATATGAAGGTTTTCCCGCTTCCAACGAAATTTTCAATGCTCTCAAAATATCCTCTTGTAGATTCTACAAAAAGAGTGTTTCCAAACTGCTGTATCAAAACAAAGGTTCATCTCTGTTAGTTGAGGACACACATCACAAATAAGTTTCTGAGAATGCTTCTGTCTAGTTCTTATTTGAAGACATTTCCTTTCTCACCTTAGGCCTGAATGCGCTCGAAATACCCACTTCCAGATACGACAGAAACAGTGATTCAAACCTGCTCTATGAAAGGGAATGTTCAACTAGGTGACTTGAATGCAAACATCACAAAGCAGTTTCTGAGAATGCTGCTGTCTACTTTCTATTTGTAATCCCGTTTCCAACGAAATCCTCAGAACTATCGAAATTTCCAATTGCAGATTCCACAGAAACAGGGTTTCAAAGCTGCTCTGTAAAAAGAAAGGTTCAACTCTGTTAGTTGAATACACACGTCACAAACAAGTTTCTGAGAATGCTTCTGTCTAGTTTTTATGGGAAGATATTTCCTTTTTCACCGTAGGCCTCAAAGCGCTCCAAATGTCCACGTCCACATACTACAAAAAGAGTGTTTCAAACCTGCTGTATGAAAGGGAATGTTCAACTCTATGAGTTGAATGCAAACATTACAAAGAAGTTTCTGAGAATGCTTCTGTCTAGATTTTATATGAAGGTTTTCCCGTTTCCAACGAAATTTTCAATGCTCTCAAAATATCCACTTGTAGATTCTACAAAAAGAGTGTTTCCAAACTGCTGTGTCAAAAGAAAGGTTCAACTCTGTTAGTTGAGGACACACATCACAAATAAGTTTCTGAGAATGCTTCTGTCTAGTTCTTATTTGAAGACATTTCCTTTCTCACCTTAGGCCTGAAAACGCTCGAAATATCCACTTCCAGATACGACAGAAACAGTGATTCAAACCTGCTCTATGAAAGGGAATGTTCAACTAGGTGACTTGAATGCAAACATCACAAAGCAGTTTCTGACAATGCTGCTGTCTACTTTCTATTTGTAATCCCGTTTCCAACGAAATCCTCAGAACTATCGAAATTTCCAATTGCAGATTCCACAAAAAGCGTGTTTCAAAGCTGCTCTGTAAAAAGAAAGGTTCATCTCTGTTAGTTGAATACACACGTCACAAACAAGTTTCTGAGAATGCTTCTGTCTAGTTTTTATGGGAAGATATTTCCTTTTTCACCGTATGCCTCAAAGCGCTCCAAATGTCCACTTCCACATACTACAAAAAGAGTGTTTCAAACCTGCTCTATGATAGGGAATGTTGAAACCTATGAGTTGAATGCAAGCATTACAAAGAGGTTTCTGAGAATGCTTCTGTCTAGATTTTATATGTAGATATTCCCGTTTCCAACGAAATCCTCAAAGCTATCCAAATATCAACTTGCAGATTCTACAAAAGGAATGTTTCCAAAATGCTGTATCCAAACAAAGGTTCAACTCTGTGAATTGAGGACATACATCACAAAGAAGATTCTGAGAATGCTTCTGTGTAGATTTTATATGAAAATATTCCCGTTTCCAACGAAATCCTCAAAGCTATCCAAATATCCACTTGCAAATGCCACAAAAAGAGTGTTTCCAAACTGCTCTGTGAAAAGGAAGGTTCAACTCTGTTAGTTGAGTACACACATCATAAAGAGGTTTCTGAGAATGCTGCTGACTAGTTTTTATTTGAAGATATTTCCCTTTTCACCTTAGGCCTAAGAGTGCTCGAAATGTCCATTTCCACATACTCCACAAAGTGTGTTTCAAACGTGCTGTATGAAAGGGAATGTTCAACTCTATGAGTTGAATGCAAACATCACAAAGAAGATTCTGAGAATGCTTTTGTCCAGATTTTATATGAAGATATTCCCGTGTCCAACGAAATTTTCAAAGGTCTCCAAATAAAGAGTGTTTCCAAACTGCTGTATCAAAACAAAGGTTGAACTCTGTGAGTTGAGGACACACATCACAAATAAGTTTCTGAGAATGCTTCTGTCTAGTTTTTATTTGAAGATGTTTCCTTTTTCACCATAGGCCTGAAAGCGCTCGAAATGTCCACTTCCAGATAGTACAGAAAGAGTGTTTCAAACCTGCTCTATGAACGGGAATGTTCAGCTCTGTGAGTTGAATGCAAACATCACAAAGCAGGTTCTGAGAATGCTTCCGTCTAGATTTTAAATGAGGATATTCCCGTTTCCAACGAAATCCTCGAAGCTATCCAAATATCCACTTGCAGATTCCACAAAAAGAGTGTTTCAAAACTGCTCTGTCAAAAGATAGGTTCAACTCTGTTAGTTGAGTACACACATGGCAAACAAGATTCCGAGAATGCTTTCGTCTAGTTTTTTTGGGAAGATATTTCCTTCTTCACCATAGGCCTCAAAGCGCTCCAAATATCCATTTCCACATGCTATACAAAGAGTGTCTCAAACCTGCTGTATGAATGGGAATGTTCAACTCTATGAGTTGAATGCAAACATCACAAAGAAGTTTCTGAGAATGCTGCTGTCTAGATTTTATATGAAGGTTTTCCCGCTTCCAACGAAATTTTCAATGCTCTCAAAATATCCTCTTGTAGATTCTACAAAAAGAGTGTTTCCAAACTGCTGTATCAAAACAAAGGTTCATCTCTGTTAGTTGAGGACACACATCACAAATAAGTTTCTGAGAATGCTTCTGTCTAGTTCTTATTTGAAGACATTTCCTTTCTCACCTTAGGCCTGAAAGCGCTCGAAATACCCACTTCCAGATACTACAGAAACAGTGATTCAAACCTGCTCTATGAAAGGGAATATTCAACTAGGTGACTTGAATGCAAACATCACAAAGCAGTTTCTGAGAATGCTGCTGTCTACTTTCTATTTGTAATCCCGTTTCCGACGAAATCCTCAGAACTATCGAAATTTACAATTGCAGATTCCACAGAAACAGGGTTTCAAAGCTGCTCTGTAAAAAGAAAGGTTCAACTCTGTTAGTTGAATACACACGTCACAAACAAGTTTCTGAGAATGCTTCTGTCTAGTTTTTATGGGAAGATATTTCCTTTTTCACCGTAGGCCTCAAAGCGCTCCAAATGTCCACGTCCACATACTACAAAAAGAGTGTTTCAAACCTGCTGTATGAAAGGGAATGTTCAACTCTATGAGTTGAATGCAAACATTACAAAGAAGTTTCTGAGAATGCTTCTGTCTAGATTTTATATGAAGGTTTTCCCGTTTCCAACGAAATTTTCAATGCTCTCAAAATATCCACTTGTAGATTCTACAAAAAGAGTGTTTCCAAACTGCTGTGTCAAAAGAAAGGTTCAACTCTGTTAGTTGAGGACACACATCACAAATAAGTTTCTGAGAATGCTTCTGTCTAGTTCTTATTTGAAGACATTTCCTTTCTCACCTTAGGCCTGAAAACGCTCGAAATATCCACTTCCAGATACGACAGAAACAGTGATTCAAACCTGCTCTATGAAAGGGAATGTTCAACTAGGTGACTTGAATGCAAACATCACAAAGCAGTTTCTGAGAATGCTGCTGTCTACTTTCTATTTGTAATCCCGTTTCCAACGAAATCCTCAGAACTATCGAAATTTCCAATTGCAGATTCCACAGAAACAGGGTTTCAAAGCTGCTCTGTAAAAAGAAAGGTTCAACTCTGTTAGTTGAATACACACGTCACAAACAAGTTTCTGAGAATGCTTCTGTCTAGTTTTTATGGGAAGATATTTCCTTTTTCACGGTAGGCCTCAAAGCGCTCCAAATGTCCACTTCCACATACTACAAAAAGAGTGTTTCAAACCTGCTCTATGATAGGGAATGTTGAAACCTATGAGTTGAATGCAAGCATTACAAAGAGGTTTCTGAGAATGCTTCTGTCTAGATTTTATATGTAGATATTCCCGTTTCCAACGAAATCCTCAAAGCTATCCAAATATCAGCTTGCAGATTCTGCAAAAGGAATGTTTCCAAAATGCTGTATCCAAACAAAGGTTCAACTCTGTGAATTGAGGGCATACATCACAAAGAAGATTCTGAGAATGCTTCTGTCTAGATTTTATATGAAAATATTCCCGTTTCCAACGAAATCCTCAAAGCTATCCAAATATCCACTTGCAAATGCCACAAAAAGAGTGTTTCCAAACTGCTCTGTGAAAAGGAAGGTTCAACTCTGTTAGTTGAGTACACACATCACAAAGAGGTTTCTGAGAATGCTGCTGACTAGTTTTTATTTGAAGATATTTCCCTTTTCACCTTAGGCCTAAGAGTGCTCGAAATGCCCATTTCCACATACTCCACAAAGTGTGTTTCAAACGTGCTGTATGAAAGGGAATGTTCAACTCTATGAGTTGAATGCAAACATCACAAAGAAGATTCTGAGAATGCTTTTGTCTAGCATTTTATATGAAGATATTCCCGTGTCCAACGAAATTTTCAAAGGTCTCCAAATATCCATTTGTAGATTCTACAAAAAGAGTGTTTCCAAACTGCTGTATCAAAACAAAGGTTGAACTCTGTGAGTTGAGGACACACATCACAAATAAGTTTCTGAGAATGCTTCTGTCTAGTTTTTATTTGAAGATGTTTCCTTTTTCACCATAGGCCTGAAAGCGCTCGAAATGTCCACTTCCAGATAGTACAGAAAGAGTGTTTCAAACCTGCTCTATGAACGGGAATGTTCAGCTCTGTGAGTTGAATGCAAACATCACAAAGCAGGTTCTGAGAATGCTTCCGTCTAGATTTTAAATGAGGATATTCCCGTTTCCAACGAAATCCTCGAAGCTATCCAAATATCCACTTGCAGATTCCACAAAAAGAGTGTTTCAAAACTGCTCTGTCAAAAGATAGGTTCAACTCTGTTAGTTGAGTACACACATGGCAAACAAGATTGCGAGAATGCTTTCGTCTAGTTTTTTTGGGAAGATATTTCCTTCTTCACCATAGGCCTCAAAGCGCTCCAAATATCCATTTCCACATGCTATACAAAGAGTGTCTCAAACCTGCTGTATGAATGGGAATGTTCAACTCTATGAGTTGAATGCAAACATCACAAAGAAGTTTCTGAGAATGCTGCTGTCTAGATTTTATATGAAGGTTTTCCCGCTTCCAACGAAATTTTCAATGCTCTCAAAATATCCTCTTGTAGATTCTACAAAAAGAGTGTTTCCAAACTGCTGTATCAAAACAAAGGTTCATCTCTGTTAGTTGAGGACACACATCACAAATAAGTTTCTGAGAATGCTTCTGTCTAGTTCTTATTTGAAGACATTTCCTTTCTCACCTTAGGCCTGAAAGCGCTCGAAATACCCACTTCCAGATACTACAGAAACAGTGATTCAAACCTGCTCTACGAAAGGGAATGTTCAACTATGTGACTTGAATGCAAACATCACAAAGCAGTTTCTGAGAATGCTGCTGTCTACTTTCTATTTGTAATCCCGTTTCCAACGAAATCCTCAGAACTATCGAAATTTCCAATTGCAGATTCCACAGAAACAGGGTTTCAAAGCTGCTCTGTAAAAAGAAAGGTTCAACTCTGTTAGTTGAATACACACGTCACAAACAAGTTTCTGAGAATGCTTCTGTCTAGTTTTTATGGGAAGATATTTCCTTTTTCACCGTAGGCCTCAAAGCGCTCCAAATGTCCACTTCCACATACTACAAAAAGAGTTTTTCAAACCTGCTGTATGAAAGGGAATGTTCAACTCTATGAGTTGAATGCAAACATTACAAAGAAGTTTCTGAGAATGCTTCTGTCTAGATTTTATATGAAGGTTTTCCCGTTTCCAACGAAATTTTCAATGCTCTCAAAATATCCACTTGTAGATTCTACAAAAAGAGTGTTTTCAAACTGCTGTGTCAAAAGAAAGGTTCAACTCTGTTAGTTGAGGACACACATCACAGATAAGTTTCTGAGAATGCTTCTGTCTAGTTCTTATTTGAAGACATTTCCTTTCTCACCTTAGGCCTGAAAACGCTCGAAATATCCACTTCCAGATACGACAGAAACAGTGATTCAAACCTGCTCTATGAAAGGGAATGTTCAACTAGGTGACTTGAATGCAAACATCACAAAGCAGTTTCTGAGAATGCTGCTGTCTACTTTCTATTTGTAATCCCGTTTCCAACGAAATCCTCAGAACTATCGAAATTTCCAATTGCAGATTCCACAGAAACAGGGTTTCAAAGCTGCTCTGTAAAAAGAAAGGTTCAACTCTGTTAGTTGAATACACACGTCACAAACAAGTTTCTGAGAATGCTTCTGTCTAGTTTTCATGGGAAGATATTTCCTTTTTCACCGTAGGCCTCAAAGCGCTCCAAATGTCCACGTCCACATACTACAAAAAGAGTGTTTCAAACCTGCTGTATGAAAGGGAATGTTCAACTCTATGAGTTGAATGCAAACATTACAAAGAAGTTTCTGAGAATGCTTCTGTCTAGATTTTATATGAAGGTTTTCCCGTTTCCAACGAAATTTTCAATGCTCTCAAAATATCCACTTGTAGATTCTACAAAAAGAGTGTTTCCAAACTGCTGTGTCAAAAGAAAGGTTCAACTCTGTTAGTTGAGGACACACATCACAAATAAGTTTCTGAGAATGCTTCTGTCTAGTTCTTATTTGAAGACATTTCCTTTCTCACCTTAGGCCTGAAAACGCTCGAAATATCCACTTCCAGATACGACAGAAACAGTGATTCAAACCTGCTCTATGAAAGGGAATGTTCAACTAGGTGACTTGAATGCAAACATCACAAAGCAGTTTCTGAGAATGCTGCTGTCTACTTTCTATTTGTAATCCCGTTTCCAACGAAATCCTCAGAACTATCGAAATTTCCAATTGCAGATTCCACAAAAAGCGTGTTTCAAAGCTGCTCTGTAAAAAGAAAGGTTCAACTCTGTTAGTTGAATACACACGTCACAAACAAGTTTCTGAGAATGCTTCTGTCTAGTTTTTATGGGAAGATATTTCCTTTTTCACCGTAGGCCTCAAAGCGCTCCAAATGTCCACTTCCACATACTACAAAAAGAGTGTTTCAAACCTGCTCTATGATAGGGAATGTTGAAACCTATGAGTTGAATGCAAGCATTACAAAGAGGTTTCTGAGAATGCTTCTGTCTAGATTTTATATGTAGATATTCCCGTTTCCAACGAAATCCTCAAAGCTATCCAAATATCAACTTGCAGATTCTACAAAAGGAATGTTTCCAAAATGCTGTATCCAAACAAAGGTTCAACTCTGTGAATTGAGGGCATACATCACAAAGAAGATTCTGAGAATGCTTCTGTCTAGATTTTATATGAAAATATTCCCGTTTCCAACGAAATCCTCAAAGCTATCCAAATATCCACTTGCAAATGCCACAAAAAGAGTGTTTCCAAACTGCTCTGTGAAAAGGAAGGTTCAACTCTGTTAGTTGAGTACACACATCACAAAGAGGTTTCTGAGAATGCTGCTGACTAGTTTTTATTTGAAGATATTTCCCTTTTCACCTTAGGCCTAAGAGTGCTCGAAATGTCCATTTCCACATACTCCACAAAGTGTGTTTCAAACGTGCTGTATGAAAGGGAATGTTCAACTCTATGAGTTGAATGCAAACATCACAAAGAAGATTCTGAGAATGCTTTTGTCTAGATTTTATATGAAGATATTCCCGTGTCCAACGAAATTTTCAAAGGTCTCCAAATATCCATTTGTAGATTCTACAAAAAGAGTGTTTCCAAACTGCTGTATCAAAACAAAGGTTGAACTCTGTGAGTTGAGGACACACATCACAAATAAGTTTCTGAGAATGCTTCTGTCTAGTTTTTATTTGAAGATGTTTCCTTTTTCACCATAGGCCTGAAAGCGCTCGAAATGTCCACTTCCAGATAGTACAGAAAGAGTGTTTCAAACCTGCTCTATGAACGGGAATGTTCAGTTCTGTGAGTTGAATGCAAACATCACAAAGCAGGTTCTGAGAATGCTTCCGTCTAGATTTTAAATGAGGATATTCCCGTTTCCAACGAAATCCTCGAAGCTATCCAAATATCCACTTGCAGATTCCACAAAAAGAGTGTTTCAAAACTGCTCTGTCAAAAGATAGGTTCAACTCTGTTAGTTGAGTACACACATGGCAAACAAGATTGCGAGAATGCTTTCGTCTAGTTTTTTTGGGAAGATATTTCCTTCTTCACCATAGGCCTCAAAGCGCTCCAAATATCCATTTCCACATGCTATACAAAGAGTGTCTCAAACCTGCTGTATGAATGGGAATGTTCAACTCTATGAGTTGAATGCAAACATCACAAAGAAGTTTCTGAGAATGCTGCTGTCTAGATTTTATATGAAGGTTTTCCCGCTTCCAACGAAATTTTCAAAGCTCTCAAAATATCCTCTTGTAGATTCTACAAAAAGAGTGTTTCCAAACTGCTGTATCAAAACAAAGGTTGAACTCTGTGAGTTGAGGACACACATCACAAATAAGTTTCTGAGAATGCTTCTGTCTAGTTTTTATTTGAAGATGTTTCCTTTTTCACCATAGGCCTGAAAGCGCTCGAAATGTCCACTTCCAGATAGTACAGAAAGAGTGTTTCAAACCTGCTCTATGAACGGGAATGTTCAGCTCTGTGAGTTGAATGCAAACATCACAAAGCAGGTTCTGAGAATGCTTCCGTCTAGATTTTAAATGAGGATATTCCCGTTTCCAACGAAATCCTCGAAGCTATCCAAATATCCACTTGCAGATTCCACAAAAAGAGTGTTTCAAAACTGCTCTGTCAAAAGATAGGTTCAACTCTGTTAGTTGAGTACACACATGGCAAACAAGATTGCGAGAATGCTTTCGTCTAGTTTTTTTGGGAAGATATTTCCTTCTTCACCATAGGCCTCAAAGCGCTCCAAATATCCATTTCCACATGCTATACAAAGAGTGTCTCAAACCTGCTGTATGAATGGGAATGTTCAACTCTATGAGTTGAATGCAAACATCACAAAGAAGTTTCTGAGAATGCTGCTGTCTAGATTTTATATGAAGGTTTTCCCGCTTCCAACGAAATTTTCAATGCTCTCAAAATATCCTCTTGTAGATTCTACAAAAAGAGTGTTTCCAAACTGCTGTATCAAAACAAAGGTTCATCTCTGTTAGTTGAGGACACACATCACAAATAAGTTTCTGAGAATGCTTCTGTCTAGTTCTTATTTGAAGACATTTCCTTTCTCACCTTAGGCCTGAAAGCGCTCGAAATACCCACTTCCAGATACTACAGAAACAGTGATTCAAACCTGCTCTATGAAAGGGAATGTTCAACTAGGTGACTTGAATGCAAACATCACAAAGCAGTTTCTGAGAATGCTGCTGTCTACTTTCTATTTGTAATCCCGTTTCCAACGAAATCCTCAGAACTATCGAAATTTCCAATTGCAGATTCCACAGAAACAGGGTTTCAAAGCTGCTCTGTAAAAAGAAAGGTTCAACTCTGTTAGTTGAATACACACGTCACAAACAAGTTTCTGAGAATGCTTCTGTCTAGTTTTTATGGGAAGATATTTCCTTTTTCACCGTAGGCCTCAAAGCGCTCCAAATGTCCACGTCCACATACTACAAAAAGAGTGTTTCAAACCTGCTGTATGAAAGGGAATGTTCAACTCTATGAGTTGAATGCAAACATTACAAAGAAGTTTCTGAGAATGCTTCTGTCTAGATTTTATATGAAGGTTTTCCCGTTTCCAACGAAATTTTCAATGCTCTCAAAATATCCACTTGTAGATTCTACAAAAAGAGTGTTTCCAAACTGCTGTGTCAAAAGAAAGGTTCAACTCTGTTAGTTGAGGACACACATCACAAATAAGTTTCTGAGAATGCTTCTGTCTAGTTCTTATTTGAAGACATTTCCTTTCTCACCTTAGGCCTGAAAACGCTCGAAATATCCACTTCCAGATACGACAGAAACAGTGATTCAAACCTGCTCTATGAAAGGGAATGTTCAACTAGGTGACTTGAATGCAAACATCACAAAGCAGTTTCTGAGAATGCTGCTGTCTACTTTCTATTTGTAATCCCGTTTCCAACGAAATCCTCAGAACTATCGAAATTTCCAATTGCAGATTCCACAAAAAGCGTGTTTCAAAGCTGCTCTGTAAAAAGAAAGGTTCAACTCTGTTAGTTGAATACACACGTCACAAACAAGTTTCTGAGAATGCTTCTGTCTAGTTTTTATGGGAAGATATTTCCTTTTTCACCGTAGGCCTCAAAGCGCTCCAAATGTCCACTTCCACATACTACAAAAAGAGTGTTTCAAACCTGCTCTATGATAGGGAATGTTGAAACCTATGAGTTGAATGCAAGCATTACAAAGAGGTTTCTGAGAATGCTTCTGTCTAGATTTTATATGTAGATATTCCCGTTTCCAACGAAATCTTCAAAGCTATCCAAATATCAACTTGCAGATTCTACAAAAGGAATGTTTCCAAAATGCTGTATCCAAACAAAGGTTCAACTCTGTGAATTGAGGGCATACATCACAAAGAAGATTCTGAGAATGCTTCTGTCTAGATTTTATATGAAAATATTCCCGTTTCCAACGAAATCCTCAAAGCTATCCAAATATCCACTTGCAAATGCCACAAAAAGAGTGTTTCCAAACTGCTCTGTGAAAAGGAAGGTTCAACTCTGTTAGTTGAGTACACACATCACAAAGAGGTTTCTGAGAATGCTGCTGACTAGTTTTTATTTGAAGATATTTCCCTTTTCACCTTAGGCCTAAGAGTGCTCGAAATGTCCATTTCCACATACTCCACAAAGTGTGTTTCAAACGTGCTGTATGAAAGGGAATGTTCAACTCTATGAGTTGAATGCAAACATCACAAAGAAGATTCTGAGAATGCTTTTGTCTAGATTTTATATGAAGATATTCCCGTGTCCAACGAAATTTTCAAAGGTCTCCAAATATCCATTTGTAGATTCTACAAAAAGAGTGTTTCCAAACTGCTGTATCAAAACAAAGGTTGAACTCTGTGAGTTGAGGACACACATCACAAATAAGTTTCTGAGAATGCTTCTGTCTAGTTTTTATTTGAAGATGTTTCCTTTTTCACCATAGGCCTGAAAGCGCTCGAAATGTCCACTTCCAGATAGTACAGAAAGAGTGTTTCAAACCTGCTCTATGAACGGGAATGTTCAGCTCTGTGAGTTGAATGCAAACATCACAAAGCAGGTTCTGAGAATGCTTCCGTCTAGATTTTAAATGAGGATATTCCCGTTTCCAACGAAATCCTCGAAGCTATCCAAATATCCACTTGCAGATTCCACAAAAAGAGTGTTTCAAAACTGCTCTGTCAAAAGATAGGTTCAACTCTGTTAGTTGAGTACACACATGGCAAACAAGATTGCGAGAATGCTTTCGTCTAGTTTTTTTGGGAAGATATTTCCTTCTTCACCATAGGCCTCAAAGCGCTCCAAATATCCATTTCCACATGCTATACAAAGAGTGTCTCAAACCTGCTGTATGAATGGGAATGTTCAACTCTATGAGTTGAATGCAAACATCACAAAGAAGTTTCTGAGAATGCTGCTGTCTAGATTTTATATGAAGGTTTTCCCGCTTCCAACGAAATTTTCAATGCTCTCAAAATATCCTCTTGTAGATTCTACAAAAAGAGTGTTTCCAAACTGCTGTATCAAAACAAAGGTTCATCTCTGTTAGTTGAGGACACACATCACAAATAAGTTTCTGAGAATGCTTCTGTCTAGTTCTTATTTGAAGACATTTCCTTTCTCACCTTAGGCTTGAAAGCGCTCGAAATACCCACTTCCAGATACTACAGAAACAGTGATTCAAACCTGCTCTATGAAAGGGAATGTTCAACTATGTGACTTGAATGCAAACATCACAAAGCAGTTTCTGAGAATGCTGCTGTCTACTTTCTATTTGTAATCCCGTTTCCAACGAAATCCTCAGAACTATCGAAATTTCCAATTGCAGATTCCACAGAAACAGGGTTTCAAAGCTGCTCTGTAAAAAAAAAGGTTCAACTCTGTTAGTTGAATACACACGTCACAAACAAGTTTCTGAGAATGCTTCTGTCTAGTTTTTATGGGAAGATATTTCCTTTTTCACCGTAGGCCTCAAAGCGCTCCAAATGTCCACTTCCACATACTACAAAAAGAGTGTTTCAAACCTGCTCTATGATAGGGAATGTTGAAACCTATGAGTTGAATGCAAGCATTACAAAGAGGTTTCTGAGAATGCT